>NC_000009.12:130731095-131044913 GCF_000001405.40 Homo sapiens | reverse complement strand
CTCTAATGTCTGGTTTCTGCTGCAGGATCCCATCCAGGACACGGTGTTGCATTTAGTGGTATCCTTGTTCTCCTCCAACCTATCACCGCTTCTCAGTCTTTCCTTGTCTGCCACTATCTTGACACTTTTTGAAAAGCACTGATCAGGTATTTTTAGAATGTCTGATGTTTCTCATGATTAGACCAGAGTTATAGGCTTGGGAAAGAAATACACAGAGGTGAAGTACCCTTCTCGTCATATCACATGGGGGCACAGGAAACCCACATGACATCCAAGCGATGCTGACTTTCATCACCTGTGCTGTCTACCAGTCTCTCCACTGTGCAATCACCACGGTCCAGTCATTAGAAGCAAGTCACTGAATAGGCCGGACGCGGTGGCTCAAGCACTTTAAATTTTTTTTTGAGACGAAGTCTCGCTCTGTTGCCCAAGCTGGAGTGCAGTGGCACGATTTCAGCTCACTGTAACCTCTGTCTCCCGGGTTCAAACAATTGTCCTGCCTCAGCCTCCCAAGTAGCTGGGACTACAGGTGTGCGCCACCATGCCCGGCTAATTTTTGTATTTTTAGTAGAGACAGGGTTTCACTATGTTGGCCAGGCTGGTCTTGAACTCCTGACCTCGTGATCCATCCACCTCGGCCTCCCAAAGTGCTGGGATTACAGGCATGAGCCACCGCGCCTGGCCGGCTCACGCACTTTGGGAGGCCGAGGTGGGTGGATCACCTGAGGTCAGTTCGAGATCAGCCTGACCAACATGGTGAAACCCCATCTCTACTAAAAATACAAAAATTAGCCAGGCGTGGTGGTGGGTGCCTATAATCCTAGCTACTTAGGAGGCTGAGGCAGGAGAATCGCTTGAACCCGGGAGACAGAGGTTGCAGTGAGCCGAGATCATACCACTTCACTCCAGCCTGAGCAAAAGAGCGAAACTCCGTCTCAAAAAAAAAAAAAAAAGCAGCAAGTCACTAAATGCAGCCCAGTCTCAAAAAGAGGGGGATTAAGCTCGACCTCCTAGAGGAAGAGTATCAAAGAACCCACGGACAGATGTTAAAGCCACCCCAGTAATTAATAGATATTTTGAGGTTATGCAAATATCCTCTCTTTCCTTAAAGTTCTGCCCACCAATGTCAGCATTCATCGGCAGCTCTTGCCTGTAGCAATTACCACTGTGAGGTCTGAACAGTGGTTTTCCAGTTCCTTCATTTCTACATTCATTACTTGGAATTCTTCTGCAAGGAAGGTTTGTCTCTTCATGCCCATCTATTTATGTATTCAATCATCTATTTACATCAGTATGGATTCGTGGATTTGACTTTATTCTCTGGGTTATAATCCAATACTATCGTTTATTTTGTTGCTCAAATTGTTTCAGCCCTGAGAGCTCTTTCACGTCGGCTCCTGTGTCCTTTTGACATGGGCCCACGTTCTGGTTTGGGCTGTTTTGTTTGTGTCTGTCTCTGTTTTTCAGCATTTCCTTGCTTCCTGGCACTGTAAGACGCCTTGGGCTTATCTTGTCTTTTTCCAGCCCCAGCCCCAGAATCTGCCACTTCTCCAAGCAGCTCTGGTGAATGTCAGACACAAAGCCAGGAAGAAGAGATAGTGTGTACCCAAGGAGCTAAACCCATGTTTGTCTGCTGGCCGCACTGCTGGAGCTTGGAGGCCTCTTGAACACTTGAAAGAGGAAGTTTATGTACTTCCTGGCCTTGGGAGAGCCCCTTTGACTTGCAGAGCTTCAGATGCCCCATTTGTACCATGATCAGACTGCAAAGATGGCAAACAGGCTCAAAATCCAGCTCAGTGGGTAGGGGCTTCCTGAAGCAGGGTGTTAAGAAGGATCCTGAGGTTATAGTAGGGCTCATGGCCAAGACTGCTGTGCCCCATTAGTGATGTCTGTTGTGGGTGTGAAAGGGGAGGGTTGTGATAGTGTTGCCTTAGTGATGTCTGCCATGGGTATGCCATCAGTGATGTCTGCCATGGTGTGAAAGGGGAGAGTTGATGGTGCTCCATTAGTGATGTCTGCTGTGGGTATGAAAGGGGAGGGTTGTGATAGTGCTCCCTTAGTGATGTCTGCCATGGGTATGCCATTAGTGATGTCTGTTGTGGGTGTGAAAGGGGTGTGTTGACAGTGCTCCATGAATGATGTCTGCTATGGGTGTGAAAAAGAAGGGTTGTAGTAGTGCTTCATTAGTGATGCCTGCCATGGCTATGAAAGGGAAAGTTTGATATGGCACCATTAGTGATGTCTGCCATGGCTGTGAAAGGCAAGGGTTGATAGTGCTCCATTAGTGATGCCTGCTGTGGGTATGAAAGGGGGAGGCTGTGATAGTTCTCCATTAGTGATGTTTGCCATGGTTATACCATTAGTGATGTCTGCTGTGGGTGTGAAAGGGGTGCATTGACAATGCTCCATGAGTGATGTTGGCCGTGAGTGTGAAAAGGGAGGGTTGTGATAGTGCTCCATTAGTGATATCTGCTGTGGGTAAGAAAGGGGAAGACTGTGATAGTGCTCCCTTAGTGATGTGTACCATGGGTATACCATTAGTGATGTCTGCTGTGGGTGTGAAAGGGGTGTATTGACAGTGCTGCATGAGTAATGTCTATTGAGTGTGAAAAGGGAGGGCTGTGATAGGTCTGCCGTGGGTGTGAAAGGGTTGTGATAGTGCTCCGTTAGTGGTGTCTGTCATGGGTGTGAAAGGGGAGCGTTGATAATACTCCATGAGTGATGTCTGCTGTGGGTGTGAAACGGGAGGCCTGTGATAGTGCTCCATTAGCTATGTCTGCAGTGAGTGTGAAACGGGAGGCCTGTGATAGTGCTCCATTAGCGATGTCTGCCACAGCAGGTGGTAGTACGAGCACCATCTATTTACTATCCCTGGATTAGATGGTCTCTCCTATCATTCCAGTTCTTTCTTTTCAGGATTCTAAGCTAAGACATGTATTTTCTCAGCTTATGAATGATCAGTGGTGTTGAATCAAAGCACAAACAGTGCCATAAAGCTTTTGAGTAACTTCCTGTATGACAGATACATGGTGCCCCAGGAAGGGCACAGGGTGACAAGGTCACCCAAGTCCATGAAGACCGTGCCCCTTGCTCCTCCCCGCACTCCACAGCTTTGGTGCCTCATCAGTGAGCCCCCAGGTCACTTCCAGCAAGCTTACTGCTGGATTAGCTCACAAACCTGTCACATAGGTTGCCTTCCACATTCTCTTTGCAGGGGCAGCGCCCACTGCGGGGGTCACAGGTGTCCAGGCTGCCAGCGGGATTGCAAGTGCAGGGTCTGCCAATGAGACAGGACAAGAGGAAAATGTGCAATGAGCAAATTCAGAATGGCAACAGCCCATCCTAGGAAGGGAGCTTTCCCTGCTGCCAACATCAGGAGTGAGGCTGACGCAGGTAACTGACCTGGCTTTACTGTTCCCATCTTGCCAAGGAAGTGACCCATCCATCACTGGTACAGTGGTCCATCTTCCCACCCACCACACATCCATCCAGGATCCTTCCATCTGTCATCCACGCACTCACTCATCATCCATGAATCTTTTTTTTTGGGACAGAGTCACACTTTGCCACCCAGGCTGGAGCGCAGTGTCATGATCTTGGCTCACTGCAACCTCTGCCTCCTGGGTTCAAGTGATTCTCCTGTCTCAGCCTCCTGAGTAGTTAGGACTACAGGCATGCATCACCATGTCCAGCTAATTTTTGTATTTTTAGTAGAGACAGGGTTTCACCATGTTGGCTAGACTGGTCTTTAACTCGTGACCTCAGGTGATCCACCTGCCTTGGCCTCCCAAAGTGCCAGGATTACATACATGAGCCACCGTGCTCGGCCTCCATGAATCTTTCTGTCTATCCCCTCACTCCTCCATCCACTTATTCATCCTTCCTTCTTTCTGTCCAGCAGCCACCTATCCACCCATTCATTCACCCATCCATGCATCTTTCCATCCCTCCCTCCATCCATCCACTCATCTAATAAGACATGGTTCCTCCCTGGTGAATCCCAGTCTGGTGTAGACAGACAGATCACGCAGACCCTGTACCGCGATACGTGTTGTGGGAGATGTACGAGAGGCTGTGCCTGCACTGTGGGGCCTCTGACTCAGCCTGGGTGTGCAGGCGAGGGGCAGGTGGGAGGGAAGGTGTCCCGAGAGCGGGGCTGCTCAGCTGAGACCTGAAGAATGAGCAGGAGGCTGTGAGCCACAGGCTGGGGAGAGGGGGCAGGGGTGGGAGGTGTGGCACCTGCAAAGGTCCAGAGGACAGAGGGACCCCAGGGAAGCAGCCAGGCCCCATCTCATGGTCAGTTTTATGCCCAGAACCACCAAATATTTTACAAGGAATCAGAGCTCTCCTAGATATCCCCAATGTGTTTCTGCTGCCTCTCAAATATACAAAGATGCCCGTTATCAACCAAAGCAAGTTCACTTAAAAGTGCTTCTGGGCCAGGCGCGGTGACTCACGTCTGTAATCAGCACTTTGGGAAGCCGAGGAGGGTGGATTACTTGAGCCCAGGAGCTTGAGACCAGCTTGGGCAACATGGCAAAACCCCATCTCTACCAAAAAATACAAAAATTAGCCGGGTGTGGTGGTGCACATTTGTAATCTCAGCTACTCAGGAGGCTGAGATGAGAGGATCACTTGAGTCTGGGAGGCGGAGGTTGTAGTGAGTAGAGATCGCGCCACTGCACTTCAGCCTGGGTGACAGAGGAGGACTCCATCTTAAAAAAAAAAATAGAGATAGTGGGCATGGTGGTGCATGCTTGTAATCCCAGCTACTCAGAAGGCTGAGGCAGAGAATTGCTGGAACCGGGGAGGTGGAGGTTGCAGTGAGCCAAGATGGCACCACTGCATTCCAGCCTGGTTGACAAAACAAGAATCTGTCTCAAAAAAAAAAAAAAAAAGCTTCTAAATTTATCATAGGTTTTTGTTTTGTTTTGTTTTTGTTTTTTGGCCATTGTATACTTTCTCAATCAAGTGATGGCAAATGTGTTGGGGTAAGGTCCAGACCCCAGGAGCCCCTGTCCCTCTCTCCCCTCAGCTGTCCCACTAGGTACCAAACTCGGTGCACCCAGATGACACTCAGCCTCTCCCACCCCGCTCCCCACACTGCGTGCCCTGCTATCCAGAGGCCCAGAGAACCCCGAAGGTCAGCCTCCACCTCTTCTTCCTCTTCCACCCCCTGGTCACCATGTCCTATTAGCTCCTCCTTGCACTGGGCTCTGGAATCTGCCCTGCTCTCCCTCTCCACAGTCAAACCCCCATGCAGGCTGCCCAGGCGTTCCTGCTGTAGCCTCCACGCAGCCTCCCCCTCACCCACTCCTGCTTCTCACTGATCCACGGCTCCTCCAGAGGCCTCCCGTGCCCCCCACCCCACCTCAAACACCTGTCCTTCCCCTCTCCCTGCACTTATGCAGCACCTCCTACAGGAAGCCTGCCCTCCACCTGCAAGATCCGCTGAGCTTCCACAGGGCTCAGCCTGGTCTCATTAAGGTCTGTTTTTGTCTCTTGGCCTCTCCAGGAGCTGAGTGTCTCTAGTCTTCACCAGGATTAGGGCGAGGTAGCTGCAGACAGGAAGGGATGGGGAGGGGAGGGACTGCTGACAGCCTGTTCCTCCTGCTTCTTGTCATTCAGTGCAATGTGTCCATACTGGGCCGCCCCTCGCCCTCACCTGCAGCCTCCCTCACTGAGCGAGTGGAACCCGGGCAGACAGCGGTCACACTTCCAGCCAGTCACCGTGGGCTTGCAGGCGCAGGTGCCTGTGTCATCGCACTGGAGGTGTAGGGAGCCTGGGAGAGGAAGGGCACAGGGCAATTGAGGCCAGGAAAGGGAGAGGGTCGGAGGCTGGGGATGTGGAGTCCACTCACCTGCCGACTGGCAGTCACAGGGCTGGCATGGCATCCGCGGGTCCCAGTGATAGAAATTCTCCTGACAGCGCTCACAGTGTGGCCCAGCTGTGTGGTCACGGCAGTGGTGACAGCGCCCGCCGTGGCCTGTGCTGCGGAAGAGCTCCCGATCAAACGTGCATTCCTCGGAGCGGCCACTGCAGTTGCAGGCTATGGGCAGGAGTGGGGAAAGGTGTGTGAGTCCCCTGTGATGTGGTAGGAGGCTGCATC
This sequence comes from Homo sapiens, assembly GCF_000001405.40. Taxonomy (NCBI): domain Eukaryota; kingdom Metazoa; phylum Chordata; class Mammalia; order Primates; family Hominidae; genus Homo; species Homo sapiens. The sequence continues at coordinate 131,038,803 of NC_000009.12, read as the reverse complement.
TGTGTCAGTCAGCCTCCCTGTGCTAAATGAGCAGGCAGTGCAAAGAGAAGGGCAAGAGCATGGTCCAGAATGGAGTTCAGGCCCAGCTTGATCAAGGCTAGACATTGATCAATTGATTTTCCAAAACAGGACACTCTTAAGAGCAAAGGGGACACTGTTAGTAAATACACCAAAACAACAGGCAGAAAGAAGACCATCCCAGGCAACAAGGATATACACCCAGATAGATGGGCACCGATCAGAGGCTGGCTGCCTTCTGGAGTGGCAGCTTGGCTCTCTCCAAAATCTCCTGGAGGTCCTCCAAGCCATAATAGTGTGACTCTCACTATTGTGTGAGGTCACTCAGGGGTACAGAAAGCACAAGTCACCTTTCATTTCCCCCATTAAATCATTTTTAAAAGTCTGTGTGCAGGACTGGCTCTGTCTTGGCTCCCAGAGTGAGCTCAGGGGTGGATCCATGAAAGGTGCGGACCCATTTACACCTGCCGCCCTCGTGCTGCCCACAGCCCAGACGGCAAGCAAGCAAACCCCCTGCAGGTGCAGGGCTGAGACAGGAGAGGCTGGGGGCTTTGGGAGCCGAAAGAAGGGGCCCCTGCAGCTGTGCTGGGGTGGTGGGACAAGGCTTCCGAGAGGAAGTCATGGCCGCGCTGAATCTGAAGGCTGAGCAGTGAGGAATAGGCCAGGCAGAGGAAGAGGGGGCGGGAAGGGCGTCGCAGACAGGAGGCGAAAGCCCAGGGGATACCCCACATGCAGAGACAGACGCGTGGCCTGGTGCGGGTGTGCCATGAGGCTGGCTGCAGACGGCATGTCGTGTGATGGCAGGGAAGGAAGGACTTTGTGCAGTGGGGGGCCTGCAGTGCAGGGGCAGTTGTGAAGTCAGAGGCTAGCAGAGCTTGCTCCAGGGAGGCTGGGCTGCCGTGGTCAGTGGACGTTAGCTGGGAGCAAAGGGGGAGCCGTGGGAAGGTTTAAGCAGGGAATAGATGTTACTAAATTTGTCCTTTAGAAAGTCTTGGCCCAGTGCCATGGCTCACGCCTGTGATCCCAGCACTTTGGAAGGTAAGGTAGGAGGACTGCTTGAGCCTAGGAGTGTAAAGACCAGCCTGGGCAACAGTGAGAGCCGAGCTCTATAAAACATTGCTTGGCATGGTGATGTATGTGCCTGTAGTCTCAGCTACTCTAGTGGCTGAGGTAGGAGGAACACGCACCCAGGAATTCGAGGCTGCAGTGAGCTATGATTGGGCCACTGCACTCCAGCCTGGGTGACAGAGTGAGGCCGTGTTTCAAGAAAAGAGCCTTAGCTGCAGTTAGGGGAGGGCTGGGAACAGGGAGAGCAGGGAAGAGGAAGCTTCGGGTGTGCAGGGAGAGGAGGCAGGGCCAGGCCCAAGGCATCGGCTGCAATGGACAGAAGTTAGACAGACTGGAGCGATGTGGATGAGGCGGAATTCAGGGCTCGGGGCTGTCTCAGCTGCGGGTGAGGGTGGGGATGAAGGGTCAAGCCTGAAACCCTGGCTCCCAGGCTGCTGACTGAGAGACAGACGTGACCATGGAGCTGAGGACATGGTAGAAGCAGTCTGGCCTCTGTGTCCCCACCATGGAGACAGCAGCAGGCTGGGACAGTGGAAGCCAGCCAGCACAGCTTCCTTGGCCCCAGGACTCTCTGGTGGAGGCAGGCCAGCGAGGGCAGCTCCTGCAGACAGTGCCCCACCCTCAGAACAAGCCGCCCCCGGCCCAGCCCCAGTTCTGGTCGCCAGTGGCCCAGGCCCAAGAGGACAGCGGGGTCCAGAGGCCAAGCTGCCCGCCCAGCGAGCCTGTGAGTGAAGATGTGTCTCCTGCCAGCAGCACCAGCACCAGCTGGGATCTGGCCCCCAGCAACGGCGGCTGTGCATGGAGAGCCTGGAGGAAACCAGGCTGTCTGGGGACAGGGTGGGGCTTGCAGCCAGTGCCCCAGCCAGAAGGGAAGTCAGTGGGTCCCTGCTCTTGGCCTGTGTCCCTGGAGAAGACATGATGGCATCATCCTCTCTCCAGCGCTTCTCTGAGGTTAGGTGGTCAAAGCCACATCACATGGGGGCTGGGACACCAAAGGGCTGCCTGGGGGCCCGTGGGAGAGGCTGGGTGGGCCATCAGCACCCCCTTGCTTGTTGGGTAGCCTGGTTCCGATTAGCAGCTGGGGTGGGAGCGGTTAACACAAAGAAGCAAGTCGGGGACCTTCCGGCCCTCCCACCACAGGCGCCTCTGCATGGGTAGAGTTGGTCCAGGGAAGCTACTTAGTGGAGGAGAGACTGAGGCTTAAATGCACCCCCTCCCCAGGCTCCCCTTCTGCTCGTCCTTATCTCTGCAGCAGCACAGAGACCCCGAGCTGCCCCCGGGGCGTACCCAGGAGCAGCCCCCACCACGACGTTTTGGGGAGTTCCTTTCCCCGCCTGCAACACCAGCCTCGGGTCCCTGATGCCCTGTGACACTCAGACACTCACGCAGACACTCGTGGGCAGCCTCGGCGGTGCCCCGGGCCCACGGGCGGTCCTGGAAGAAGGGCAGGCAGCGCTCACAGTCTGTGCCGGTGGTGTTGTGCTGGCACCGGCAGGCCAACTGGCCTGCCACGTCGGGGCCGCACTCGCTGGCATGCCCGTTGCACTTGCACCTGGGAAAAGACACAGAGGAGGAAGGGGACCCGCAGGTGCCGGCAGGGCAGACAAGGAGTTAGTCACCAGGTAGCCCCTGTTTGCAGGTGTGAGCCAGACTCCACCCTCAATCTTGGCCCTCACTGAACACCTACTATGTGCCCTGGGGGCAGCAGTAACAGAGAACTGACTGTACTGGTGAGCTCTGGAACAAACCCATTCCATCTTCACCAGCCTGTTACCACCCCCATAGAATGGATGGGTGAACTGAGAGGCACAGAGAAGCTGCCCAAAGCCACCAGCTAGCAAGTGCCTGGCACAGAAAGCTTCTGCCTGGGAGGAGCCCCACCTGGGGGCTGAGAGGGACCCAGGAAGAAGTCACCTTAGTCTCCCAAGTGGAGAGTGGGCCAGCAGTCACACCAGCAATAGGTGTGGAAGGCAAAGGGAACCGCCTCCAGCAGCTATCCCTCAACTGTGTCCGAAAGGGCAGGAAAGAAGGTACCCCAAACAGGGACAGCTCCTGAGTCACTCCAAATCCCCCATGAGTCCACTTCGGATATGGTTTGGATCTGTGTCCCCACCAAATGTGTCAAACTGCAATCCCCAATGTTGGAGGTGGGGCCTGGTGGGAGCTGATTGGATCATCAGGTTGAATTCTCCTGAATGGTTTAGCACCCTCCCCCGTGGTACTGTAGAGTGAGTTCTCATGAGATCTGGTTGTTTAGAAGCGTGTGGCACCCACCCGTCAGCCCCACCCCATCCCCTGCTCTCTTGCTCCTGCTCTGGCCATGTGATGTGCCTGATCCCTCTTCACTTTCCGCCATGATTGTAAGTTTCCTGAGGCCTCCCCAGAAGCCAAGCAGATGCCAGCACCATGATTCCTGTACAGCCTGTGGAACTGTGAGCCAATTAAACCTCTTTTAATAAATTACCATCAGCTGGGCATGGTGGCTCACACCTGTAATCCCAGCACTTTGGGAGGCCAAGGTGGGCGGATCACCTGAGGTCAGGAGTTGGAGACCAGCCTGACCAACATGGAGAAACCCAGTCTCTACTAAAAATACAAAAATAGCCAGGTGTGGCAGCGCATGCCTATAATCCCAGCTACTCAGGAGGCTGAAGCAGGAGAATTGCTTGGACCCAAGAGGCAGAGGTTGCAGTGAGCCGAGATCGTGCCATTGCACTCCAGCCTGGGCAACGAGAGCAAAACTCTGTCTCAAAAATAAATAAATAAATAAATAAATAATCATCTCAGGTGTTTACAGCAGTACAAGAATGGACAAATACGGGGTCTTTGAGAGCAGCCCCGGCCTGTGGCCCCATTCCACACACAGGATCAAGAGACAGGTGGAATCAGGCAGGAACAGGGGTGCCCTGGGAGCCCGCGGCATGCTCGGCAGAGCCTGACCCTGTGAGTGATTGTCCCTGTCCCGACCACTGTCCCTGTCCTGAGCTGCTCAGAGGCCATGGCTTCTGCCCCTGGCCAAGGCAATAGCTTCTCCCTAGAGCCTCACCAGAGGTGGGAGGGACATTAGCGTCCCCATTCCACACATGAGGCATCAGGCTCAGGCCTTGGAACTCACAGATGCTAAGTGGCTGAGCTGGAGCTGAAGCCCGTCCTCATCGACTCCACGTGGACCCTGAGCTCCTGGACACTCCTCTGTGGCCACTCAGTGGCTCCCTTAAGCCACGTTCCACGCTCTGCCCTCTGTGGATGTTGACGAATCACCAACCGCTGTTGCGGCTCCAGGTGCTTTAGCTGATAGCGGACACACTGTGTGGTAGGGCACGTAGCACGGCTTCCACGCAAGGCCCAGTTTAGGCAGGCAGCACCCCAGGGTTTCTTGGGGTGAGGCAGGCGCCAGGCAATCCTGGGGACAGTGGTCACCAGGGAAGTCACAAGGGACTGCCCCTGCCTTGGAGGGGGTGCTGTAAACACCAGCCCTGTGAAGCCCACTGACCCAGGAAAGGAGAGTGAGACTCCACGGGCTCCACTGTGAACACAGGCTGTTGGGGCCACCTGTCCCCTGCCATGAGCAGCCTGCCCCAGCCAGCTGTGGTCTGAGGGTGGTCTGGCTCTGGCAGCTGGAACCCAGATGTCCTCTGGCCCGAAGCCCCCTGACAGGAGGCACTGGAGCTCATGGCCGCCTTCCCCGGGGAGCTCCTCCCACCGACTCACATAAGGGGGCAGGTTGGAGCAGGGGGATCCTCATGGCCACAGGGGCTCTCAGTGACGAGCCTTGGCCTTCTCTGGAGCTCACACACCCAAAGCAGGCATTTGAGCCTCATGCCGCCCCCTTCTCCATCTCTCTAATGCCACCCAAGCGCCTCTGAACTGTGGAGGCCCAGAGTCCAGTGTCATCCCCGCTCCCCACTCCCATGGCCCATGGTTCACACACAGAGCTGCGTTTCCATCCTCAGTCGCGTTCAGACCCACGCGCCCCACACCCCAGCCCTCTGGTCCAAGCTGCCGCCTCCCGCCTCGATTCCTGACATTCGACTTCCTCTCTCCTCCTATCTGCCCCACTTGGCTGTCAGGGGTTTGGGGGTGTTTTAAAAATCTGACTCTGTTACTACCCTGACCAAATCCTTCCACAGCTTCCTCTTGACTTCTGGGTGAGGCTAAACCCGCCCAGGCCCTGACACTCTGCCAACCTCTCCACGCCCACCCGCCTGCCCTCCACCCAGCCACGTTGGCCGTCCCCTAGTCCTCAACCCCAGCCTTCCCACTCTTGGGTCCCATCTGCAGCACCAGCTCCTGTCCTCCCCGACCCCAGGCACACGCTCTCCCTTTCCTCTCCTTCCTTGTCATCCTGGAGCGGGCTGATGTGTTCACTGGGGAGCAATCTGATCAATGTCTGCCATCCCCAGGTGACTGGGGCAGGAACGCACCTGTTTTCCTCTCTCCTTTCAAAGAAACCTGAGAAACACTGACGTGGAAGCTGTTCATGCCTCCCTCGTCCCACAGCCCTCCCTGGGCACCCACTGCCAGGTGGCCATGTGCGAGACAGGCCTTGGGACTTGAGGTGAGAGATGGGCCTCTACCTCCTAGGCAGCCCCTGCTTCCTGGAGGGGACAGATGTTGGAGGAGAAACAAACTGCCCACAGCACTGATGGGTGCTAATGGCGCATAGGACCAGGACCAGGACCAGGACCAGGACCACGGGCCAGAGAGAAGCGCCTTTCTCTAGGCCAGTAACACCCCTATACTAGAAAGGGGAAGGGGGCCGTGGCTCATGCCTGTAATCCCAGCACTTTGGGAGGCCAAGGCGGGCAGATCACCTGAGGCTGGGAGTTCAAGACCAGCCTGACCAACATGGAGAAACCCCATCTCTACTAAAAATACAAAATTAGCCGGGCGTGGTGGCGCATGCCTGTAATCCCAGCTACTTGGGAGGCTGAGACAGGTGAATACCTTGAACCTGGGAGGCAGAGGTTGCAGTGAGCTGAGATTGCACCACTGCACTCCAGCCTGGGCAACAAGAGCGAAACTCCTTCAGAGAGAGAGAGAGCGAGAGAGAGTGAGAGAGAGTGAGTGAGAGCGAGAGAGCAAGAGAGAGTGAGAGAGAGAGAGAGAGAGAGAAAGCGAGTGAGAAAGAGAGCAAGCGAGAGAGAGCAAGAGAGAGAGCGAGAGAGAGCAAGAGAGAGAGACAGCGAGAGAGAGCAAGAGAGAGAGAGCGAGTGAGAGAGAGCGAGAGCGAGAGAAAGAGAGCGAGAGCGAAGGGAGGAAGGGAGGGAGGGAGGGAGGAAGGAAGGAACCTCCAGGCTGAGGGGACAATGGGAACCAAGACCCAGTGTCTGGCACATGGCAAATCAGCTGATGCAGGGGACCCGGCAGGAGGTGGGCTGGGTGTGGACCCCCAGGGCCTCGAATGGCAGGTGCTCCCTCCCTCTCCCCTGGGGCACACCTGGCTTCTGTGCCCCCCCACCCCCCACCCCACAGCAGCCACCTTCCGCTCTCGGGTTTGGGTCCTGGAGCCCTGCCACCCTGCCTCCCTCCTCCCTCCTACCTGCCGCCCACAGAGAAGTCGGACACGGCATAATAGTAGGACTGGAGCACCTTGGGGTCCTTGAAGATGTCGTCCCCAAACGTGTTGAGCCGGTCTAGAGAGATGAGGAGTTCGGTGCTGGTGACCCACTCCTGGGGCAGAGGGGAGAGGGTGCCATCAGCAGGTTCCTGAGTATTTAGTATTTACCCCCATCGCTCTGCTGGCAGATCCAGCTGGCTGCCCCGGGAGCTCCTGGGACACAGGAACAGGCCGAGCTCAGGCCAATTCTGAGAACACTGCAGAAATAAGGAGGCTGTGCTTTGGGGGTCACCCCAACCTGGGTGCTAGGCTACTGATTAGTGCAACTGCATTCAGTGTCTTAGAGCCTCCATTTTCCCATCTGTGAATTGGAACAAAAATAGCACCTCCCCTACAAACATGTCTGGGGGAGGGTAGCAAGTATCAGTGCTGGCTGTGAGGTCGGGCCCGTGGTCAGGAAGCAGCTGAGGTTTGGGCGGGCAGGGGTCAAAGCAGCCCACTGAAGACCCGGTTGTGCAGGTCACCTGGCTTTTCCCAGCAGCTCCTGCACCTCATTCCAGGGATACAGCTGGGGGACGGTGTGCCCCCGCAACCTTCTCCCCTGCTCAGTGGGGCCTGGCATGCAGCTGGCCCCGGGTTTCTTGGCTCCTCACATGCTGAGGGTCAGGCTCCTGTGGACAGGTCACCTGCCTCAGGTGACATCTCTTCCACGAGAGCAGGGACTTGTGGCCCCTTGTTCTCACTGTTTCCCTGGCCCTGGGCTCTGCCTGGCCCTAGCAGGCACTCGATAAATACCTGCTGATCCCTGAATGAGCAGCTTCCCCATGGAAGAGCGTGGAGGGGAAGTCGGGGAAAACCCACGTGAAGACTGACATTTTCACCTGCCTGCTGTGAGCAGCAGCAGCAGCTCCAGCTGAATATTAATCAGCGTTTTGATTCCGCCCAGGAGCCCCTGCTTTAGCAATCAGGCCCATCAGTGCAGAAAATGAGCTCCTGGCAGGCCATCTTTTTGCCCCAGCGTGACTCAGGCCGACGGCCCTCCTGCTCCCCGAGAGCTCGGCAACCGGAGCTACTGCCGGGGACCCAGGGCCTCTGCCAGAGGATGCCTTGGCCAGGGAGAGGGGTCCAGCACCCAAACACTAAAGTGGGAGCCTCTGCACCAAGCTAAGCTTGTGCTTGAGTTTGCAGGCCTGGATCACCCCAGGATGCACTTCCCAAAGCTCAGCGTGCATTCAGGGATCTGGTTAAAGTGCAGCTTCTGATTCAGGGGTCAGCGGTGGAGCTGGGGAGCTTGCGTTTCTCACAAGTGCCCAGGTACTGATGCTGCTGGGCCGGCTACTGGACAAGGAGCTGAGGCCTGGGGTGGGGAAGTCCCGCAGTCCAGAGCTGAACGCGCTGTGGCGATTCCTTCTCCAGAAAAAAGTGCCACCTGGAGAACTCAAACCAACTGGATACCAGAGCCAGGAGGTGCGGCGGCTACTGACACATATTGTATGGTTAGGGCTCGGGCCTCACGGTAACCCTGAAGTAGGTATTGTTATTAACCCCATTTAAAGATGAGGAGACTGAAGCTCAGAGAGGGTAACCCTTCTGTTCCAAGTTGCACAGCCAGTGCATGGCAGAGCTGGGATTCTGGTCTATCTGATCCCAGGGTCCCAGCTTTAACCACGAGGCTGGTCTGCCTTCCTGTGTCTATCCCAAAGCCCTTATCATGCCAGTGGGGCCCAGAGACAGCAATGACCTGCCCAAGGTCTCCCACCTCTGCTTCCTGGCCTGTGACCTGATCCATCAGTCTGCAAGGACAATGACCACAAAGGAATGGGGTCAAAATCTCTGAGACATAGGATGGATGCTGGGAGAGAGCAGCCTTAGCCTCAATTGCAGGGGGACTGTCTTGATGCCTTAAAAGTCATTTTAGGGCCTGGTGTGATGGCTCACACTTGTAATGCCAGCACTTTGGGAGGCCAAGGCGGGCAGATCCCTTGAGACCAGGAGTTCAAGACCAGCCTGGACAACATGGCAAAACCCCATCTCTACTAAAAATACAAAAATTAGCCAGTGTGGTGGCACACACCTGCAATCCCAGCTACTTGGGAGGCTGAGGCAAGAGAATTGCTTGAACCTGGGAGGCAGAGGTTGCGGTGAGCCAAGATCGTGCCACTGCACTCCAGCCTGGGCGACAGAGCGAAACTGTCTCAAAAAAAAAAAAAAAAAGTCATTTTAGGGCAATCCCCACTGAACCCAGGCACTGGAACTCCAGCTTAAGCTATGAGTGGGTGCTGGAGTTGATTTTAGATGGATCCCAGGACTCAGGCCATGGCATTAAGGAGAAGCAGGAGGTGGACAGCTTGGGCTCTATGTCCAAGGGGTGCTCAGGCGGCCCCTCAACTCTGGCGGTCTTACTCTGCAACAGCCAGGTCGACCTTCTCCTCCAAAGTCCTAGGCCCTTCCTTGGGGGTCAGAGGGACCCAAGACCCAGCAGCCACATCCTTCCTTCCAAGCTCTGTGTCCTCTGAGAAAGCACCTGCCCCCTAAATGTGTCCAGAGGGAGCATGAGGAGAAAAGAGCAAGGTAGACTTGCCTCTCTTTGTCCTGCTCTGCTCTTGGTTTCTGTCCAGAAGCAGCAGGGGAGATATTTCTCAAAAGGTCATCTCTCCATCAGGGACAGTGTCCAGAACACAAGAGGCAACAAGACAGAAAACCTCCAACAGCCAAGGGTGTCCCCACGGTGGTGGCTGCACAGACGCAGGTGGGAGCGGGGGCCGGCCCTCCCTGCCTGTCTTCATCTGACCTCGGGTGACGTTTTCTAATCTACAGAGCTTTGGAGCCCCGTGGAGAAGAAATTGTAATTTTTAAATAAAATCATGGTGACATGTACAATTTTAGTGGGACAAGCAGGGCCTGGACGTCTAGAGATGTGGTACTGTGTGATAAAGGATTCGGCTTGCCCAAAGAGGGGCCTGGCCCTTTGCCCTGGATCCAGGGGAGTGACCTCCATATCCTTGGATGTCCCTCCTGATAAGAGGGTCTTCCCTTGGGCCACACTAGGTAGTCTATGCGGATGATGTGATTTGCGGTGGGGGCCTCGGGCCACACAGAATCGGCTTCACCTCTGGAGGGGCTGGAGACAGGTCAGCCACACAGGTGGTCAGCCGTGTCTACACTGCCAGCCTCCAGTAAAAACCCTGGACTTCAGGCCAGGTGTGGTGGCTCACACATTTAAGCCCAGCACTTTGGGAGGCTGAGGTGGGAGGATCGCTTGAGCCCAGGAGTAAGAGACCAGCTTGGGCAGCATAGTGAGACGAGGTCTCTATTTAAGAAAAAAAAATTATTAAAAAACTCTGGCCTTCAAAGTTGGCAGTACTCTACGCACACTGTCACATGTGGCTCTGGGGAAATATGTGCTGTGCGTGTGACTCCACTGCATTGGGAGAACAGCTGGAAGCTCAGAGCCTGGTTGGTCCCTTCTGTGACCTGGCCGGGCGCCTCTCCACTGGCTGATGTGAGCCGGTAGCCTTTCATTGCAAAAAATTGCAGCTCTGAGCCTCACAGCTTTTCTGAGTTCCGTGAGTCCTTATAGCGAACCACTAAACCCAAGGGTGGTCCTGGGGACCCCGACACGGCCGGCTCCGTGTGTTCTCATGCTGCACATCGCTGACAGAACGCAACTTCTTTTTGGGTGTCAGTGTCCCCTCTGGAAACAGGATTCTAACCCTGGTTCCCTCATTATCCCAGATGGGCAAAGGAGACGCTCTGAAAGTCTGGAGGGGAGGAGAGGGCAGGTTCCCTGGGTTTGGACACGTCTTGGGTCTGAACCCGGGGAAATGGACTAGAGCAGCGGTACTCCAACCTTTTCGGCACCAGGAAGAGGTTTCGTGGAAGACGATTTTTCCACGAACGGGGTAGGCGGTGGTTTGGGATGAAACTGTTCCACCTCAGACCATCAGGCACTAGATTCTCAGGAGGACACGCAACCCAGTTGCTCCTGGGAGAATCTGATGCCGCAGCTGATCTGACAGGAGGCTGATCTGACAGGAGGCTGATCTGACAGGAGGCGGAGCTCAGGCAGGAAAGCTCACCTGCCCGCGCTCATCTCCTGCTGTGTGACTTGGTTCCTAACAGGCCATGGACCAGTACCGGTCTGCAGCCGGGGGTTGGGGACCTGTGGACTGGAGAGCCACCCAACACACTTGTGTGGAGATGAACAGCTATGGACACACAGCAACGTGGACACAGATAGGTGCCGATCCCGGCAGGTCCGCACACCTGGGTGGACCTACGTGGGCTGAACTGGAGGGCCCTGAATGGACTGACATGGCGACAGGCCAGCCGTCCTCTCTACCGTGAGGACAAGGACGGGGAGCTGTCATGCGCGCGTATCTCCCGAGTGTGGGTGGGCACGCTCTACGTGCCAAGCACCGCACTGGTCACAGTGTGTGTGTTCCCGCTACCCCACAGCAGTCTCTCCAACGTGGCAGCCACTGGCCACATGTGGCTAAGTTAATAAAATAATTATTATTTTATTAAATTTATTAATATTTAATAATAAAATATTAATAATAAAATATGAAATCCAGTTCCTCAACTGCGCTGGCCACATCTCATGGTGGCTGGTGGCACCACATGGGACAATGCAGCTAGAGGCGCTTTCCGTCATCACAGAAAGTGCTGCTGGTTGGCACGGACTTACAGCGTGGGACCCAGGGCTCTATGACTCCAAAGCCCATGTTCCTGTCACATTTTGCCATTTTCATAGGAGCCCTTGGAGACACATGGGCAGGCCCTGTTACTAATTCACAGGAGGAGGAAGCGAGGCCCCTCAGCGGAGAGTTCTGGAAAGAACACCAGCCAGGAGTCTGGACACTCAGGTGCTGGCCTGGGCCCTTCCACGCCTCATTTGTGCCCCTGGAAAATGCTGTCTCCCTCCAGGCCTCAGCTTCCACACCCATATAAGGAAGGGGCCAGGTGGGTTGACAGCCCTCACAGGCTCCTGGGAGCCACAGGGCTCTGCCCCAGGAGGCCAGGGAAGGGACAGCTCTGGTCCACTGAGTAGCCCGTCTTCCTTCTGGTTCATTAGCGGCATCCACAGAAGACTTGGGTGCAACAAGCCTTCTGTGGCAGAAAGCTTGAAAACCATGGGGTTTGGGGCCAAGGGCAGTGGCTCATGCCTGTAATCCCAGCACTTTGGGAGGCCGAGGCAGGTGGATCGCTTAATGTCAGGAGTTCAAGACCAGCCTGGCCAACATGGCGAAACCCCCGTCTCTACTAAAAATACAAAAAAGAATCAGCCAGGAGTCGTGGCGGGCACCTGTAATCTCAGTTACTTGGCAGGCTGAGGCAGAATAGCTTGAACCAAGGAGGCGGAGGTTTCAGTGAACCGAAATCGCGTCACTGCACTCCAGCCTGGGCGACAGAGCAAGACTCAGTCTCCAAAAATAAAAGAAGAAAAAGAAAACCATGGGGTTTTGCAGGTCCCCCACCCTGTGTGTCCTGGCACATCAGACCCTCCTACTGCCGTGACCCAGTCCCAACCCCGTCCCAACCTCCGAAGCCCCGCTCCTCCCTGACCTGCAGCCCAGGGCTCTCCTCGAAGTTGTAGGCGCTGGGCCGGCCCTCCAGGGTGGAGAAGGCCACGTTGCCGCCACTCAGCGGGGAGATGTCGCTGAACTCAGAGGTGCAGAAGGCCACGCGCTCGTCCTCGCCGGGGCGCAGGTACTGGCCCTCGGGCCGGCCGTAGGTCTTCTGGCAGGAGGCGCTGTAGAACTGGTAGGGCTCCCATGGGCCGTCGGCGCGGCTGCGCTTGTAGATGGCAAAGCTCTCAGGGCGACTGGTGTGGAACTTCAGCCTCACATACGTGATCTCATAAGCCTTCCCTGCAGCCAGGAAAACGGGGCCCATTTTATGGAAGGGGAAGGAGGTATGGAATCCTGGTCTAGGAAGGACAGACGGCTGCATTGCAGGCACTAGCGTGGATGGATCGCTGGAAGCTGTCTGGAGCTCTGGACAGGGGAAGCCACCCTCCATTCATGATGCCTGCTGGGGCACTGGAAAGGACAATGCCCACATGCTTCCCAAGTATTTGCTGTCCCTCTTCTGGGTCAACTCGCCACCCTGCACAGGAATCTCCGTTGCAACACCCCTGAGAGGCAGCCATCTCTGTTTGCTCAAATATCTCCAGCAATGGGATGTTGCCACATTCTAAGAAAGCCTGCTCTACCGTTAGAAAGTTATTTCTTTTACTACACCCCAACGAAGCTGATCCTTGCACTGTGCCTTCGGCCTCATTCCCTTGCAATGACCACATATCTCCTAATCCTAACGAAATCCTCCCTGGACCCCTTATTGCTCCAAGTTTCTATCTTCCAAATTTCCCAAGACAGGTTTAAATCCACTGCCCCACAGCCTCATCTCCCAACTCAACCTTCAACCTCCTGCAATTCAGCTTCTCTGGGCCACTCCACAGAAGACACTGTACTTGCAAAGTTACCTCACCCACAGCCCCTGGTGGCCACAGCCAGGGGCCTCTGATCATGCTCACCTCCTCGAAAGTCCCCTCTCCCGGGGCCTCCACCTGCTCTCCTCTCCTTTGCCTGCCTTGGCCCCCTCCTGAGCCCCTCTGCTTGCTCCCTGAACCCCCAGCTTCCAGTGGCCTCTCCCTTCCCTGGGCTTTAGCCCCACTCCCCCACATGCCCCCGACACCCAGCTGGAGGATCTGCAGGCTTTAGGCACCTGCCTGCCCTGCGCTCCACCCTGGAAGCATCCTCAACAGCAGACCTGGCTCCGTCACAATGACTCAGCTACCCTGGGAGGCTGGGGTAGGGAGGATGGCTGTGGTAGAGGGAAGGGGGTTCCCAATTCCTCCTCTTCCCTCATGGGATGTCAACAGGCAATGCCTAAGAAGAGAAAAACCCTGACATGGCAGTGCAGGCACAGGGCTAGGAGATAAGGATGCATCAGGGAACAGAAATGGCTCAGAGAGCGCCGGGCGGAGAGGGAGCCTGGGGTGCGGGCGCGGGAGAACTGCCGCCTTCCACAGTTCGAGCTGGGAAGTATCTGGCTTCTACACTGAGAGCGGGTATGATTTCAATAATAAGAAGGAAGTACAGCCTGAATTTAAAAAGGCAATTTCCCCACTGCCTGAAATGCCACCATCTCTCCCCATCCTCCTATGTTTAGGACTCCATCCAGGTACCCCCTCCTCACAGAAGCCCAACTCAACCTTAAGCCCTAATGCACACCCCTGACATCCCCCCAGGACAGGAGAGGGGGCCTCCTGCAATGTGACTCCTTAGCTAGCCTCCTGCAGAGTTACCTGCTCAGCGGTGGCTCCCCACACTGGACAGAGCTCCTCACCGTCGGCACCGGGCGTCTCTTTGGTAATCTCTGCCATCCCAGTGCCTAGCAAGGTGCCTGACACCTGGCAGGCATTCACTGAGTGTTGGTGCAGGAACGAATGAATGAAGGGAAGAACGGCCCACGCAGGGAGTCCCTCCTGCATCTCTACCGTTGGCAGTAGCCTCTCACTTCCCAGAGCAGCACAGAAGATGCCCAGTCCCCTCCCCATGGCCGGCTTTCTATTCTCTGATCCTTCCTTCCCTGGTCCCAGAGACCCCCAAGAGACTGCCCACTGCCACCACCATCTTCCTTAGGTGCCGAGGACAAGCCACCCTAGTCGTCTGCTGAAACATCTTGGCTCTAGGTAAGAGCTAAAAGGCTGGGTGCGGTGGCTCATGCCTGTAATCCTAGCACTTTGGGAGGCCGAAGCGGGTGGATCACCTGAGGTCAGGAGTTCGAGACCAGCCTGACCAACATGGTGAATCCCTGTCTCTACTAAAAATAAAAAAATTAGCCAGGTGTGGTGGTGGGCGCCTGTAATCCCAGCTACTCGGGAGGCTGAGGCAGGAGAATTGCTTGAACCCAAGAGGTGGAGTTTGCAGTGAGCTGAGATGGTGCCATTGCACTCCAGCCTGGGTGACAGAGCAAGACTGTCTAAAAAAAAAAAAAAAAGCTAAAACTTCTTTCTTAGAAGAAAACAGAGGAGTAAATAATATTTGGGACTTTGCACTAGAAGAGCCTTCTTAGAAATGACACGAAAAGCACAGGTAACAAAAGAAAAAATACATAAACTGGACTTAATCAAAACCAAAACTTCTGTCCTTCAAGGAACACCACTGAGAAAATGAAAAGGCAACCCACAGAGTGGGAGAAAATAGTTGCAAATCATATATCTGATAAGAGACTTATCCAGAATATATAAAGAATTCTTACAACTCAAAAAGACAACCCAATTAAAAACTGACAAAGGAGGAGTAGATTGCTTGAGCGCAGGAGTTCACAACTAGCCAGGGCAACATGACGAAACCTCATCTCTACAAAAAATATAAAAAATGAGCTGAGCATGGTGGCCCGTGCCTCCAAGCTGCTTGGGAGGCTGAGGTGGGAGGATCCCTTGAGCCTAGGAATTAGAGGCTACAGTGAGCCATGATCACGCCACTGCACTCCAACCTGGGCAACCGAGTGAGACTCTATCTCAAAAAAGAAAAAACAAAAATGGCAAAGGTTTTGAATAGACATTTCTGCAAAGTGGATATATGAATGGCCAAGAAACACAAGAAAAAATGCTCCACATCATTGGCCAGCAGGGAAATGCAAGATAAAACCAGAATGAGATTTCCTTCACACCCTCAAGGCTGGGTAGCATGAACAGAGGTAATAACAAATGTTGGTGAGGAAGTTGGGGGATTGGAACCCTCATAGACTGCTGATGGGAATGTAAAATGGGGCGGCCACTTTGGAAAACAGCGCCTAGCAGTTCCTCAAAATGTTAGACACAGGGTTATCACAGGACCTAGCAATTCCACTCCTCAGCATATACCCAAGAGAAATGAAAACATATACATCCACGCAAAACGTACATATGGATGTTCACAGCAGCTTTCTTTGCAACAGCCAAAGAGTGGGAACAACTCCAATGCCCAGCAACTGATGAATGAATCAATAAAACGTGGCATATATCATATGATGGAATATGATTGGGCTACAAGAAGAAATGAAGTGCTGACACACGCAACCACAAGAATGAACCACGAGAACGTTAAGTGGCAGAAGCTAAAATCACCAAAGACCACATCTTATGGGATTCCACGTAAATGTCCAGAATAGGCAAATCCACAGAGACAGGAAGGAGACAGGTGGTTGTCACAGGATAGGGGTTCAGGATGGGGACTGGGGGAAAACAGAAAGTGACTGCTAATAGGTACAGGGTAATAAAGGTGTTCCAAGCCGGGCTTAGTGGCTCACACCTGTCATCCCAGCACTTTGGGAGGCTGAGGCTGGAGGATCGCTTGAGCCCAGGAGTTTGAGACCAGCCTGGGTAACATAGCAAGATCCTCTCTCTACAAAAAATAAATAAATAAATAAGAACAAATTAAAAAATTAGCTGGGCGTGGTGGCTTGCATATCCCAGCTACCTGAGAGGCTGAGGTGGGAGGATGGCTTGAGCTCAGGAGGTAGAGGCCACAGTGAGCTGTGATCGTGCCACTGCACTCCAGCCTGTGCAACAGAGTGAGACCCTGTCTCAAAATAAATAAATAAATAAATAAATATATTCTAAAATTGATTGTGGTGATGGCTGCACAACTGTGTGTATATACTAAAAACCACTGGATTGTATAGTTTAAATGGGTAAATTATACGGTATGTGAATTGTATCTCCTAAAGCTGTTATATATACTATGTATGTTATTGTGGTGTTATGATAGCTGTCAGTTTTCGGGCTGGCCGTGGTGGCTCACACCTGTAATCCTAGCACTTTGGGAGGCCAAGGTGGGAGGATCACTTGAGCCTAGGGGTTTGAGACCAGCCTGGGCAACATAGTGAGACCATGTCTCTCTATTAAAAAAATACATATATATGTGTGTGTGTGTGTGTGTGTGTGTGTGTTTTCATCCACAGCTCCTGGCTTATGACTCCCATAGCCCTCCTTACGGTCTTTCATTAGAATTTTGGGTGTGTTGGGCCTCAGGGGCAGGCCTCTGCCTTCTCCTGCCCTCCTTTCACTCTAAAGTTCCCCCACCTTTCTGACCGTGGGTCTTAAGACCCTCCAAGAGAGGGTCCCACCCTACGCCCAAGGGAAGCAATGCTGATGCATGAAGCGTCCATGAAAACCTGAGGACAGGGTTCAGGGAGCTTCTGGATGGCTGAACACGGGGAGGTTCCTGGAGGGTGGCACCCAGGGAGGGCATGGAAGCTCCCGTCCCTTCACCGTTCCTCACCCTGCTCATCTCTTCATCTGTGTCCTTTGCAATATTCTTTATAATAAACCAGTCAATGTGTTACCCTGAGTTCTGTGAGCTGCTCCAGTGAATTGATTGAACCCAAAGAAGGGGTCATGGGAACTTGAAGCTAATCTGTCAGAAGTTCGTGAGGCCTAGACTTGTGACTGGTGTGTGTGGCGGAAGACAGCCTTGGGGACTGAGCCCTCAACCTGTGGGACCGGATGCTATCTCTGACTAGATCGTGTTGGAACTGAATTAGAGGACACCCAGCTGGTACCGCTGCTTGTTGGGTGGGGGAAAAACCCACGCATTTGGTCACAGAAGTCTTCTGTGTTGATGATGGCTGTCGTCTGAGAGCAGAGGAAAAACACAGTTTGAGGAGTTTTTCCCTACACAGTTATATATATGTATTATTGGACCTCACATCCATTAGGATGGCTATTATCAAAAAAACAGAAGATAACAAGTGTTGGCAAGGATATGGAGAAACTGGAACCCTCATGCACTGTGGGTGGGAATGTGAAATGGTGCATACGCTATGGGAAACTGGTGGTTCCCGAAAAAACTAAAAACAATGCATCTATTTGACAGCCCCAGAGCAGTTACTGTCTGCTAAGGTTTCCACTACAGATGCAAAAACAGCGTCCCTGTGCTTTCTCTCTGACTGCTTTCTGCTTTCTGTGGCAGCCGAGATTGAATAGAGGAATCCAGGAAAAACTACGGAGAGAGAATTTTTGCAACTCAAGAATAACCTTGTAAGCAGTGAAGAGCCTGTGTTACTCCAAGCAAGAACCTACAATTTGAGTTTACACGAGAAGTGTTGGGAAATATCCCCTACCATCCTCAGCTGGTTGATTACGCTTACAAAAGCTTAAAGGTTAAAACTAATTAAAAGAAGCCAGAGACTCTGGGGAGAAAAAAAAACATCAAAAAACCTAAGAATAGAATTGCCATATGATCCAGCACTTCCACTTCTGGGGATATACCCAAAAGAACCGAAAGCCAGACTCCACGTTTGTGTTACATGTATTTGGGGGGGAAAAATAAAGGCACCCTCCTTCCTCCCCTAGTCTCTCTATGCACCAAAACAAGAAGCTGGTGAATCACCTCCTTCTCGCAAGTGACCTCAGTATTCACCAGATCACTAGCTCATTCTCTGGAATTCCTTGTGTTAGCCCTCCTCTCTGTCATTCTCTCAGCCCCTCGTCTGTTCCCTGACTTATGCAATGGTCTGGAATGCCCTGCCACCTCTCTTTGCAAACATGCAGTCATGTCTCAGTCATGTTTTGGCTCAGACTGTACCTCAGAATCCTTCTTAACACAAAGCCCTAGGCAACACTCAATCCAAGGAAAACTGTTTGGTCTCCCCAGGTTAGAGGAGAACTTGGCAATCTTTTTGTTTTTTTAGACTTGGCAATCTTGATTCATATTTGGGGCTTAGACTTAGTGCCAAGATGGGAGGGCTGTGATGGAGCCTATCCCTGGTTCAGCCAGGGTCTTGTGGTATCTGGCATTATGGCCATGGGGAGTCCCCAGCTCCTTATAGGGAGTCACCACACCCAGAAGTGCCAAGAGCTTGGCTGGGAGAGGAAGAACAAGAACAGTGGGTGGCCAGATGGGGCTAAGGGACCCTGCTGGGTGTGACTCCCCTGTAGGCTGGGAGCAGCTCACCCACCTGGTTCTGATGCTCGAGGTGGGCAGGGCAGCCTCACCCATGCATTCCCAGCCCAGCTTTCCACCCTAGCCCCTCCCGCCCCACTCCCTAGGCCACTGCTGCCCAGATGGCTCCAATTATAGGGCTTTGTTTTGTTTCCATTTTCCCAAAATAAGCCTCTTCGTACTGAGCTCATTCTGCTTGGTCAGTGCCGGATGTGGGCCAGCTTGATTTTATGACTGTCCCGGTGTCATTCTTGATGGGCTTTATGTTCCAGCTGGCTGGAGAGGACACAGCTTGGCGCTCCTGCTGTTTGGCGTGGGCGGTGCGGGGCCCGGCCGGGGGAGGCTCTGCTGTGCCCAGCTGCTGGCTCAGCCAGCAGGTGAAGACTGGGAGGGGGGCGGGTGG
Source organism: Homo sapiens (assembly GCF_000001405.40). Classification (NCBI taxonomy): domain Eukaryota; kingdom Metazoa; phylum Chordata; class Mammalia; order Primates; family Hominidae; genus Homo; species Homo sapiens. Next base: position 131,019,818 of record NC_000009.12, on the reverse strand, counting down.
GACCTCCATGTCTCCATGGGCACCAGCACCCCCTTCACCCCCTTCCTAGGCAGCCCCTTCTCTCTGGGGCTCCATGGACTCCTGAGTAGGAGGGCACCCAGGTTTTGAGCAGTGACTTTGGGCATGACACTGAGGAAGTCCTTCTGCTCCCTGAGCCTGACTCCTCACTAGTAAATGAAGTGTTTGGGGATCTCAGCCATACAGTGTGAGTAAAGTACTTGGCAAAGCACGTGGCACATAGCAGGTGCTCACTAAATGCTGGCTAGTGTGAAACAGAGACTCATCCAGGGATCATGACTTCCAGGCACACTTGGGACAATGTGATCCACACTGTCAGGACTGCCTGCTGTCTCCACTCTCTCACTGGATTATAAACTCCTTGAAGGTACAAATCCTGCCTCGAGTCTACTCATTCATCGGGCAAGCATTTATTGGGCACCTCTTGTGTGCTAGGTGCCATGCTCAGCTATAAGGATTCATGGCACCTGCCCCAAGGGGAGGTTACAGGTAGGGAGAGAGAGGCAGGTCTTGTTTTTGTTTGTTTGTTTGTTTGTTTTGAGACAAAGTCTCACTCTGTTGCCTAGGCTGGAGTGCAGTGGCGTGATCTTGGCTCACTTCAACCTCCGTCCCCTGGATTCAAGCCATTCTCCTGCCTCAGCCTCCTGAGTAGCAGGGATTACAAGCGTGCACCACCAAGCCTGGCTAATTTTTGTATTTCTGTAGAGATGGGATTTCACCATGTAGGCCAGGCTAGTCTCAAACTCCTGACCTCAAGTGATTTGCCTGCCTCGGCCTCCCAAAGTGCTGGGATTAGAGGCGTGAGCCACCGTGCCCAGATGAGACAGGCAGGTCTTTATAGAACAGGACAAAGTAGCCCAGGGAGGCTGTGGGAGCATCAACAAGGCGCTCAAACCTATGGTTCCAAGGATGAGCAGCCATTAGCCAGGGAAGGTGAGGAGAAGGTGCATTCCACACCAGGCAGGATGTTGGCAAAGCTGTGGCCACCTTGTGGTGAAGCCTGTAGTTCAGGCTGGCAGGAGCATGGAGAGGGAGGAGGTGGTGAGAAGTAAGTTTGGGGCATGTGGTCCAGTAAGCGGGTGGGATGAGCAGGGGTGCATGGGAGCTAGACAGGCGAGGAGAGCAGAGGGAACAGAATTCTAGACAGAGAGAACAGCATATTGGGCGGCCTGGAGGTGAGGGAAGCCAAGTACTCCCAAGCAGTGTCACCACCAGCTAACAGTCAAGGATGACATCTTGGCTCGGCTTTCCTGATAGGAACACAGCTGTCTCAATCACCCAGAAGCCTCATTGGCCCCTGGAGCTTGTGAGGGTCTGGGCTAGGGCTGCAGATTTTAATTCTCGTCGCTGTTTAAAAGATCTTGGGGGCCGGGCGCAGTGGCTCACACCTGTAATCCCAGCACTTTGGGAGGCCGAGGCAGGGGGATCACCTGAGCTCAGGAGTTCGAGACCACCCTGGGCAACATGGTGAAACCTCGTTTCTACTAAAATACAAAAAATTAGCCGGGCATGGTGGCATGCACCTGTAATCCCAGCTACACGGGAGGCTGAGGCATGAGAATCGCTCGAACGTAGGAGGCAGAGGTTGCAGTGAGCCGAGATCATGCCACTTCACTCCAGCTTGGGCTAGAGTGAGACTCCAACTCAAGAAAAAAAAAAAAAAAGATCTTGGGGCCACTCCTTTCCCAACCTTTTTGTTGCCTTTGGAAGAAACTTTTTCATCACAAAGGAGGGATTAAGCTGCTTTCTTTTATTTATGTATTTATTTATTTTTTGAGATGGAGTCTTGCTCTGTCGCCCAGGCTGGAGTGCAGTGGTGCGATCTCGGTTCACTGCAGCCTCTGCCTCCCGGGTTCCAGTGGTTCTCCTGCCTCAGACTCCTGGGTAGCTGGGATTACAGGCACACGCCACCACACCTGGCTAATTTTTGTATTTTTAGTAGAGACGGGGTTTTGCCATGTTGGCCAGGCTGGTCTCGAACTCTTGACCGAAGGTGATCCGCCCGCCTCAGCCTCCCAAAGTGCTGGGATTACAGGTGTGAACTACTGCACCTGGCCTTTTTTTTTTTTTTTTTTTTTTTTGAGACAGTCTTGCTGTCATCCAGGCTGCAGTGCAATGGCCCGATCTCGGCTCACTGCAACCTCTGCCTCCGGTTCAAGCGATTCTCCTGCCTCAGCCTCCCAAGTAGCTGGGATTACAGGCGCCCAACACAACGCTTGGTTAATTTTTTTTTTTTTTAATAGAGAAAGGGTTTCACCATGTTGGCTAGGCTGGTCTCGAACTCATGACCTCAAGTGATCCGCCGGCCTCGGCCTCCCAAAGTGCTGGGATTACAGGCGTAAGGACCGCACCCGGCCTCTAATTAACTCTTGTAACAAAAAGTCCCTGCCATGTCTCTGTGATATTGCTGCATCTTCTCTCACCTCCTGGTTTGGCAAGGACAGAAAAGCCGGGATGTTTCCTATCGCGTGAGGCCGCTCGTTTGCATGAACTCCCAGTGACTGCCTTTTTCCGATCACGCTTCTAGCTGCCAGCTACCTTTCAAGTGGCTCCAAGCTCCCCTCCCGAGAGGTGTCTGGCTGCTAGATGTTTACCAAGGAGTCTGCGCCGGTGACCCGCAGCAGCCCGCGCACAGCATCCTTTAGCGAATACACATCTGGGCCAGCCCCCCACCTCGTTCCAAGGCCCGAAGCCTCTGCTCCAAACAGGCGCAGACACCAGGCCGCCCCCAGATCCGGACCCTGTTTGCTCCGCACGCTTTCTTTTAAGGGGTTGGGAGTTACGGTGCCAAGCTGTGCTGCACCAGAACTTTGAAAAACATCTTAAAACAGAACATAGCAAGGCGGGTGCTTTTTAAAAAAAAAATCGTAGAAATGTGTTTTCTCCAGTTTTTAAATTAGAACAAGCTTCATGAGAGAATACTGGGAAAATGTAGAAACACGGAAAATGGAAGAAAAGTCACTGCAAGTCCTGAGGACAAACACGCTTACCAGTTTGATGTCTTTCTTTTTTTGCCTACTCTTTAGGGATTTTAAAATATAAATCTGATGATTCCACATATACCAACTTGTGTCTTTTTCTTCATTCAACATTTTGACTTAAGCGCTCCCTGTGTATTACAAACCCTTTGTCAGCTGTTGCACTGAATGGCTCCAATCACCATGAGAATTTATGTCCTACAATTTACTTAACTAGTCCCTTATGGTTCCCATTTTTCCCTACTATAAAGAACGCCTCGATGAATGTTTTCATGCATTAGGACCCTTCCCTTATTTGAATTCCCAGAAGTAGGATTCCTTTGCCAAAGGCCAGGAATATTCTTGTGGGTCTTCAACCATGTTGCCAAGCTGCCTTCCCACGGGGCTGACATGTACTTTTCCCCAAACCTTCTTTTATTGTGGTGAAATATGTATAACATGACATTTACCATCTTACCCATTTGCACAGCTCACATTGTTGTGCAACCTTCACCACCATCCATCTCCAGAACTCTTTCATCTTCCCAAACTGAAACTCTGTCCCCATGAAACAGTCACTCTCCATTGCCCCTCCCCCAGCCCCTGGCAACCAGCATTCTACCTTCTGTCTCTGTGGACTTGACTATCCCAGGGTGCCTCTCATATCAGCGGAACCCTACAGTATTTGTTCTTTTTTGGCTGGCTTCTTTCCCTTAGCATAATGTCCTCAGGGTTCGTCTATACTGTGGCTGTGTGAGAATCTCCTTTTTCAGGGCTGAGTAATATTCTACTGGATGGATGGACCACATTTGCTCTTGCTCATCATTCACCCCTCGGTGGACACTTAGGCTGCCTTGCCTTTGGCTATTGTGGAAATGCTGTTATGGGTCAGGTGCCGTGGCTCACGCCTGTATTCCCAGCACTTTGGGAGACAGAGGAGGGCAGATCACCTGAGGTCAGGAGTTCGAGACCAGTCTGGCCAACATGGTGAAACCCCGTAACTACAAAAAAATACAAAAAATTAGCTGGGTGTGGTGGCAGGAACCTGTAATCTCAGCTACTTGGGAGGCTGAAGCAGGAGAATCGCTTGAACCTGGGAGGTGGAGGTTGCAGTGAGCTGAGATCGCACCATTGCACTCCAGCCTGGGCGGTGGAGCGAGTCTCCGTCTCAAAAAAATAAAAAAGAAAAGAAAATGCTGCTATGCACACAGGGGCCCTTGCATAGCCTTTGCACACGGGGGCCCTTGCATGACATTCAGAGTGGTTGGTGTCAAGGCGGCTGCTCAAATTACCCAGTCGAGGGCTCAGGTGGAGACCGAGTCAGGGCGAGGGGTGCAGGTGGAGTCCTGGATGTCGACTATGATTCAAATAAGCAAAGCCAGGGCATGAGCTGGGGAAGGGCATGGCTGCTGGGAGGGCTTGCCCGGGGACAAGGGGCCACAGGGAAGGGAGGTAGACCAAGCAGCTGAAGCCTGGGCAAGGGAGAGCAGGGCAGGGCAGGGTTGGGCTGGGAGGACGGCGGCACTGCTGTGAACACCGTGGCTTAGGAGTACGGGAGGCACCTGCAAGGCTGGGGGCCCTTCATCCATGAATTCCTCACTCCCTTGCTCTGAGCGAGGAAACACAGTGCAATCTTGCAACCCTGGGGTTCACAGCCCAGCCCCACCAATTCCTGGCTCTGTGGCCTTGGGCAAAATAGCTGAACTCCCTCGGGTTCACTGGGCAAGTGACTGTGCAATGTAGTGCCTTGGTTTCCCCATTTGCAAAATAGGCATAACAATAACAGGGCTAAATGAGCAAATGCCTTGGAAGCACTTGGAACAGTCCCAGGCACGAAGCATTTGTTCAACTACATTTTTCTTTTTTCTGAGACAGGGTCTCGCTCTGTTGCCCAGGCTGGAGTGCAGTGGTGTGATCACTACAGCCTCGAACTCCCAGGCTCCAGCGATCCTCCCACCTCAGCCTTCCAAGTAGCTGGGACTACAGGCACTTGCCCCCGCGCCCGGCTAATTTTTTCATTTCTATTTTTATTTTTGTAAAGACAGGGTCTCACTTTGTTGTCCAGGCTGACCCTGAACTTCTGGTTCAAGTGATCTTCCCGTCTCTGCCTCCCAAAGTGCTGGGGTTACAGGTGTGAGCCTCACCCAGCCTCAATGAAATTTGAGCTGCTCTTCCATTCATTCGCCTGACCAACCTTTACCCAGCACCCTGTGCAGTGGGCAAATGCAGGCTGGGCACTACTGGGGCACAGGTGTGAAAACAGGCATTCCCTCTGGCAGCCCAGAGATAGGGATGGACGTAAACAGACCAAGCCCTCACGCAGTGTAATCCAGACTCTGGTGGAAGGAGGATTAGGGGCTGCAAGGATGCGTGGGCAGGCCTTCTGCCCAACCTTAGAGGGGTGAGGGGTTTTCCAGAGGAGGCACCTCTAAGCTGAGTGGGGCAGACAGACATCCCCAGGGCTCAGCACAGGGATCGGCAGACATGCAATGGTTTTGTGGATGAACAAGACATGAGTTAGGCTGAAGGTGGGAGGAGAAGTGCGCTGGGCCGAAGCCACAGCACATGTAAGGCGCTGGAGGAGAGAGAGTGCCTCGGCCCAGCCAAGGCCTTGCTGAAGGGCAGTGTGGGAAGTGGACAGGGATGATGCAGAGGCCATGGGAGGCTGGCTACACCCATCCTGGGCTTTGCCACTTCCTAGCCCTGCATCTCCTGGATTAGTCCTGGGAGGCCCAGAGAGAAAGAGGTGGCCAAGGCCAGCTGGGCCCAGGGGCCTGGAGGGCAGTTCTGTGGGTGGATGGAGGCTAACCAGCCGCTGCCTTGACCTCCTGCCCTGCTCAGGGCCCAGCGTTCCAGCCAGAACCCCCAGGGAGCAGGAGGGAGGACTTGGCCCCCAGCACTGGCCCAGGCCAAGGCAATCGCAGCCGCCCACTCGACAGGAAGACAGAACGGAGCCAAGGCTCAGGAGACCCAGCTGGCTCCAGGACCCCTCAGGGGCCACAGGGTCCCCCTAATGTCCAGCACCCTGGGACCCGGCTCCTCGCTGTGGCTGGCCAGACCCCAGCGTCTTCTCGGTGTCTGCACTCAGGCCATCCAGGCCCGGCAGGTCGAAGAACATCCTTCCCTCTTTGGTCAGCTCCTACCATCCTTCAGGTCTCAGCGAGACCCTTCCTGACCCTAGAGATGAGGCTCGTGCGCACCAGTGCATGTTCTGAGCATACATCCTCGTTCTCAGCACTGCTCAGTAAAGGCTGCCTTCTGGTGGGCCCTGAGCCCCTCAGGACAGGGGCCGCACATGGCCCTGTTCACAGCTGCATCCTGTGGCCAGTGAGCCAAGGCTGGGTGACCACCAAGCAAACGGCTAAATGAAAGCAAGAAGAAGTCAACTCCATGCAGGGACATCCGGGACCTGCGGGGGAGGGAGGGCAGAACTCATCTGCTTGGGGGACTCAGGTCTTTTTGTGGTTCCAGGAGATTCTCAGCGATCCAAGTGCAAGCCGGGAGGAGACTCCCCCAGCCCACCGAAAGCCACAGCCCATACTGTTCCTCCCAGGACCGAGGCTTCAAGCATGTGGACCAGCCTAGCCTGGACCCTCTTCATTCCCAAGTACAGCAGTTAGGGGGAGGGTCCCGGGGGCCACCATTTATTGAGTTGTGCGACCCCAAGCAACTGATCTCACCCTCAGTGCCTCAGTTTTGCTGTCTGTAAAAGAACAAAGCATGCCGGTTTGGGATGCCGCCTGGGCGAGTCCTTGGTACACGGTGAGAGCCCCGGAATGGTCTGTACCCCCGTCACTGTCCACTCCCCCAACACCCCACTGACTCCCAGGCCCCAGCCCCGTGGCCTCCCTGGGCCTTGGTGGTGGGCTGGGGCTGCCAGAGCCCACTGCTGCCTTTCATCCCAGACAGGAAGGCTCAGCTCAGAGATGACGGGAGGATCCGGAACAGATGTCCAGGAGCCACGGGGGGCTGGGAATGCGGCGACCTCCATCTCCTTCCCTGCCCCTCACCCCATTCCCTCTAGGAGACCCCGGGCCAGAGCTGGCCGCCCACTCTCCCTTCCCATGAGCCTTCAAGGAGAGGGAGCAGTGGGGGGACAGAGCCAGCAGAGGTGGCCTAAGGACCAGGAGGAGAGGTCATCAGACGGCCTCCACAGGGGACACCGACAATCCCAGGCCTCTCCTTCCCCCGCTATTATGCAAGCCATGGCTTAGCCTGGAGCAAACCTAAGTCATAGGAAACCAAAAAGAGGCCAAATCTGGGGCTGCGCTGGGCCCCCGGCGCCCCTTGTGCGTAAACAGAGACCAGCGTCAGGATGTCTTTGAGGAGGCAGGGCGGCCGGGACGAGCATTTCTCAATCCCCGCAAGGGAGCCTCAGCCCTGAGCTGTCTCAGCAGCCACGCTGGTCACACACAGGGACTGCCATGGCTCCGACCCGGGCTCATGAACCCGAACAGCTGCTCAGGAAGTGGCGACTCTTATCCGTACGGTACAGGTAAGGAAACTGAGGCTGAGAGAGGGGACTCCGCTTGCCCAGTGAGTGGCTCTGCTGGGCCTAAGTCCAAAGCCTCCTTTCGTGATTTCTATCCTATTCTGCCTCCCAGAGCAGGCAAAAGAGAATGCTGAGCTGGCCCCAGAGCACAGGACAGAGGAGGTGACCCTGTCACTCACACTTGTGGACTCTCTCCTATATGCCTGGTTTTCGGCGACAAAACAGGAAGAATGCTCACCGGGATAAGACACAGCAGGGAGTGTGTGTGTGTGTGTGTGTGTGTGTGTGTATGTGTGTGTGTGTTCGCTCTCTACATTCACAGTGTGGAGGCTCTCAGGTTCCTTGCTTTTAGAAGGATCAGAACCACTCTGCTTCTAAGGTTCTAGGCAGAGTTCCACGAGGGTGCACAGCTCAGCACAGGGCCTGGCACACAGTAGATGCACAGTAAACAGGAACTACCTCAAATCCAAAAACTTGGCCATTTCTCCCAACTTCCTCCCACCTTGTTTGTGCCTGGGCTGAGCTCTTTCCTTGGCCCCTGGGTTCCCAGGACACATGTGATACCCTTTGTCATGGAGCACTGTGTCTCCCCAACAACTCCCCACCCTGTCCCAGATTCCTTCCCCTGTGGCCTTGGGGTCCTGCCAGCTCCATCCAGACAGCTCCCCCAGCCTCCCCCCTCCCCACTGGCTTCCTGTCCCCTCCCCCTCGTCCCATTCAGAAGCCCCACCTAGTGATCCAGATAGGCTGAGAGAAGGTGACGTGGCCCCAGAAGAAGGGAGTTTCTGAGGTGGCAGCCAGTACCTGTGTGCTCTGCAGAGCGGGCTCACGGTCCTCCCCGCACCCCACTCCAATGTCACTTCCCAGCCCTCCCCAGGACACTGTCACCAGGCTGAGGTGGAGCTGACTCAGTTGATGGGTGGCGGAACTCACATCAAAGAGTTTATGCTCTGACCTCTGATGTCCATGGATGTCCACGCTCAGATGCTCACTTAGCAGCTCTGTGCCTTTGGGCAAAACAACCTCTCTGAGCCTCAATTTTCTCAGCTGAAACATGGGATACAGTCCCATCATCCCTAATCCAAACTCCTAGGCTCCAAATGTGTTTGGGAATTGAACATTTTTCAGCTTTTAGAAAGACGATGCAGGCCTTATACCATATATTGTGCTAATACCCCCAGTGGGGTCTGGGGCTGCCGGCTGTACTCAAATGAGATTTCAGTAGCAAAGCGAATGAATATTCATTCTCACTAGCATAAACATAGCTTATAAATAGCCTCAGGTCAGGTTTAGCAGCAAAAATGAGTTATAAAAATAATTTGAGTTTTCAAAGCTTTGGGAGGCTGACCTCGAAGATAAGGGAGTCTAACCAGTGATACCAGCCCCTCCTGAAAGGGCAGTGGAGGCTGCAACAGGAAAGACACTTGGCGCTTACCCGGCCACAGAGGACATGGGAATCGGGCTGAACACGGAGGGAGGAGAGAGCATTCCAGCTCCCTGCAGTGGGGGCAGGGGCTGAGAACCGGGGCTGGGTCCAGACTCCAGATTCTGATTCCTGGAGATCTAAGGGCTTCTGCACCTCGGCAAGTCATGAGCAGGGCAGAGAGGCCATGCCACCGGGCGCAGCTGCCCAGCAGCACGAAGAAACTTAGTCCTCCTCCCCAGAGGGTTAAACTTTGCCTGTGCAGTGATGAACATCACAGCTTCTATCTTCCAGAACCCACCCGAGGACTGCAGGCAGCTTCAGGGGTCCACTGAATACCTGAAGTTGACCAGAAGACCCAAGATCAGGAGCCCCTGCCCTAGAGGGTGACCAATTCAGTCCTTGGTGTGTCACCTCCCCAACAGTTCTGGTCTAGGATGGAAAACCATTACAGGGGATTATAATTGCAACCTAGAACCAAAGCTCAGCAAGTGACTCCCTGCCTCTCCCGCCCCACGGGGCACCCCTCAGTCTATCCTTCTGGCTATCTAGGGGTACAGGTCCTGTTTTTTTTTCTTCTTTTTTTCATTCTTTCTTTTTATTAAGAGATAAGGTCTCACTCTGTAGCCCAGGCTGTAGCACAGTGGCACTATCATATTTCATGCAGCCTCAACCTCTCAGTCTTAAGTGATCCTCCTGCCTCAGCCTCTTGAGTAGCTGGGACCATAGGTGTGCACCACCACGCCCAGCTTTTTTTTTTTTTTTTTTTTTTTTTTGAGACGGAGTTAGCTCTGTTGCCCAGGCTGGAGAACGGTGGTGCGACCTCGGCTCACGGCAACCTCCACCTCCCGGGTTCAAGCGATTCTCCTGCCCCAGCCTCCTGAGTAGCTGGAACTACAGGCACCTACCACCACGCCCGGCCAAATTTTCTATTTTTAGTAGAGACGGGTTTTCACCATGTTGGCCAGGCTGGTCTCGAACTCCTGACCTCAGGTGATCCGCCCGCCTCGGCCTCCCAAAGTGCTGGGATTACAGACGTCAGCCACCGCGCCCGGCCTATTTTTCTTTATTTTTTGTAAAGATGGGATCTCACTACGTTGCCCAGGCTGATCTTGAACTCCTGGGCTCAAGCGACCCTCCCATCTCGGCCTCCCAAAGTGCTGGGATTTCAGGAGTGAGCCACCGCACCCAGCCTAATTCCTATTTCTGAGCCCCTCCATCCAACACCATATCTGGGTCCTGCAGCCCAACCTGGGCGCACAGCAGCTCAGGCCTCAGCCTCAGACCCCCAGTGGAGTGGGGACACGGGGTGCGGTGGCGGTGCCCCCAGCCCGCGCTTACCTAGGCGGAGGGTGATGTTGACCGAGGTGGGGTACTGCACGCCGAAGGCCATGGACGGGCTCTGCCACCAGGTGCTCTCGTCCTGGCTGTGGAAGTCGGTGAGGTAGGAGGCGTTGTGGTGGCGCTGGGGGTCGGCGGCGTCGCAGCGCTGGCAATGAGCCCCCGCGCCCGCGGCGCCCACGTGGGGACAGAAGTCCTCGGGCGGGCTGCCGCACGTGTGCGAGGCCTGGGCGAGCCGCCCAAACGCCGCGTTCTCGAACACCGGCAGGCAGCGCTGCGGGCGCCCTGCGCCGTCATAGCACGCGCCCATGCCCGCGCCGGCCGCCCGCGGTGCCAGCAGCGCCAGCCCCAGCAGAAGCGCAGCCGCCGCCATGGTCAAGGGCACCGACGCCGCGCGCTCTGCCGGCCCCGCTCGGCTAGGGTGGGCGCGGACCGCGCGCTGGCCGCCAGGACCCGCCTTCCCCTGCGGGGCGGGGAGGCTGGAGGGAGGGGCGGGCGGCGGCGGCCCCACCCCACTAAAAATACCAGGGACCGCGCCGTCCCCGGGCGCCCACTCCCACCTGCTGGACGTGCCCGGCAGTGCGCGGCTCGGGAGTCTGCCCCAGAGGCGACCCGGGCCTCTTTGAGCCTCAGTTTCCTCGTCTGTGGAGTGGGGTCGGTAAAGATGCAGGCTCATTCTCGCCATTGGGAGGCTTCAATGGCTGCTCATTAAACAGAAACTGTTCAGCAGTGCCTTGGAGTCCTGAGATAAAAGGGGACAAGAGGATCTATCTCTAACTGATCGCTACCGTTTGCGCATCTCCTCCTAGCAATAAAGTGTGCCCTGGACAGGGTTGTGAGATGGCTCCGCATAGCTCCTGTCGCCCTTAACCCTGAAAAGCACTCCTGCTGCCGGCTGCGCTCTGTCCCCACAGCAAAGAGATTCTAACCTGACATTTGTGACAAGGGTACCTGGTCTTATCACAAATGTCACCTCAGAGAGGGCTTCCTTGTCTTCTGCCCCAACCCCCATAAATGCCCCCTTTACTCCCCATTTATTAACATTAGCAAATCGAGGGAGAGAAGTCATTCGATAAAATTTAGCAGCCAGGTCGTGCGCGGTGGCTCACGCCTGTAATCCTAGCACTTTGGGAGGTGGAGGCGGAAGGATAACTTGAGGCCAGGAGTTCGAGACCAACCTGGGCAAAATAGTGAGACCCTATCTCTACAAAAAAATACAAAAATTAGCCCGGCGTCATGGCACAAGCCTGTAGTCCCAGCTACCTGGGAGGCTGAGGTGGAAGGATCCCTTGAGCCCGGGAGGTTAGGCTGCAGTGGGCTGTGATCATGCCATTGCACTCCAGCCTGGCCAACAGAGTCAGACCCTGTCTCGAAAAAAAAAAAAAAAAAAAGGCAGCCATTCCCAGACGAACTCTAAGGAAAATAGAAATAAATTTCCTGGCCTGGCGCGGTGGCTCTCGCCTATAATCCCAGCATTTTGGGAAGTTGAGGAAGGCAGATCACCTGAGGTCAGGAGTTCGAGACCAGCCTGGCCAACATAGTGAAACCCCGTCTCTACTAAAAACACAAAAATTAGCTGGGTGTGGCGGTGCGTGCCTGTAATCCCAGCTACTCAGGAGGCTGAGGCAGGAGAATTGTTTGAACCCGGGGGGCAGAAGTTGCAGTGAACTGAGATCATGCCATTGCACTCCAGCCTGGGCAACAAGAGAGAAACTCCATCAAAAAAAAAAAAAAGAAAGAAAAGAAAGAAAGAAAATTTTTGGAAGCAAGATGAACTGTAGTGGGCTGATTCACTACCAGTTATTTACACATGATTAAAACAATACGGTTGTGGAAAGGACTACAGAATAGACCCATGGAATAAGTTAGAGATTTCAGAACTATATCTAAGTAGAGTTAGTATATGATATCACCACTGGTACCTAAGGTTATTTTGGAAGTTCTAGCTAATACAATAAGACAAAAAACTTAAAAGATATAAATATTTATATCTTCTACTTACCTGAACATACATCTAGAAAATCTAAAAGATTCTACTAAGACTATTAAAATTAATAAGAGCTCCGTAAGATGGCTGACTACAGGATAGAGTACGAAAACCAATGCCAGCAATAGGCATTTTCTGGCTGGGTGCGGTGGCTCACGCCTGTAATCCCAGCACTTTGGGAGGCTGAGGCAGGCAGATCACCTGAGGTCATGAGTTCGAGACCAGCCTGGGCAATATGGTGAAACCCCATCTCCACTAAAAATACAAAAATTAGCCAGGCATTGTGGCACACCTGTAATCCCAGCTACTTGGAAGGCTGAGGCACAAGAATCGCTTGAATTCAGGAGACAGAGGTTGCAGTGAGCCGAGGTCACGCAAATGCACTCCAGCCTATGCAATAGAGCAAGACCCTGTTTTTTAAAAAACAAAACAAAAACAAAACAAAACAAACAAAAAACTGATGCCAGCAATGATGTAGGAAATGGTAGAACACCTAATAATAAATCTGGTATGAAATGTGCAAGATATAAATGAATCAAATTATAAAATGCTACTGAGAGACAGAAAACCTGAAGAGACCAGCATCTATATTCACGGATTTCCAACTGTTTAAATATACAAATTCTCCCCAAGTTAAAATATCATTTAATGTAATTCCAAATTGTTTTTTTGATGGTGTTATGGAAGCTTCTTTGTTAAAGTTTTCTCTTATGGTCAAGAACATGATTGCAGCAGACTCTTGATGGTCCACGCAGCTACCCTGAGCTGGGCTGTGCACCCATCCAAAGCAAATTCATCTATCAGGCACAGGAAACATGGCAGCCCACAGGAATTCTAGGAACCCACAAAAACTGTTCTAATATCTTTAAAGTCAGAAGAAAAAAAAGAACTTTTAGGCTGAAGAACATGTTTTAACGTATGATATTAATATACCCGTCTTTAGATCAATGCAATGGTTAAATATAATTTTTAAAAATGTTAGTGCCAGGCACGGTGGCTCATACCTGTGATCCCAGCACATTGGGAGGCTAAGGCGGGTAGATCGCTGGAGCTCAGGAGTTTGAGGCCAGGCTGGGCAACATGGTGAGACCTCGTCTCTACTAAAAATACAAAAAATTACCCGGGCATGGTGGCATACACCTGTGGTCCCAGCTGCTTGGGAGGCTGAGGTGGGAGAATTGCTTGAGCCCAGGGGGCGAAGGTTGCAGTGAGCCAAGATCACGCCACTGCACTCCAGCCTGGGTGACAGAGGGAGGCCCTGTCTCAAAAAAAAAAAAAAAAATTATAATTGTGGTAAAATACATATAACATATTTATAAAATTTACGATCTTAACCACTTTTAAGTTACAATTAAATAATATTAAGCACATTCACATTGTTGTGCAACCATCACCACCATCCATCTCCAGACCTTTTTTTTTTTTTTTTTGAGATGGAGTCTTGCTCTGTCACCTAAGCTAGAGTGCAGTGGCGCCATCTTGGCTCACTGCAACCTCTGCCTCCCAGGTTCAGGCAATTCTCCTGCCTCAGCCTCCCTGGTAGCTGGGATTACAGGCACCTGCCACCATGCCCAGCTAATTTTTTTATTTTAGAGACTGGGTTTCACTATGTTGGCCAGGCTGGTCTCGAACTCCTGACCTCAAGTGATCCTCCTGCCTCAGCCTCCCAAAGTGCTGAGATTACAGACGTGGGCCACTGCACACGGCCTCCAGAACTTTTTATCTTGCAAAACTGAAACTCTGTCCTCTTAAACAATAACTCTCTATAACCTTCTCCCCTCGGTAAAATAGAATTTTTAATATTTTTTAATAAATAAAGGAGCCCGCTAAGGCAAAACTGCCCAGGGTCCAGGAAAGTCATAAAGTGTCCATGATAATGTTAGAAATGCTTGTTCCTCGGTGCCATAAAGAAATACCACTTGAACATAAATTTAATTTCTTCAGCAAGGCTATTTTTACTTTGTGCAGAAAGGGTACACTCGCCAGCAGTTTTGCCACTAGAGTACACTGAACAAAGGAGACAGGGTCATTTATAACCTGACACGTCTACTTTACTGCTGTGTCCAGTTTCCATTGGCTGGAACGGGACTTCACATTCTGTATTTGTCCTGATTGGCTAGCAACTTAGAACTTTTTAAAAGAGGCAAAGGTGGAGGAGAACAAAGGAAGGAGGAAGAAATTTGTGGAGTGCTGAGAAAGGTAAAAACACTTCTAAGTAAGGAAGAGGAATAGGTTATGACCTAATGCCTGCTTGGACCAGTATAAGCATGCCAGGGCAAATATTTAGGCTAAATTGTGGGAGCTAAGAACATAAAGTACATTGATTTCTTTATTACGGCTAGCAGATATTTAAGAATGTTAGCACAGGTCTTTGAATAAATTTTGCTTCTGAGAGAAGTTACCATTTATTCTTAATTAGATGGGGAGGAGAGTCTCTTTGAAGAGGAACCTCTACTTTACTTTTTACAGTAACACCCGGCTGGTATCACTACAGCTAGGTGAAGTATTTGTAGTTCGCAGCATGCAGTAACAGTACAAGCAATAAGACTTTCACCTACAGTGAACTTGACCAAGGTACAGGTGGAAGGAGACGATGGTTCATCCAATCTCTGGTGCTTGAGAGTAGGGAATAGTGATTATAGAGACTGTGGGATTGGGTGGCCCTTGCTGAATGTCACTGATACCTTGAAGAGGGAAAATGACCAGGTCAGGGTGATCTTGGACCAATCCAAAACAAATTTAGAAAGCCAGAGGCCCTTGTTGGCAACAATTAGAAAAAAAAAAAAAAAGACCTGGTGGGGCATGGTGGCTCACGCCTGTAATCCCAGCACTTTGGGAGGCCCAGTCAGGTGGATCACTTGAGATCAGGAGTTTGAGACCGGCTTGGCCAACATATGAATCCCTGTCTCTAACTAAAAATATAATAATTAGCCGGGCCTGGCGCTTGCACCTATAGTTTCAGCTACTCCAGAGGCTGAGGCACTAGAATCACTTGAACCCGGGAGGCAGAGGCTGCCGTGAGCCAAGATGGCGCCACTGTACTCCCGCCTGGGTGACACAGTGAGACTCCATCTCAAAAAACAAACAAACGAACAAACAAACAAACCACACGGGGCAGACCGAGCTGAAAACTAGGCTCAGGATCTGATTGTAAGTTGCACTGGACTCCAGAGGAGATTGATTTCCCATCCCTGGAAAGCATCCTGAATCACAATCAGGGTCCGGATAGGGAAGAAGTGGGACCTTGAGACTTAGGGTGGGTATCTGGACAGATTCACTGAGAACCCTGAATCTCTAGATTCCTTTAACACTCTGGGCCTGAAGAAGGGATCCACTCCGCTTTTCTAGAAGATAGTGCCCACCACCCCACCACTGCTTGAAGAGTTTGCAGGAGCCTCAAATGAGGCAGGTGTCTATAAGGCCATCCTCGCCCTTCTCCTATAAGATGGTCCTTGCCCACCTCCCCTCTTGGCCAGAGGTCCAGCAACTAGGGAAAAGTCCAGCATGGCCTGACTGGGGAAGTTCTGAGCCTGCTAAGGATGCAGCAGGATTATCCCCCAAAGAAGTTTGCAGGGATTGGCTAATAGTGCTAACTTTATATATATAGTCATATGCTACATAATGACATTTTGTTCAGTGATGGACCACCTAAGATTACAATGGAGCTGAAAAATTCCTATTGTCCAGTGATGTCATAGCCATCATAATATCGTAGCACGAATACCTTATATTTTTAAATAAATTTAATGTAGCTTAAGTGTACAATGTTCATAAAGTCTACAGTAGTGTACAGTAACATCCTAGGCCTTCACATTCGCTCACCACTCGCTCACTGACTCCCCAGAGCAACTTCCAGTCCTGCAAGCTCCATTTATGGTAAGTGCCCTATATGGGTATACCATTTTTAATCTTTTATAGCATATACATATTTTTTTGAGATAGAGTCTCACTCTGTTGCCCAGGCTGGAGTGCAGTGGCATGATCTCGGCTCACTGCAGCCTCTGCCTCCCAGGTTCAAGTGATTCTCCCACCTTAGCCTCCTGAGTAGCTGGGACTAAAGGCGCCATCACATCCAGCTAAATTGTGTATTTTTGGTAGAGATGGAGTTTCCTTTTTTTGAGACAGAGTCTTGCTCTGTCGCCCAGGCTGGAGTGCAGTGGCACGATCTCGGCTCACTGCAAGCTCCACCTCCTGGGTTCATGCCGTTCTCCTGCCTCAGCCTCCCGAGTAGCTGGGACTACAGGCGCCCGCCACCACGCCCGGCTAACTTTTTGTATTTTTTTTTTTAGTAGAGACGGGGTTTCATCGTGTTAGCCAGGATGGTCTCGATCTCCTGACCTTGTGATCTGCCCACCTCGGCCTCCCAAAGTGCTGGGATTACAGGCGTAAGCCACCGTGCCCGGCCGAGATGGGGTTTCACTGTGTTGGCCAGGCTGGTCTCAAACTCCTGACCTCAAGTGATCCACTCACTTGAGCCTCCCAAAGCGCTGGGATTACAGGTGTGAGCTACCATGCCCAGCCCACATATTTTTACTGTAGCTTTTCTATATTTAGAGGCACAAATACTTATCATTGTGCTAAAATTGCCTGCAGTATTCAGCACAGTGCCATTCTGTAGAGGTTTGTAGCCTAGGAACAATAGACTACACCATATAGCCTAGGTATGCAGTAGGCTGTACCATCTAGGTTTGTGTATGTTCTCTGATGTTCACACAATGACAGAATCACTTGCCGACACATTTCTTAGAATACATCCCCATCATCAAATGATGTGTGGCTATGTTTACATATATATAGAGAGAGAGAAAGAGAGAGAGAGAAAAAGAGAATATATACGTGTGTGTGTATATATATATGTATATATGGGGAGAGAAGAATTAATTAATAACTTAAAATAAATTGAGGGAGGGCCAGGCGTTGTGGCTCACACCTGTAATCCCAGCACTTTGGGAGGCCGAAGCAGGTGGATCACTTGAGGTCGGGAGTTTGAGACCAGCCTGGCCAACATGGTGAAACCCTGTCTCTACTAAAAATACAAAAAGTAGCTGGGCGTGGTGGCACATGCCTGTAATCCCAGCTACTAGGGAGGCTGAGGCAGGAGAATCGTTTGAAGCCAGGAGGTGGAGGTTGTAGTGAGCCTGTATTGTGGCACTGCACTCCAGCCTGGGTGACAGAGCAAGACTCTCTGTCTCAAAAAAATAAATAAATAAGTAAAAATAAATAAAGAAATTGAGAGAGAGATTTATTTTAAGGAATTGGCTTACATGATTATGGAAGTCAACAAGTCCCAAATCTGCAGGATAGGCCAGCAGGCTGGAGACCCGGGAAAGAGCTGAAGCTCCTGTACCGCCTGCTGGCAGAATTCCCTTTTCCTCAGGGAGCTCAGTCTTTTTCCTACTAAGTCTTCAACCGATTAGAGGAGGCCCACCAACTTTATGCCTTCGCTTCCCTCAAAGTGTTCTGATTTAGACATTAATCTGATCTAAGAAATACCTCCACAGAAACATCTTGAATCATGTTTGGCCAAATATCTGGGTGGCGTGGCCTCTCAGGTGAACAGGTAAAATGAACCATCGCACCCTCCAAAGTAAAAGTCACGCTGTCTCTATCAGCGAGATGCACAATGCTTGGTGGGCCTCTTCAGGTCCTAGAAGCAGCATATTCTTCATGTAGGAACACTTCTCGGACCCACTTCTCAGGGAACAGGTGAGGCTACTCGCTTTGTATGTGCCCAGAGTAGGAAAGGGCTGGGCAGCAGCTCCAGGCCATTCATGAACAGCCCTGCCTCTTAGGCATGTGTGCCAGCGGGCCCCGTGGTGCTGGTGGAATCCATGCTGGGAAAGAACCATAATTATCGTGAGCCCCGGGGTTCTGGAGCAAGGCATGCCAGCCCCGCAGAGGGTTCTATGCCACTCAAAAGGCAGATCCTGGTCTACAAGACCGGGCTTTTGTACAGGCTGAGTGATGATCAAAGGAAATCAACGGACCACATGGCGGGTACTGCCATCAAGAGCTGGGTGGAGTCGGACCCACGAAGTCAAGGATGCAGACCCAACAGCCAGCCTTCATGAAATGGGAACGGTAGGTCCAGGGTCAGGGACGGGTCGTCCATAGTGTGAGGGAGTTCATGAACCGGTGGCACAGCCCCCATGTTGCCCCCCAGCTCTGATGCTTCCTCCTTGGCTCATACCTATAGCCTGGGAGGAAGGTGTTCCCTATGACCAGCTGGTGGAGGAAGAAAAAATCCCAGCCTGGCTCCCAGGTAAGTCAGTTCAGTGTGCAGTTATGGGACCAGAATGGACTGCCACTGCCCTTCCAGCCAAATCTGGGGTGGCCCTGGGGATAGTGGTCCCAATGGGCAGTGTTTGTACACCTGAGAACGATGCACAGAAACTCGTGGACAGTGGCAAGTGGCTTAGCAACCCATGTAGCAAGATTGGTGGCAGGGACATGCAGATGGACCATGTAGCAAGATTGGTGGCAGGGGCATGCAGATGGACCTGTGGGACGGGGCCAGCTTTGTTCTGGACCCTCCAGAGCTCAGGACCATGATGTAGGGGGAGATGATGGTGACAAGAAGGCCAGCATCCTTCCTCCCAGGCTCCATGGCAAAGCAGACCCTGCCTCCGCCACCCTAATTCTCAATCAAGGACTCTGCCTGGATTAATTAATTGGTCATCTTCTCAATTCAATCTGTGCGACACAGAAGCCATTGGCCACATGGTGTTCAGGAACAGACCTGGGTTCAGATTCTATCTCCACCTCCTGTGTGGCTGTGGAGGGTAGTGAAGCCTTGGTCTCCCCTCCTTCTTGGATGCCTCCCTGATATGCCAAGCTTGCCACCCTAAGAGCTACTCTTCCCGGCTGCCTTTGCTGCTAGGGCCCTGTATGTAGAATAGGTCCTGCCAGGCCGGGTGCGGCGGCTCATGCCTGTAATCCCAGCACTTTGGGAGGTTGAGGCGGGCAGATCACCTGAGGTCAGGAGTTCAAGACCAGCCTGACCAACATGGACAAACCGTGTCTCTACTAAAAATACAAAATTAGCCAGGCGTGGTGGCACGTGGCTGTAATCCCAGCTACTCATGAGGCTGAGGCAGGAGAATCACATGAACCCGGGGGCCAGATGTTGCGGTAAGCCGAGCTGAGATCGCGCCATTGCACTCCAGCCTGGGCAACAACAGTGAAACTCCGTCTAAATAATAATAATAATAATAATAGGTCCTGCCAGCCGGGTATTTTCACTTGAGATTTAGAAGATGGAAGTGGGCAGAGGCCATCTTCTGCCCTTCTGGTGGATTTTTCTGGTGCAAGTGAGGTCACAGAGAAGGGAGGTTTTCAGCCTGACCTGCTTCCCATTCTCCAGTCCTGCGTGTGCTGAGAGGTCTCTGTGTGGTGGCGGTAGCAGGAGCAGTGCTTCCTGACTCTTATTTCCAGCCCCTGGATTGCAGGCACAGCTGTGAGTTTTCAGAGCCAACAGCGGTGGCAGCCTCAGAGGTGGTGGCAGCTTCCCTGGTGGGTCAGTTCTGCGGTGTCCCAGGTATCAGCCCCTCCAGTCCTCCCAACCATTTCCTGAGCACTTAGTGACCTGTGTTCAATCCTTCCTGTTGGATATACACAAGCACATGGCAAGTGCTTGGCTCAGAGCTCAGCATGGAGTAAGTGCTCCATAAATTGTTATTGCTATAATTCCCACAAGATCCTGCTCTCTATGAGCCCATGGTCTGGTTAGAGAGGAAAAGCGTTCATTAAAAAATAGTCTGATTGGCCAGAAGTGGTAGCTTATGCCTGTAATCTCAACACTTTGGGAAGCCGAGGCTGGTGGACTGCTTGAGCCCAGGAGTTCAAGACCAGCCTGGGCAACATAGTGGAATCCTATCTCTACAAAAAATACAAAAATTAGCCAGGCATGGTGGTGCACACCTGTAGTCCTAGCTACTGAGGAGGCTGAGGTGGGAAGATCACTTGAGCCTGGAAGGTAGAGGCTCCAGTGAGCTGTGGTCATGCCACTGCACTCCAGCCTGAGCAACAGAGTGAGATTCTGTCTCAAAAAAAAAAAAAAAAAAAAGAAGAAGAAGAAAAAGAAAAGAAAAGAAGGAAGGAAGGAAAGAAAGACAGAGAGAAAGAGAAAGAAGAAAAGAAGAAGGAGGAGAAGGAGAGGGAGGGAAGAAGAAAGAAAGGAAAGAAAGAAAAGAAAAAGAAAGAAAGGAAAGGAAGGAAGGAAAAGAATGAAAGAAAGAAAGTCTTTTTTCTAACTAAAGAAAAGAAGGGAACAGCCAGATGACATTCCAAGGCTCGTTTGAACCTGTTTTATAAGACTGAGTTGTGGTCATTTGTCCCTCGGCAAACGTACTGTTACCCACTGTTGAACTTCTCCTGTCTTGGGCTCACAGTCAGTGAGGCAGAGGCGTGATATGCATAGGTCTGGACGCTGCAACGAGACACATGCAACAAGACAGTGCCTGGAACGGGTGCAAGGAGGGTGGGGTGGCTCGTTCTGCCTGGAACTGGAGGATGCTTCCCAGAAGAAGCAGCATTTAGGCTGAGCTGTAAAGGATGAGTAGAGGAAAGGGCGTCCCAGGCAGGAGCACGCGCAAAGGCCCAGAGGCGTGCACAAGCAGGGGAGGTCGGCATGTGTTTGCAGTGTTGGGTAGGGAGCTGGTCCTGTGGGGTGAGGCTGGAGCAGGGCACAGAGGCCAGAGGATGTGGGCCTCTCGGCAGTGGCAGTTTGTCCTGCGAGGGTCTGCAGGGGCTGGAGGTTGTGAGCCCCTGGGGGACAAGGACCACGTGTGTCCCGGCCTGGTGTCCCCGTGGCCTGCACTGAGCGGTGTTCAGGAGCATTTCTGGAATGAATGAGACCCCCGCGGCCGGCAAAGACGGATCCTTTAGGGGCTGGGCTAGAGATGAGGGCTCCTTCAAGAGGCATCAACTGGGTGCTCACTGACCTCGCCCAGCCCTGGCAGCAGCCCTTGAAGGGACCGTCCTGCCTGGGCTGGTGATCTCATTTGCGGAGGTCTCCCAGCAACCTCGTGCCTTCTGCCTTCCCAGCTTCTCCTCCCAGCTCTCACCGTCCAGCTGCTCAAGTTCACCCGGGACCAACCACCAGGTGGCGATGTTGGCCACAATACGGGGACGGGCCCCTCTCTGGCCCCTGGTGGCCTAGGACACCCCGGGCCATTGCTGCACAGGGCAGGGGAGCTGACCAGCGCCGTGGAGGGGGGCGCGGAGCTCCATCGGACAAAGCTCCTTCCCGAGGCTGCTTTCTGGGTGAGTGGCACAAGCACGTCTCAGGCCCCGAGAGCAAGAGGCTCTGCCGTCTGACCCCCGCTAGCCCTTCCCCAGCCGCTCGGGGCCCCAGCGCTGAGTGTGGAGCAGCCAGGTTTATGGGGAGCCCAAAGGGGGAAGGAGGGGCTCAGAGTGGGGGTGACTCCCAGGAACACACAGCGGGAGTGGGCAGACCCAGGGCCAGAGCCAGGTCTCCCTCCATCCCACTGCTGAGGACAAACTCCCCGGGCCCCCATCCTGAGGCCCCTCAGCCTCCATGGGGCGGCCGGTGGGCACTGGCCTCTCAGACTGACCGCTGTGTTCAGACAGCGTGAGTAGAAGGGATGGCACTGTGGGTGGGGTGGCTAAACATCCCCTGCTTCCCTGTGGCCTGGGATCCGATAAGATGGGCCTATAAAGATGGTTGGATCCAGGGCACAGGCTGTACAAATGGGGAAACTGAGGCCCAGGGAAGAGAAGCAGTTTGTTGGGGACACATTCAAGGCAGGATGTGACCGGGTCTCTCCTATCCCTGTGGTCAGCTCCTCCTAGGATAGGGTTCGGGGAGGGTCTACAGAATTCAGGAAGCAAAGTATCCTCCCCGGGCATCGGGGTGTCTGTGCACCCACAAAAAAGTCTCAGAATAACCCCCCAAATCTGGGCAACAAGGGGACAATAAACACCTGCACTGCCGGAAAGGGCTGGGAAGGAGCCAGGAGAACTGAGGAAGCCAGTCTTTGGGTGAGGGCTGCCAGCTCTCCATCAGGGGAAGGTTCTGAGTGGCACCTTCTGGTAGGGCCCCACACCCTGGCAAGACATCTGACCCCTGAAGCCGGGGGTCCCCTCTTTACACACATGACCAGAAACCCACAGAAGCCACAGGCTGCATGGCCTCAGTTTCCCTGCAGCCTGGAGCTTTGGGGCCCCTCTCCAGATCCCCAACCTCCAACCCCTCTCCCTGACACCTGGTGGCAGCCCCTGCATCCCTCCCCCAAGTGGAGCCCTGCTGCCACCTAAGTACCTCCCACCATGTCATTTGAGGTCCCCTGCTGGTACTAGTTCCTAGGGTCCGTAAGTGGCACCTGTGTCACACTGGCCTTGACCCACTGGTGGGTGTGCCTGGACAGGCGGCTTTGGTCCTGTGCCCTACCCCAGGATCACCTGTGTCTGGGATTGCTCTGGGAGCAGGGACCCCTGAATATTTCCTTCAGGGGTTCAGGGAGCTGTCCTTAGCACCGGCAGAGAGAGCTGATTCGGGAAGGAGAGGAGTGGCGTTGGAGAGGGTCTCCGGAGGGGAAGTGGGAAGGGTACAACTGAAGAAGCAACTGCAAGTGCCAAGCGGGGAGGTGGGAGGCGAGTGAGAGGAGCAAGGCGGACGAGGGGGCCTGGAAGGGGGACAGAAATGAAGCTGGCAGGGCTTGGTGAGGGTCTGCCCATTGTCCTAGCCGTAGCAGGGAGCCAAGGAAGGCTCTTGAGCAGCAGATGGTCCAGGCCTGTTTCCTTTTGGAAGATGGGAGTGGAGTCCAGGGGAGCAGCCTGATGATGGTGTGGTAGGAGGAGCTGATGCGTGTGCACGCATGTGTGTGTGTTCCATGTGTCTGATATGTGTGTATGTGTGTCCAATATGTGTGCGTGTCCAGTGTGTGTGTGTGTCTCTGATGTGTGTGTGTGTGTCCAGTGTGTGTGTGTCTCTGATGTGTGTGTGGGTCCGATGTGTGTGTATGTGTCCCATGTGTCCGATATGTGAGTGTGTGTGTCCAATATGTGTGTATGTCCAATGTGTGTGTGTCTCTGATGTGTGTGTGTGTGTCTGATGTGTGTATGTATCCAATGTGTGTGTGGGTCCGATGTGTGTGTGTATCCGATGTGTGTGTGGGTCCGATGTGTGTGTGGGTCCGATGTGTGTGTATGTGTCCCATGTGTCTGATATGTGAGTGTGTGTGTGTCCAATATGTGTGTGTGTCCAATATGTGTGTGTGTCCAATGTGTGTGTGTCTCTGATGTGTGTGTGTGTCCTGTGTGTGTGTGTCCGATGTGTGTGTGGGTCTGTTGTGTGTGTGTGTCCGATGTGTGTGTGGGTCCGATGTGTGTGTATGTGTCCCATGTGTCTGATATGTGAGTGTGTGCATGTGTGTCCAATGTGTGTGTGTGTCCATTGTGTGTGTGTATGTGTCCGATAAGGAATGTGCCTGCGTTGGGGACCTAGGGGGCTCCTGCAGAGGCCTGGCCTTGTGCTTGGGCTACCAGCAAAGGTAGCAGGCTCCCTCCCGGAAGCCCACCTACTAAGGGTTAAAACCTTCCGGGAGAAGAAAGAAGGGAGAAAAACCCTGTTGTTCTGATTTGCTTAATGAACGTTAATTAAGAAGACAGAAGAGAGCTGATTCCTTCAGGACAGAGATGAAAGGCCTGTTAATTAAATCTGGGGAGATCGGCCAGGGCCCTGCTGATCTCTCCTGACAGCTCTGCAGCCTCGTTGGAGCCCAGCGTTGGGGGCACAGCGCAGAGGGGAAAGGCAGCTCCCCCTGCCCCCACCCTGCAGCTTTGGAGCCCAGACTCACTGTGGTATCTTGGGTGGGGCTCTGCCCTTCTAGGGCGGCTCAGTTCCCCATGTGGACAGCAAGAGCATTGGTCTAGGTGGTTCCCAGGATGCCAGGTCTGGCTCAGAGGCTCTGTTAAGCCTGTGCTCTCTGTCCGCATGCCTGGGTCTCGATCTTCCCTTCTGTTCGGTGGGGAGACATCACTTGCTCTGCAGGCAGGCTTCAAGGGCAGGAAGTGAAAACTGGGAGGTCTGCCAAGGGCTTGTGGACAACTGTGGAAGAAAGAAGTTAGCAACTGGCGACATCAGCCCCCAGGATCCCACTGCTAGGCCCACGCCCATCTGTCTGTATTGCAGCATATCCCTGGGCACTGCCCTGCCCCTCTGAGCAAGGACAAGGTCACCCCCTGAGAGGCCTCCTGGGAGTCAGACCTGGGCTGAGTGCACCACCTCCACAAGTAGTTACTGTTATTCTCCCCATATTGCAGACAGGGAAACTGAGGCCCAGCCAGAGACAGCTCCTTGCCCAGGACCACTCTGCTCGTCAGCAACAGAGAGCCGTGTACACACCCCAGTGTGCCCGGCCCCAGAGCCTGTGCGCCTTTCCACTTTGCTCTCCATTCATTCATTCATCCATCCATTCATTCATTCTATTACTTTAGGGGACATTTGTTCTGTGCCCTCCCTGGGCTGGTTGCTGAGGTACAGGGGATAGACTGTCTGGGACCTCATGGTGCTCCCCAGAGAATCAGGAAGACAGACAGTGACCCAGGAAGCAACCTGGTGAATTAGTTAGTGACTGATCACGGTAAGAGCCGCAAAGGAAATAGACACAGGGCTGGGATGAGCTCCATGAGGGGGTGAGCAATCAGGGAGGCTTCTCAGAGGAGGTGACAGCTCACTGGAGACCTGCAAGATGAGATGGGAGGCAGGATGGAGAGGGAGCTGATGGGAGCTGACAGGGGGCCCCTCAGCTGTCACCCTCACGGAGCATCTCCTCCTACAGAGTTAACAGATTTAGACAGGCCAAGGGACATGACTGGCCTCAGGGCATGTCACTACTCAGTCTAGCAACTGTCTCAACCTCCCTGCTGTGTTCAGCCTGAGGTGGGTCTGGGCCTGGATGAGTCAGCCCTGGGCAGCCCTTCAAGTTCAGGGGGTTCAGAAGAATAAAGGATGTCCCCTTCTCGGTGGTGCAGGGGCCACAGGCTGGGCTACAAAGGAGATAAACGTGGTTATCTATCCATTCATTCATTCATTCCTTTATCCACTGGACAGATGTTTACTCAGCCCACACTCTGGGCCCTGGGCTGGACACAGGGGACAGAGTGATGAATAATGATGAAACTGTCCCTGCACTTTAGGGATCCAAGAAGCTGTTAATAACAACACAAGGCTGTAAGCACCAGGCAGTGAGAGTGGAGACCTGATGCCTAACACAGTCTGGAGAGATCAGGGAGGGCTTCCTGGAGGAGGTGGAGTCTCAGCTGAGACCTGGAGGAGAATGGAGTATCCAGGAAAAGGGGTTGGGGAAGAGCATCCCAGGCAGACAGCAGCATGTGAAAGGCTCAGAAGCGGAGGATGGGGGTGGGAGGATGGGCATTTGAGGAGTGGGGAGGGTGGAAAAGGGGAGCCAAGAAGGGCCCAGGACATCCTGCTGGAGAGCCTGGACTTCACCGGGGGGCCATGGGGAGCTGTGGGAAGATTTTCTCTTGGGATGTGCAGGGAGATTGGCCCGCTGGGGGTGGTGTGGAAGCAGAAATGGTTTGGCAGCTGCTGCAGGGACCCGAGGAGAATGAGGTGGTAGCCTAAACAGGAGCAGGGAGGAGCTGGGGTCTGCAGGACCCGGGAAGCAAACTGTGGCCCCTGGGCATGGGGGTATCTGTGCCAGAAGGCACTGGGGACAGAAAATCACCCAGTTGGGCTGGCGGGGTGGTGAGCAAAGCTGAGGCTGGCTCTGGGTCTCTGGCTGGGCCCTGGGTGGGCGTGCTGTGCTCAGACAGGGTCGCCGGTCCAGGAGCAGGCCTGGGGGAGATGGGGAAGCCGTTGTCAGTGCTGAAGTTCTGTGCCCAGAGGAACCCAGGAGGCCAGACTTCTCCTGGCTCGGCCCCTCCCACGCTGTGTGTCCTTGGGCAGGTCCCTTCCCCTCTCTGGGCCTCAGGGTTCCCATCTGTATGATAAAGGGAAGCAAAGGATGTCCTCTGAGGCCTGCCTAGAGTGGCTTCCCTTTCCCAAGGCTCTCCCAGGGGTCCAGGCTGTCCCCCCACCAGTGAGAGGCTCCAGCCCCAGCCTCTGGCCCCTGCTGGCCCCCACTGCCACTTCCTCTGGGGACCCAGGGTCCCCAGCAGCTTCCGTTGGGCCTGGCACTTCCCTATAAAATGCTGGCAGCCACGTCCACACTGATACAGCACCCCCTGCCCAGTGCCCAGATACGGCCCCCACAGCTCACAGTGCCACGTGTCACCCACAGATGGGCCCGGCCAGGGATCCAGGAACCCATCCCGTGGGTGGATTAAACACCTCAGGCCCCTACAGTGGGCTTTGTTGTACCTCTGACCCCACCACAGACGAGGAGCCCTTTGAGGGCAGGCAGGGAGTGGGTCTGACTCCTCCCCTGGGCAGGTGGCAGGGTAGATGCTCACAAAAGGCAGAGGGGATGAATGAAAGCTGACAAATGAATGGGAAGTGGACGGAAGAATGGACAGAAAAGGAATGAATGAGTGAGAGTGAATGAATGATGGTGAATCAATGAAGCGGGAGTCAGGGGTGAATGTGTGCTGCTTCAAATGAGAGCCTTTCCTCCCTGGGTTCTCCAGCGGCCTCTGCCCCAGCTCTGCGGGCCTCACTGTCCCTACAGGAGGCACTACTTGATTGCCCCCTACCCAGTTCTGGTTTCAGTGACCACACCTGCCATCCTGTCCCCTTGCCCACTGGGCTGGCTGCAGCCACACGGGCCTCCTTCCCGATCACACAGAGCACGTTTCCACCTCGGGGCCTTTGCACTTGCTGCTCCTCGTGCCTGGAACGCTCTTCCCACACTTTCTTCTGCATCCCTTTATGGAGAGGCCGTCCCAGACCCTCCTGCTGACCTTCCCCAGGACTCCCCTGCCACTCTGCGGGTTTTCCCCCCTAGCCCTCACCGCACCTGCTGGGCATGTTTTTGCTTGTCTGTTTGTGGCCCGTCTGCCCCCTCAGGCCATGAGCTCGGCCTCGCTTGCTGCTGTGCGGCTGCAGGAGGAAGACACTGGTCTTCGCCAGCAGTTCTCACTGCAGGGAGGCTGTCCTTAAACAATAATTTCGTTTCCGAGCTCTTTCTGCTGAGGACAAGGAAACAGCAATTATAAGTCACCAGAACCCAGTTATAACCCAAGTGTAAGTCAGCAGAACCCATCCAGGGACGGGAGGCACATGCACAGCTCCGGCTGCCCTAGGGCCTGGCCATCTGAGCGCCACGTGCACTGAGCCTCACCTGAGCAGGACCCCAGTCCGCACCAGGGGCCTGGCACGACCCTGCAGGGCCCCCATTCCCCTCGGGTAAAGGGGATCTCTTGAGCTGAAGCTCCTAAGACTCCAGAACTCACGGGCCTCTTCTAGACCCTCAGGCATCCCTGGCCCCCCCATCCCAGGACTTTGCACCCGCGGGTCCTGAAATGCCCTTCTGCCTCTTCTCGCCAGGGTGGGGTGGCGGCTGACTCCTGCTCCTCCTCTAGGCCTGGGGTGATGCCACTTCCTCAGGGAAGCAGTCCCTGGTGCCCCAACCCTGTGACACCTCCCCTGCTTCCAACTTTGTGGCATTTCTCACACTTGTCATTAAGTGAGTATTTCATGTCCCTCTTTCCCACTTGACTGTCAGCTCCTGGGGACAAGAATCCTGGGGCTTCCTGCTGTGTCCTTGACATACACCCAGGAAGGATGTGCACTAGGTGCTCAATAAATAGTGCAGAATGAAAGAACAAGTGAATGGGTGAGTGTGTGAAAGGAGGGAGGGAGGGCAGAAAGCAGGCAGAAGGCTGGGAGAAAGGAACTGGCCAGCGAAGCTCGGGGAGGGGGGTGGCTGTTCTCCCAGGACTGATGGCTTTTAAGCGGGGGAGTGAAGGCCAAGGGCAGGGAAGGAGCCAGCAGGCCGGTGACAGGGAAGTGATCTGCGAGTGCCTCGCCCTTCACGTGGCTTTATTTTGAAAACGTGAACTTTACAAATGTCAGGGAAAGGCGGGATTCTCCGCCTGGGACCGCCAGGAGCCGATTAGCATTCCCGGCGATGCGCAAATGGGGCCCTGCATAGGCCGCGGGAAATTTCTGCCGCCTGCTGGGGCTGATGTGAAGGCCAGGCGAGGGGGCTCAGAAAATAAAACTGTAAAGCTGCCAAGTCTATGCCTGCCCAGGAGGCACGGCCTGGTGGAGGCCCCTGGGGGACAGAGAGGTGGATTCAGTATAACCCCCAACCCTCCGCGGGACAGGGTAAAAATGGGGGCCACTCAGAGTAGGTGGGGTTAGGGGGCACCCCCCGCTGTGTCAGAATCAGAGAGGTGACCCCTCCTGCTCACCCCCATTGGGCCAGGCTCCGTCCCCACCACCTGCCATACAAACCATCCAGATTCATCCTCAAGATGATCTTATGAGGGAGGGGCGTTGCCCCCAGGCTGCAGATGAGAACACTGAGGCTCAGGGAAGCAGAGGGCTTTGCCTGAGATCGCTGATCCTGAGAGGGTCAGGCAGGATTGAAACCCAGTTCTCCAACTCTCTTAGCAGCCTCCTGGCCCTGTCCTTCCCCACTTCTCCCAGCTTCCAGGACAAACCCCATTTAGGACAGTCCACAGCCTCAGTGTCCGGCTAGGTCTCCCCCTGCTTGGGGAGCTATGTGAGGACTGCCAGAGCTTTCACATGCACGTCGCTCCCTCTGCTCGGAGCACCCTCCCCACTGCAGCCCCTTGTCTTCCCCTTCAGGTCTCCGCGGAGATCAGTCTTCTCCATAGTTTATTGTCAGTCCCCACCCCCGTCTCTGCAATGGGGATATTCTTTGCAAATTGATTTTCATGCACACACGTGTCTCAAGGATGTGCTGGGGGCTATCGGGTTTCCACTGGGATCTGTGAGGGGAGGACGTGGGAAGGGTATCTGTGTGTTGGTGTGTGTTTGTGTGTGTGTACATGTGTGCATGTTGGCGGCGTGTGTGTGCGTGTGTTGTGGGTGCGTATGTGTGTGTGCACGTGGTGTGTGGCTGTGGGATGTATCTGTGTGTGTGGCAGGACCCATGGGGCCCTGAGGGGGACAGGCCTGGCGCAGGAGCCCTCAGCACAGCCAAAGGAGGAAGGCGGCTGGGACTGGTGGCGGAGCGAGGCCCGTGGTGGTCACTGGAGCTATGCAGGAGCGGAGCTGTGAGCTTGTTGTAGATAAGTCCCAGCCTGGCCCAGGGTGCTCTGGGATCGGGGAGACACAGGATGGGAGCACCTGGAAGTGGGGGGCTCCAGGCCAGTGGCAGGTCCAAGACCACGGGGAGGGACTCAGCAGGAAGTGGGCGGCTCCAGGCTAGTGGCTGGCCCAAGAGCACGGGGAGGGACTCGGCAGCCCACTTGAATCTCGGAGCCCAGGGGTCCACCCGAGATGGGGACCGAGGAGAGGCTGTGGCCTCTCCAGCTAAGTCCTCCCACAGGCTGGTGTCCGGTCCCCAGCAGGGGACAGTCCTGGGGATCAATGATGACCCCAGGCTCAGCCACTGAGCCTCTCTGTGACTCCGAGGGCAGGGCCCCGCGAAGGGCTGGGCCGCTGTCGGCCGGTTCGCGCATCCCCCGCACCTGGCACGGCTAGCACGGTCCCCGTCCGACTCTGTGCAGTGGGTGCCTGGCCTGTGCCCACGCATGCAGGGCCTCCCGCCATCCTCCAGGCAGCCCTGGGACAGAGGCTGCTCTCCTGTGCTCAGATGAAGAAGCGAGGCGCAGGGATGGGGGACTTACCGAGGGTCCCAGGGCTCAGAGATGCTGGTGCTTGGTTTTTGAAGATGTGGTTTGACTCCAGAACGGAACTTCTGGCATGCCCGTTGGGCATGGAAGCAGGAAGGTGCCTGTGAGAGAGCCCGGCAGCCTCACCCTGTGGGGCGTGGGGTTCCCATGGGAGAGGAGGGCAGGGGGAAGTCCTCAGTGCTCTCAGCCCACAGAAGGGCTGGGACATGCCCTCCTGGGCCCTGGGCAGAATCCTCCAGGATTCCTGCAATCGAGTGGCAGAGCGGCATGGGCTTGGGTCCTGAGTATGGACACCACGGCCCAGTGGCACGCAGAGGGCAGGCAGGGCAGCCCGCCAACGGAGGCCCCTAAATAACAGGGAGTGACCGGCACGTCTGCTGCTCATCCCAGCCGGGGGACAGGCTCCGGCTTCATAACGTGTGATCGATGGGCCTAATATGGGACTGGAGACGGCGGGCTGGCAGCCCCGGCCTGGCCCGCCGGCTGCCATTTGCCCACATATTTATTTATTTATGCATTCTCCTCCATGGCAAAAGCCCAAAAACAATAAAAGAAATTGAATTGCATATCAGATGGGACATCAGAGGGAGATACGGCCATAAATTGCACTGTATTTATTCCATAAATATCAGCACCTCCCGAATCACCAGTGCCCGTTATGAAGTTATAATCAGGAATCTGGTCCTGTGATGCTCGCCGCCAGCCCCTCCCCCGCTAGACAAACAAGCCAGGTCCCTGAAGTCAATAACCACTTCCCCAGGCCACCTGTCCCCATGAAGGGACATCTGCCCATCCCAGTTGCCCCACCCAAAGTGAGGGACCACAGGAAGGGCAGGAGGTGGCTGGAATTCCAGGTGGCCCAGGCCTGGATGTAGCGAGCCCGGAGGGAGCACAGTTTCTCCAGGCCCTCTGTCTCCCTCCTGCCCCCCAACCGTACTACAACCTGGTTGGAGCCACCATCCTCTCTCCATTGCCACTTTGTGTGTGTGTGTGTTGGGGGAGGGGGGGTGTGTGTAATTTACATTCAGTGAAATGCATGCATTACAATTATGTAGCTCAATGAATTTTTACATGTGTATGCACACATGAGACCACAGATCAAGGCAAAGAACATTTGTCACTCCCAGAAGTTCCCTCATCCTTCTGCCCACTGCCATCGAGATCACCTCTGTCTTCTATCACCAGAGCACAGTCAACAACTTCTAGAACTTCAGACCAATGGAATCCTATAATAGGGACTCTTTTGTGTCTATTTTCTTATTTGTTCACCATTAAAGTAGGTGAGATCCATCCGCTTCATTACAAGTGTCAGGATTTGGTTCTTTTTCACTGCTGTGTAGTATTCCATTCTGTGAACTGACCATAGTTTGTGCATCCACCCTCCTGTGGGTAGACATTTGGGTTGTTTCTAATTTGGGGCTATTATGAACAAAGCTGCTATGAATGTTTTGGAGTGAGTCTTTTTGTGAATATAAGCACTCATTTCCCTCGGGTATGGGCCCAGCAGTGGGATTGTTGGGTCACAGGGGAGATGTATGTTTAACTTCATGAGAAACTGCCATGTTCTTCTTCAATGTGGCCAGGATGTTTTATAGCCCACAGCAATGTGGGAGCATTCCAGTTTCTCTGTGTGGACATCAATGCTTGGTGTTGTCTGTCTTTAATTTTTCTCCACTTTGGCAGCTGTGTACTGAGTTCTCTTTGTGGTTTTAATTTGCGTTTCCACCTCCATAACTGCACTGGCTGCCCAGTAGAATCCCTGTGATGGCTTCTGCCCCCTGAAATCCATCCTGCCCCAGCAACCAGAGAGACCCTCTTGCCCTCCCTTCTGCTCGAGACCCTCCAAAGCTCTCCCCCTCCTTCTGTGCTCCCCTATACTCGCCTCCACGCCGTCCCTCCGCTTCCTGCCTCCGCTCCCCTCCCCTGGGCTCTGCTCCATGTTGCCTTCTCACTGCCCACCTCCTTCCCTGCCTCTTTTTTCTGCCCAGCACTTTTCACCCCACTTCTCATTGTCTGTCTCCCACTCCCCCTCTCTGATGTCAGCTCCCCGAGGGCAGGGATCTTTGCTGTGTTCACGGTTACATCCTGGGGGCCTAGACCCATGCCTGGCACAGAATGCAGGCTCGATCAATATTGATCAATATTGGCTGAATGATGGAAGTAAGTCTTTGGTAGGTAACACAGCATTTTGACAAGAGCTGCTTTTTAAAAATGGAAATGAAATGCACATAACATAACATTACCCATTTGAAAGTGAACAATTTGGTGGCATTTTGTTCTTTCACACGGTTGTGCAACTGCCACCCCATCCTTCCAAATGACAGAGCCATTCGGCCGTGGCCTCCTCAGCCTCCGAACTGACCTTAGTACTCTCCCTCGCCTATCATTTTAAACAACTAAATGTCTCGGAGCTTCTTTCCAACTCCCTCCCCATCCGGAGTCTTGCCATATCCATGAGCTTCTCTCCTGCGGTGTTTTAAGGACAGTTAAAATGTCCCATCTTGAGGTTGGCTATGGGGCCAGGCTGGCTGACGAGGAGCTTCCACCAATGCTGGGTGCCCAAACCTCCTCCCCAAGTGGCCATTCCTGGGTCTGATTGGGAGAATGAGGGCAGTGTCTGACTGAACTCTTCCCCTCTGTTGAGGACTCTGCCTAGGTCCACGGGTCCCCTGGAGGTGGGACCCTCCTGGGTGACTCTGGGCACTGCCATCCAACCCCACATGCCCCACCTGGCTGCTTCGCTCACACCCCCCAGTCTCCCACTTCCACGCACAAGAATCTTTCCTTTCCTTTGGCTACAAACTGGGGGAGGGGAGGACGACCCAATTTATTTGGCAACAAATAAAGAGCTGCCATGATTAAGATGGGGGGGAAGTTTAAAGGAGGAAAAATACCTTGGGTAATGCCATCTCCTGCGTCTTTATATTCTGAAACGGATCGTTCTGGACATGGGCAGAAGGCCTGATTTAATATCCTCATGGAAAATACTGCACCTGATCCAATTACCACGGGAATTTTGATACAGTCAGCAGTCAAGATGAAAGATTCAGAGGCGCTCACCGCAGGAGTAAACACAGAGACCGAATTACCCGGACTCCTCTGGGAGGAGTTAAGCGGTTCAGGTCGCCAGGAGGGCACCTCAGGCCAGGCTGGGGGGGGGTTCCACAGAGGCCAGTATGCCACAGCCCCTGCGGCGACATTTCTCGGTCCAACAGCACAGCCCTCCGTGCCTCATCCTGGGCCGGGGAAAGGCCCTCGGGTCTGGGCCCTGGTGTGGCAGGCAAGGGCTCTATGCGGAGAGACATCCACACACCACACCCATGGCCCAGCTTGCCCCGAGGGGCCTCCTCTTTCCCAGTCCCTCCCCACCCCATCGCGGCCAACCCCTATCCATGCTGTCTTCTAAACAACTCTCCACGGGCACACCTTGCTGGTCTCTGTGCCACCAGGTCAGTCCTGGCTCCAGCTGCTCGCCTGGACGCCCGTGGCAGCCCACTCCCCTGCCTCATCCTGCTGCCCTCCTGGGACAGGTGGCTTACAAACATGCGGCTAACCTTATTCCTTTCATGCTCAAAACCCTGCCATCACCTCCAGGTGTTCTCAGGAGAAGGTCCAAAGTTAGGATGGAGCCAGGCACGGTGGCGTCACACCTGTAATCCAGTACTTTGGGAGGCTGAGGCAGGAGCCCAGGAGTTTGAGACCAGCCTGGGCAACCTACTGGGATCCTGTCTCTACAAAATATTGTTTTAAATAGCTGGGTGTGGTGGCACATGGCTATAAGTCCCAGCTACTCAGAAGGCTGAGGCAGGGGGATCACACCACAGCACTCTAGCCTGGGTGACAGAGCAAGACCCCATCTCAAAATAAATAAATAAATAAATAAATAAATAAATAAA
This sequence comes from Homo sapiens, assembly GCF_000001405.40. Lineage (NCBI taxonomy): Eukaryota > Metazoa > Chordata > Mammalia > Primates > Hominidae > Homo > Homo sapiens. The sequence continues at coordinate 130,985,950 of NC_000009.12, read as the reverse complement.
TAAAAGTCAGGATACACCTTCAAAGTGTCCCACCTGGCTCCTGCCCTCTCTGCAGCCTGTCCCACCCCACCTCTTTCCCCAGCACCCGCCGGGCACCCCTCCAGTGCCCTCCTGCCTTGGCTTTCACGGAGGCTGTTCCTCAGTGAGCAGGTCCTTGGCCCCTCCTCACCAGGTGTACTCGCACCTGGCCACAGCTGAGATCTGTCAGGTCTCAGTGTCAACACCACCTCCTCGGGTGTGCCCCTCCTGTCCCAAGACCAGGCCAGGTCTTCTTGCTGCACACTCTGAGCTCCTGCCCTTGGCCTGCAAAACACCAGTATGACTATAATTCAAAACCATTCAGTACCATCTGTTGAAAGGCCATGGCCCGGCCAGGCAAGGTGCCTCATGCTTATAATCCCAACACTTTGGGAGGCCGAGACAGGCAGATTGTTTGCGCTCAGGAATTCAAGACCAGCCCGGGCAACATGGCAAAACCCTGTCTCTACAAAAAATACAAAAAAAATTAGCTGGGCATGGTGGTGCATGCCTGTAGTTCCAGCTACTCAAGAGACTGAAGCGGGAGGATCCATTGAGCTCGGGAGGTCAAGGTTGCAATGAGCCATAATCCCATCACTGCACTCCAGCCTGGGCGACAGAGTGAGACCCTGTCTCAACAATAACAAAGTCCATCCCCCATTGGATTTGAGCTGCACAGATGTTGCAAGGGCCAGAAGCTGCCGATCTCTGTCCCATGTGACTGTGTGGCCTTGGGTGAGGTTCCAGATTCCCTGAGCCTCAGTTAACTGATCTGCAGAATGGGACAACAATGTCTAATTCACAGGGGTGGTGGGAGGACGGAGCAAGATCCTGAAGGACAGGAGCCTGAGGAAGAGCTTAGGCTCTGCAGCCAGACTCTCTGGGGCCAAGTCTTTGGGGCCGCCCCTCATCAGCTTGCCTCTCAGTTTTCTCATTGGTGAAATGGGTTGTTACAGCAATTATACGAGTTAATATCTATGAAGCTTCATCACTGGTCCTAACAAATGATGAACCCCGTAGCACTGTTAGCTCCTGTTACCTTCATTGGTGCCTTGAATATCTCCTCCTGGATATTGCCAGGGCTCAGTGAATCCTTCCTCCCTTGAATGGGAGGGTTAACTAACCGCCTCTGAGCAGCCCCTTTATTAGACACCCAAGCGTGTCCTGCTGAAACCAGACGTTAGCCCATGAACCGTAAACCTGTGGCTGTGACAGCAGCCGAGCCTATCACCTTGAACGCTCACCTCTTGGGAAGGGATATGGCAGGTGCGGAACACAGGGGGAACAAGGTTTGAATGGGGACAGGGATGTATCTTTGTCAGTGGCTTGCTGTTCTCTGGGGTGGCTCTAGTGCACAGAAAAGATTACTCAGACAATGGCTTTGATTTTAAACATTAACATTTGTTTCATGAATGTTACGCATTCAAAAATGTTCTTCTTTCTTAAGCTTTTAAGTTCACTTTACACATGTTACTTATTCTATTTAAAATCCAGCACATCAGAACAATCCCTTCTAAGGACCATTTCCTTACTGTTTGGTCCCATTTACAAAACCAGTTCATGGAGCTCCTTGAAACATTTTGAACTGCATAAATAAACTTAATCGATTCAGTTTCCTTTGTAAGTACTTCCACGGCCCAACTGAGAAACCAGCCTCGCTACAGACTGAAGCACATCTTTTGTGCGTCTAACACATTGAATTACAGATGTGGTGAATTCCAGCACTGTTTCCAAAGTTTCTCAGAGCGCAGCTTCAAGTCTCAAGTCTAAGCCACGTGCTCAGTTTCACATTTTAAGTCAGAATCGTGAGGCTGACCTTGTCCTTTAATCGGCAAAAGTCTTCCTAACTTTACAAATGCTGAAACAACGCAGCGTGAGTGGAGGGTGGTTTCAGCATTTGTAAAGTTAGGAGGACTATTTTTTTTTTTTTTAATGAGACAGAGTCTCGCTCTGTCACCCAGGCTAGAGTGCAGTGGTGCGATCTCGGCTCTCTGCAACATCTGCCTCCAGGATTGAAGCGATTCTCCTGCCTCAGCCTCCCCAATAGCTGGGATTACAGGTGTGTGCCACCACGCCCAGCTAATTTTCGTGTTTTTAGTAGAGACGAGGTTTCACTGTGTTGGCCAGGCTGGTCTCGAACTCCCGGCCTCAAGTGATCCGCCTGCCTCGGCCTCCCAAAGTGCTGGGATTACAGGCGTGAGACACCGTGTCCGGCCTGTAAAGTTAGGAAAACTTTTGAGACAAAAATACTATTATTATTGTTTTGATTCTCTTAAACACATCTATACTTAATTCTAAACATTTTGGGGCTGAAAGATGCTTGCTACTGTGGAAGGGACTTTGCCACACCTGGTGATTTGAGGGCCGCCTTCTCAGCTGGCAGAATGTCTTCGGCCAGTGTGGCCTGACTGAGTTGCCTACATTCCTGCCCACTGCCTCATGGGACATGGAGCACGACGGGGCTACTGGCCAGCCGGATGCATCCTCAGCCCCTCATTCTCTGTCTGCTCACGCCAGTCTGAAGCCCCCCACCCAGGGCCTTCCAAATTTGATTGGATTCAGCTAATCAGTTTACTGACTCATTCTGCTGTGATCTCTTTTCATAGTCCTCCTCTCCATCAGGGCAGACTCTATAGAGGACACCTAATGACTGGTGATTGGATTCTCTGTCTCTCCCGGGGCTTTTGTGACAGTTCTGAGGTCACCCGAAGGACAGGGGTTGGGAAAACACGACTACTGCCCAGGAAGAGGCTCAGAGCAGAGGGTGGCCCTGGGAAGCAGGAGCTGCTGCGAGGGCCGAGGGGCCACAGGGATGCCCCAGTCTTCCTGCTTTTGCCAACCGCAGGCTCTTCATCCAGCTGCTGCAGAAACCAAGCGATGTCTCCAAGAAGGCCGGCTATGCGGAAGAGCCTGGGCTTCAGGATCACACAGGCCTGGTGGAGGAGGCAGCCGCCTGGCCTTACCTACCCAGCAATGTTGGCAAGGTGCTCCTCCCTCTAGTGTCACCCATGAAACGAACAAACCATGGACAGGGCCTTCACGTGCCCTCCTGGGCAGCGCAGGTGTGAGCACTAAGCGGGGCCTGGTGCTCGGGGAGCTCCTCGTAAATGTCAGTCCCCTTCTCCGCGGTGGCGTCCTCCTGAGCTCCGCCCAAAGGAGGCTGGGGCCAGGGCAGGCAGTTTATGTACTGAGTGTTTCCTAGGTGCCAGCCTCCAGGCTGTCCACACACTCTTTTTTTTTTTCTTTTTTGAGACGAAGTCTCGCTCTTGTCGCCCAGGCTGGAGTGCAATGGCGCGACCTGGGCTCACCGCAACCTCTGCCTCCCGGGTTCAGACGATTCTCCTGCCTCACCCTCATGAGTAGCTGGGATTACAGGCACCCGCCACCACACCCAGCTAATTTTTTGTATTTTTAGTAGAGATGATGTTTCACCGTGTTGGCCAGGCTGGTCTCAAGCTCCTGACCTCGGGTGATCCACCCACCTTGGCCTCCCAAAGTGCTGGGATTACAGGCATGAGCCACCGTGCCCGGCCCCACACACTCTCTTATTTCACCAATGCAACAGCCGCATGAGACAGTAATCAGCATCCATTCAGTACCAGGGCTCCGAGAGATCCAGTAACCTGCCCAAAGTCACACAGCTTAAGAACAGTGGAGCTGGGCTTTGTACCCAGCCAGTCTCACTCCTCAGCCTCCTGGTCTTGGTCCCTGTGCTGTCCTTCCCCAGGGCCCTGGTCGCCCACAATGGGCTTGGCCAGACCAGGCGGCAGGAGGAGGCAGCGTGACAAGAGCTTTTTCCACAGTGGAGACGATTCCATTCCATCTCCTCGTCACTCCCTCCTCAATTATCTCACCACCTGGAACCTGAGAGAATGCAATCCACTTCGAAGGCAGAGTCTCACAGATGAAAGCCATGGCCTGCAACCCAGGCTGACAGCCCCGTGGCGGGGGCACCTGCCTGAGCCTCGCTGGCCCTGAGTGGAGGGCGGGGGCCGCAGGGAGGTGGAGAAGCCGCATGGCGAGTGGGCAGAGGCCGTTGTCTTGGTAACTCAGGCTGAGCTGACGCTGGCCCTCCTGGGATTTTTCCCTGTGATGAAAGGTGCGGTGAGGAGAGGGCGGGAGAGGAGCAGGGAACTTACCCAGCACCCTCCTTCCATGGAGGGGGGTTGCTGACTTAATAAGGACCAAAGGCAGCTTTGAGGATTCTTTTCTGCAGGAAACCTCAATCCCAGGTTTGAGACGTGGCTGAGTGAGGTAGGGGGTGCTGGGGAAGCCAGGCCCCTGGGGTGCAGCAGGGGAAGGGGTCTCCCCCACACCTGTACCCCATGGGGAAAGTCCTCAGGTTACAAACCCCATCCCAGGCCAGGGACAGCTCTTGCAAGGACCCAGTGGATCTGTGGCCCTGAGGGGAAGTGGGAGAGGCTCCTGCGAGGTGGGCCTGATGGTTCGGTGGTTAGAGCTCAGCCGGGGGAGGCCATGAGTCTCCTCTGCTTCCCAGGTGGTCACTTCCTTTTCCTCATCAGTAATGGGAAGATAATTGCAACCTTCTGGATTGGTTAAATGATGTATTGCTGCAAAGCCCTTAGCTCTAGCGGATGCCCCCATCCAAATGGATGGTGTTGCCATTACCATGCCTGGGGTGGGGAGGTCTAGCCCCAGCTTAACCAAGACCTTCACCCAAAGAACTGTGGGCAGTGGTCGGGAGGGCAGGGCAGCTTCCTCTTTTTTTCTCTTTCCTTTTCTTTTTTTAAGTGGCTTGCAGAATTGCAAAATCATCTCCCTTGTACTCAAAAGGATACAGAAGAGAAGCTTGCCCTGCCCGCTCTCAGGCAAGAGCACGTCCGCCATTGATCCATTATTCATTCAAGTTGCTTCTCTTTTAAGGATGTGGCCCGAGAGGTGGGTGGCCCAGGATGGGCAGGAGGGTCCAGGTTGCCTCTGCTCAACATTCTTTGCTCTGCCAGCCTATCGGCTCTGCCTTCTCTGTGAAGAGACCCCCATCTGCACGCCCACCCCCCCGTAATAGACATGACTTTGCAGTCAAACATCCACGTGCTCTAACCCAGGCCCCCGCGTACCTAGGCCGCATCTTGAGGAAGTGACGACGTGAGAGGCCAAACCTGGTCTCGTAACTGACTGTCCCCCAAAGCACCAACCCTGCTTGACCGTCGAGGGGGCTGTGCTGTACGCTGAGAGCTAAGGATGAGAACGTCTCTAATGAGGAGCAGGTGGATGGGCCCGGGAGGGGCTACATATGTTTTCTAAAGCTGCTTCCTCCGTACCACTGTGCAGGGCTCCCAGGACACCCCCCGCTGCCCAGGGGCAATGCTTCATTCCTCAGCAGCACCATGACAAGGTTCCTGTGTGTTGCATATGAATCAGAAGAGATTCGTTTCTTAGGCAGTTGATATGTGCACGGCCCTATGCTGAGGCCCTTTGTGCCAACTGCATGCTGGAGGGAATGTTATATCCATTTCACAGATGAGATAAGTGAGGCGCACAGGGGCGAAGTCCCTTGCTATTTAGAGGGGTATTTCCAGGAGGAGACCCTAGTCTAGGATTTCAGGGCAAGCGATTTCATGAAAGAAGAGCTCGAAGGAGAAGCTGGTAAGGAGTGAGGGAGGCAGGAAAGGGAAGAGGGAGACAGCAATAGGGTGGGTTTAAGAGAGGGCTGAGCTCAGCCTGCTCCCACGAGGTGCACTGGAGCATAGAGTGCACCCTCAGCTTTGCCTCATCCCAAGGCCAGGAGCTGGGCTTTTGCACCCGGCACCAGTCAATGGCTGCAAAGCCAAGCCTTGAGATGCTGGCGGAACGGAGGCAGTGCTCACAGAGGGGACTCAAGGGGGACCTGGCAGGGACACCAAAGGTCCTCCTCGTACTTGACTTGCAAGTCACACACCTCGCAAGTGGCAGAGCCAGGGTTCAAACCTAGCTCTGACCACTTGGGACGTTTCCCACTGCCCCAGCCTGCCCCGCCAGGGCCAGCTCTCTGTCCTCACTCAGAGCCTGCCCTTCCTCTCCAATCCCTGCTCTCTGCTTGGAAGCGAAGAGCCATGTTCTAGGCGCTGAAATGACACCAGCATAGATCGTCTGCTTTTATTATACCATGTATCGTATCATGCTCTAATCCACAGCCTCGCCATGGAAAATATAGACAGCGCGTCTCATGTATTATTTATGCAGTGGGACTCTGGGCTGGAGTAACATGGGGGCAGCCTTAGATATATACACGCTTGGCTCTGCAAACTCGGAGAAGTCCCTGTGCACAGAGGAACAATTAGACATTCCTGAATTAGGGCCCTTCTCTTTCGGTGACACCACAAACAAATGCTAAACAAAAAGTGAGTTGATTTAAAGAAAACGATTCTGGCTGGGCACAGCGGCTCAAGCCTGTAATCCCAGCAATTTGGGAGGCTGAAGCGGGTAGATCACTTGAGGTCAGGAGTTCAAGACCAGCCTGGTCAACATGGTGAAACCTCAACTCTACTAAAAATACAAAAATTGGCCGGGCGTGGTGGCACACGCCTGTAATCCCAGCTCCTCAGGAGGCTGAGGAATGAGGATCACTTGAACCCGGGAAGCAGAGGTTGCAGTGAGCGGAGAACATGCCATTGTACTCCAGCCTGGGTGATGGAGTAAGACTCGGTCTCAAAAAATAAAACAAAACAAGACAAAACAAAATAAAATAAGATAATAAAATAAAACAAAACCATTCTGTGACTGATTCTTTTTTTTTTTTTTTTTTTTTTTTGAGACGGAGTCTCGCTTTGTCACCCAGGTTGGAGTGCAGTGGCACGATCTCAGCTCACTGCAAGCTCCGCCTACCAGGTACACACCATTCTCCTGCCTCAGCCTCCCGAGTAGCTGAGACTACAGGCACCCGCCACCACGCCCGGCTAATTTTTTGTATTTTTAGTAGAGACGGGGTTTCACTGTGTTAGCCAGGATGGTCTCGATCTCCTGACCTCGTGATCCGCCCGCCTTGGCCTCCCAAAGTGCTGGGATTACAGGCGTGAGCCACCGCGCCCAGCCTCTGTGACTGATTCTTATTGGCCCATGGGTCTGGCAGGTGATGGAGGTTTGGGGAACACGGACTCAGATCACACTCCCCTTTGGGGAGATGTCCAGGAAGGGGAGGCGGGTCCAGCGATGCGTTCCTGGGATCATCCTTTCTGCCCTGTACCGAGCATCAACTCTGCACAGTCATCTCTTCCCGCAGCACCTCACTGACCGCACTCTGCACAGCACCCTGTGAAGTGGACGTCACTGAACCCATGTCCGGTGGCTCTCGCTGCCTGTCCCCCTTGGAGTGAGGTGTGGCCCTATGGCTCCCTCCAGCCAAGGAATCCAGACAGGGAGGGATGTGGGCTGCGTTCAGGTGTGGGAACCAATTAGCTGGGTGCGGTGGCTCATGCCTGTAATCCCAGCACTTTGGGAGGCCGAGGCGGGTGGATCACGAGGTCAGGAGATCGAGACCCTCCGGGCTAACACGGTGAAATCCCATCTCTACCAAAAATACAAAAAATTAGCCGGGCGTGGTGGCACCTGCCTGTAGTCCCAGCTACTCGGGAGGCTGAGGCAGGAGAATTGCTTTAACTCAGGAGGCGGAGGTTGCAGTGAGCTGAGATGGTACCGCTGCACTCCAGCCTGGGCTACAGAGTGAGACTCTGTTTCAAAAAAAAAAAAAAAAAATGTGGGAACCCCTGGCTCTCCCTCCACGTGTTCTGGCTCCTGTCAGCCTGGTTTCCAGAGCCCGTGGGGGATGGGTGTACCGTGTGAGAGAAGAACAAACTTGCGCTTTCCAGGCCGTGAGATTCGGGGGTTGTTACCCATCCTCTCGTGCCGATCGAGCATTTAACAGATAAGCACACAGTCAGGGCCAGACGCGCAAAGCGACCTTTCTGAGGTCATGCTGCTTGGAAATGGGGCAGCTGGGACACAGGGCAAGTCTCTTCACCCAGCTCAGGCTGCCAGAGTTGGACCCAGCCCCTATACCACCTCCTGGCACCAGCTTCCTTCCATCCCTGGGGCCAGCTGACTTTTTCAAAAGGCCAATCTGTCAACACGTCCCCTCAAGCGACACCTAGGCCTCTCCCAGAGCCCTCTGCTCTCCCCCGTGCGCTCAGCCTCACACCTCCGGGCCTTGGGGTGGCTGCCCTGGTCTTTCCGAGGACTCCTCCTCCCTCCACTACTCCCTACAAATCCACTGTCCATCCAGGAGCCAGTCCATCTTTCCCAAATGTGCGTCGGCTTACACCGTCTCCTGTCCAACGCCTGTTGCTGGCTCCGAAGCGCCCCTGGTGAAAGAGCCCTGGCGTGGCTCGCCAGGTCCGCCTGCTTTGGCCGCCGCGGGCCTCTCCACCTCACTCGCAGCACTCTTCATTTTGGGCCAGATGCTCCAGCCACACTGGCTCTTTCAGTCCCTCAGACACCGTGCTCATTCTGTTGCAGGCCTCGCAAGGCTGTTCCTGCTGCCCGGAACACTCTTCCCTGCAATTTTAGCCCAGCTCATTCACACCTCAGCTTCGGACCTCATCTCAGACACCTAAGAGGCTACTGCCGCGGGGGTCCAGCCACGAACTCTGTGTGTGTGTGTGTGTGTGTGTGTGTGTGTGTGTGCGCGCGCGTGTGCATGTATGTGCGCATGCATGCATGCCTGTGTGTGCGTGTGAACCCCGCCTCCCCTCACACCTGCCCCAGATGCTGCAGCCCCTGACCAGCCCCAGCCCTCGTGTGTTAAGCTTGCTGTTATTTCCCTGTTCAAGGCTCATCTCTCCCACTAGGACAGCAGCCTCATGCCGGGGGATTTGCCTTATTATTTTGTATCCCAGGGGCCTCGCCCAGCACCTGGCCCAAAGGAGGTCTTCAGTGAATACAGTCGGCCCTTCATATCCATGGGTTCTGCATCTGTGGATTCAACCAACCTCGGATTGAAAATATTTTTTAAAAAGGTTTGTACCTGTACTGAATATGTAGAGACTTTTTTCTTGTCATTATTCCCCTAAACAATACAATGTAACAACTATTTACATAGCACTTACATTGCATTAGGTATTATAAGTAATCTACAGATGATTTAAAGTACACGGGAGGATGTGTGTAGGTTATGTGCAAATGCTATGCCATTTTGTAGAAGAGCCTAGAGTATCCGTGGATTTTGGTATCCACAGGGGTCCTGGAACCAATCCCACATCGATATCCAGGGACAACTGTATTCACAGAATGAATGAGTGAGTGAGTAAATGAAGGCTTTACATTGCTTGATACCATGAGTGGCCATGAGTCAGGGAAAATGTATTTGAATTTCTCTGTCCAGGACACAGACCCAGCCACCCCTCAGGGAACTGCACCCAGGTGATGACCTCTCATGGATAAGCCACTGCCCTTCAGAGGGCGGCACCGTGTGTGAATTCACTGTCCGTCCTGCTCACAGGCCTGGCTGCACCTGAGATCCCTGTGCTTAGGGTCTGTGCTCTCTGAGGTTCATACACAGAGTCACTCATTCCTAAGAGTCAGGCCTCAAGCCCTGGAGCGTGGACCCCACAATGGTGCAGTGTCACCCGTCAGAAAGACCGTGAGCTTTGGAGCCAGAGAGACCCCGTTCCAGTCCCTCCTGCTAGCTGTGTGACCTTGGAGAGTCACTGAACATCTTGGTGGAAGCCTCTGTTTTCTCCTCTGCAGAATGGGCATAAAATGATGCCCACCTCCAAGAGCTGCCATGAGGATTCAGAGTCCATGTCCAGAGTCTTCAGCTGTTACGGTCATGACCTTGGCCTCCCAGCCCTGCCCTGTGGACCTGCACACCCAGGCAGGGACTGCTGACCCTGAGATTCAAGGTGTTAAAACATGAGTTGGAGGGCACATGTTCTCAGGATCTCCTGAGGGCTGTGTCACGGGCCATTGGTCACTATAAAATTAAATTAGGCCAGGTGCGGTGGCTTACGCCTGTAATCCCAGCATTTAGAGAGGCCAAGGTGGGCAGATCACCTGAGGTCAGGAGTTCGAGACCAGCCTGGCCAACATGGCTAAACCCCGTCTCTACTAAAAATAGAAATTTAGCAGGGCATGGTGGCACGTGCCTATAGTCCCAGCTACTCAAGAGGCTGAGGCAGGAGAATCACTTGAACCTGGGAGGCGGAGGTTGCAGTGAGCCGAGATCGTGTCACAGCACTCCAGCCTAGGCAACAGAATGAGACCCCATCTCAAATAATTAATTAATTAATTAAAAACGAGTTAGCTTTTTTTAAAAAAACTTATTTTAGATTCAAGGGTACATGTGCAGGTTTGTTATATGGATAAACTGCGTGTCACGGGGGTTTGGTGTACCGACAGTTTGATCACCCCAGTAATAAGCATAGTACCCAGTAGGTATTTTTTAATCCTTTCCCTCCTCCCAATCCCCACCCTTGAGTAGGCCCCCGTGTGTGTTGTTCCCCTCCTTATGTCCATGTATTCTTGTTGTTTAGCTCCCACTTACAAGTGAGAATACACGGTATTTGGTTTTCTGTCCCTGCACTTAGTTTGCTTAGGATAATGGCCACCAGCTCAATCCATGTTGCTGCAAAGGACATGACCTTGTTCTTTTTCATGGCTGCATAGTATTCTGTGGTGTATATGTACCACGTTTTCTTTATCCGGTCCACTATTGATGGGCATCGTGGTTAAATCTATGTCTTTGCTTGTGTGAATAGTGATGTAATGAACATGTACATGCATGCATCTTTATGGTAGAATGATTTATATTCCTTTGGGTATATACCCAATAATGGGATTGCTGAGTCGAACTGTAATTCTGTTTTAGGTTCTTTGAGGTCTTCCTACACTGCTTTCCATAATAGCTGAACTAATTTACGCCCCCTCCAGCAGTGGGCAAGTGTTCTGAAATACAGGTTAGCTCTCAGTGGAGACTTTCTCTCACACAGTCAGAAGGACCTGAGGGGCATTGACGATGGAGACTTTCACATCTGTAAAAGCCACTCACCTGTATGCACTCTCAGGGTGGAGGTACCTGCTGCAGGTGTGACGTCATTAAAGGTTGTCCCCACCGCAGATGGTGACCTCACCTAGGGAAAAGTCCCAGGTGTCCTACCAGGCTGTCTGGAGCTGGGCAGGGGCGCTGAACAGTGGTATCTGGGGGGAGATAAATTGATGGGCCATTTGGTGACCATTCTGTCTTCTCCCTGAGCTCAGGGAGGGGCTTGGTGCTTCCAGACCCCTGTTGCTTGTTTTTCTTTCTTTCTTTCTTTTTTTTTTTTTTGAGCAGAGCTCACCTGAGGTGGACAGAGTCTCCCTCTGTTGCCCAGGCTGGAGTGCAGTGGCACAATCTCGGCTCACTGCAACCTCTGCATCCCGGGTTCAAGCGATTCTCCTGCCTCAGCTCCCGAGTAGCTGGGATTACAGGCACCCACCACCAAGCCCAGCTAATTTTTTGTATTTTTAGTAGAGACAGGGTTTCACCGTGTTGGCCAGACTGGTCTCGAACTCCTGACCTCAAGTGATCCACCCACCTCAGCCTCCCAAAGTGTTGGGATTACAGGCGTGAGCCACTGCACCCAGCCTGGTGCTCATTTTTCTATTGAACTCCTTGCCGTGTTTCCAAGCCTGTGATCCTCTTGCCGTCATTAGCTATGGATGAGCAGAAGTCCCTGAGGTTGGAGAGGAATGAGAGGGATTGGGAAGGTGTGGGGAGCAGCCAGAATTGCAGGGTCCATGGCCTGGGTGGGGATTGCACCTGGGTAGGCGTCGCATCGGCCTCATTCCCACGGCCCCCGGGGAGTTCTGTGTGCCTCCCGCCTGGCAGAGGCTCCTAGAGACACTGGGAATCAGGTCTGTCCTCTGTGGCCCCACTTACTGCCTCCTCCGGGGACAGAGCTGCGCAGGGATGACCATGAGATCAACTGTGAGGCTGCAGGTGACTGCACGGCTCAGAAAAGAATTGCAGCTCCCTTGGCGGATCCCCCAGAACCCCCTGTGATGAGCTTTGGGAACATTTTCACCTCTTCATCAACGGGTACCCACTCGGGGCCAGCCGGAGGCAGGGGGAGGGGAACACTACCAGGCAGCATGCAGACGCAACTCCAGCCACCACCGCCCACAGGGGCAGACTAGCAAGAGGACCGTTTCGTGCCATGAGCTGTGATGGGAGGTACAGGCTGTGCACTGAGAGGCACCCATGACAGCTGGGGCAGGAGGCCGGCGGTCAGAGAAGACTGGCCCTGAGGATTGAACCGGGGTGAGCTGCGATACAAGGCAGAGGGGGGTGTTCCAGGCAGAGGGAGCAGCTTGCGCAAAGCCCGGGACGAAAGACAGAGGCAGGGCGTTTGTGTTCAGTGAGCTGAAGAAGACCAGGGTGGCTGGTACCCAGGGGGACAGGGGAGTGTGGCACCGGCTGGAGGGGTGGGCACCGGCAGCCCCTAGGATGGAGTCTGGGCTTTGTCTTACAGCTAGAGGCGGACGTGGATCAGGGAAGGGAAGCATTCTGCTCTGGCCCTCCTGTCCCACCCGGGAGGTGGCAGGGTCCATACCCAGCCCTGCTCAGCCCACCACCTGTCCTTGGCTCTAGAAGGTGGAGCCGGAGACTTTGAGTTGCTCAGGGGCCACCCAAACAGACAATGATGGCGACCGTTACGCCCCAGCCTCCGAGGTCTGCTGGAGGGTCATTTAAACAGCCGGAGGGTATTTGGGAGTCTGGGGCCAGGCTGCGGGAGGCAGGGAGCAGAGCTCACCTGCAGGTGGACGGCTGCACCTGCAGAGAAAGGTCACCCTGTGTTCGCCTCCATGGACCTGGTGCTCGATTGCCTTAGTTTACCCTCTGGGTGCCCACAGAACCAGGTTAATCCCTTCCACACAGCACAGCCACAAGGGAGTTTAGGCCTGGGCAAATAGCACACAGGGCCCTGGCTGCTGGGGGTGGGCTCAGTGACCCTTGGTGACTGTTCCCTCACACCATCTCCTCCTACTGCAAAGGCAGGACCCACTTACTGCTGGTCGCTGTCCCAGAGGCTGGCAGAGACGTCAGAGAAGGCAGGGCTGGCATCTCACGAATGGGAAGTGGGCATAACTGGGTAGCCTCCTCTGGTTGGGCCCTCAGTGGGCTGTGTGGCTGGGGCAGCCTGAGGTACCAGCCAAGGCCCCAGCCCATCTGCTGAGATTTCAAAGGCAAATGTTCTGAGAAAGAATGGGGCTTAATAAGCTCGGAGATCGATTCCACTGAAGGGAAGGAGAGAGGGAGAGATCAGAGAGACCTGGAGCAATACAGAGATAACAGCAGAGACAGACAGAGGGACAGAGACACAGAGACAGAGGGACAGAGACACAGAGACAGAGGGACAGAGACAGAGCACAGAGACAGAGGGAGCAGAGAGACACAGAGACAGAGGGACAGAGACACAGACAGAGCACAGAGACAGAGGGGGCAGAGAGACACAGAGACACAGCACAGAGACAGAGGGGACAGAGACACAGAGACAGAGGGGGCAGAGAGACACAGAGACAGTGGGAGCAGAAAGACACAGAGACACAGCACAGAGACAGAGGGGACAGAGACACAGAGTCACAGCACAGAGACAGAGGGGACAGAGACACAGAGTCACAGCACAGAGACAGAGGGCGCAGAGAGACACAGGCAGACACACAGAGAAAGAGGGAAGGAGAGAAACAGAAGCAGACACAGAGACAGATAAATACAGAGCTTCACAACAGAGACACACAGAGAGACACAGACCACAGAGACAGAGACACATGGAGAGACACAGACCACAGAGAGAGACACATAAAGACCACAGAGACAGAGACACACAGAGAGACACAGACCACAGAGACAGAGACACACGGACAGACACAGACCACAGAGAGAGACACATAAAGAGACACAGACCACAGAGACAGAGACACACAGAGAGACACAGACCACAGAGACAGAGACACATGGACAGATACAGACCACAGAGACAGGGAGACATGGAGAGATACAGACCACAGAGACAGAGAGACACAGACCACAGACCATAGAGAGAGAGACACACAGACAGACAGACACGGACCACAGAGACAGAGACACATGGAGAGATACAGACCACAGAGACATACGGAGAGACACAGAGACACACACACCATGGAGACAAAGAGAATCAGAGCCCTGCCCTACACAGAAACACAGACACACACACAGACAGAGACACAGGGAGACACACACCACAGGGAGAAAGAGAGGCCGGGCCCTGCCTCCCGACTACAGAAACAGAGACATGCAGAGACACACACTGAGACAGAGAGAGGTGGAGACACTGGGGCCTCCCAGACAATGAGAAAGTCAGTGAACCAGGGGAGGAGGGGAAGTCTCTGCTTGTGAACCAGTGGGGCGGGGGCAGAGGGGCCTGGGAGGGCCCGAGGGTCTGAGCCTCCTCAGGAAGCTGGAGAAGCTGCTGTGGGGCCGGCCCCTCCCCTAGCTCACTGGGGTCTCGGCTTGGTCCTCTTGCCCCTTAGGAGCATGAGGGGCACACAGGCTGCAGCTGTCCTTTCCGGAAACTTCCCGTACGCCAGGTCCATCCTGTGACCCAATGACCATCAGTGAGTTAAGCTCCGAGAATTCCCACTTCCAGATGAGAAAACAGGCTGGGCTCATATAACGGCCCCTCACAAAGATGGGATTTGGGTGCAGGCCTTTTCAGCTTTTTCAGCTTTGAACACGCATTTCTATCACCCAAGTCTATGCCTCTTAAAGTCAAAAGCAGGCAGGTGCTTTCTTAAGAATGGACAATGCCCATCACTAGTGGCAGAAAGGCTTTCACTCCCTCCCTCCTCCCTTCTTCCCTTCTCCATTCCTTCCTCTCTCCTCCCTCCCTTCCTCCCTCCTCCCTCCTGCCTCCTCCCTCCCTTCCTCCTTTCTTCCTCCCTCCCTCCTTCCCTCCTTCCTTTCTTCCTCTTTCCTGCCCTTCCTCCCTTCCTTCCTTCCTCTCTCTCTCTTTGCCCTTCCTTTTGGAACATGTGTCTCCACCTCTCTCTGTCTCAGTGTGTGTCTCTGCATGTCTCTGTTTCTGCAGTCGGGAGGCAGGGCCCGGGCTCTCTTTCTCCCTGTGGTGTGTGTCTCCCCGTGTGTCTCTGTCTCTGTGTGTGTCTCTGTTTCTCTGTAGGGCAGAACTCTGATTCTCTTTGTCTCCAGTATGGAGTCTGGCTATAGTAGATTATTAATAAAAAATTTTTAGCTAAGCGCAATGGTTCATGCCTGTAATCCCAGCATGAGGGAATTATGCTTTGGGAGGCCAAAGCAGGTGGATCAGTTGAGGCCAGGAGTTCAAGACAAGTCTGGGCAACATGAAGAAACCCTATCTCTACAAAAATAGAAAAATTAGCTGAGCGTGGTAGTGCATGCCTGTAGTCCCAGTTACTCAGCAGGTTGAGGTTGGAGAATTGTTTGAGCCTGGGAGGCTGAGGCTACAGTGAGCCACTGCACTCCAGCCTGGCTAACAGAGCAAGAGCCTGTCTCAAAAAAATAAAAAAGAAAAAGAAACAAAATGAACACCATGTTAAAATGTAGGTGTCTCTTGTTCCCTCCACAGTTCTTCACAGGCCTGTCCTGAGTTCTCCCACGCACAGATTGCCAGGTCTCTCGCCTCCTTCTCCAAGCTCAAAAACCACGCACAGCCTCTGCGATGCATGAGCTTCCTGAGCTGAGGCACCTCAACTCGAGTGGCCAGGGCTGGGCCCGGAGCCTCGAGGTGCCCCACCCCACCCCGCCATGCCCAGGCAGATCGGACCCTGTCTGGACGGTAACCTGGCTGGTGGTTCTTCCCACCACCACCAGGCAGCAGTTACTAGGTGCTCACTGTGGCCAGGCACGCACGAGATCCCTTTCCATCCTCACCTCCCCACCAGGAGGAAGAGCCTTTTTTTTGAGACAGAGTTTCACTCTTGTCACCCAGACTGGAGTGCAATGTCACGATCTTGGCTCACTGCAACCTCTGCCTTCTGGGTTCAAGCGATTCTCCTGCCTCAGCCTCCTGAGTAGCTGGGATTACAGGCATGTGCCACCATGCCCAGCTAATTTTTTTTTGTATTATTAGTATAGACGGGGTTTCACCATGTTGGCCGGGCTGGTCTTGAACTCCTGGCCTCAGATGATCCACCCACCTCGGCCTCCGAAAGTGCTGGGATTATAGGCGTGAGCCACCTCGCCCAGCCTATTTTATTTTTTTGAGAGGGAGTCTTGCTCTGTCACCCAGGCTGGAGTGCAGTGGCACAATCTCCGCTCACTGCAACCTCTGCCTCCCGGGTTCAAACGATTCTCAGGCCTCAGTCTCCCGAGTAGCTGGAGCTACAGGAATGCGCCACCAGGCCTGGCTAATTTTTTTGTGTTTTTAGTAGAGACAGGTTTTTGCCATGTGGCCAGGCTGGTGTCAAACTTGTGGCTTCAAGTGGTCCGCCCGCCTCAGCCTCCCAAAATGCTGGGATTACAGGCCTGAGCCACCGCGCCTGGCCCATTTTAATCATGTTAAAGTACACAGTTCAGCAGCATTTAGACCATTCACCATGTTGTGCTGTGTGAACTTTTTCATCACCCCAAACACAAACCAATTAAGCAGTCACGCTTCATCCCTCCTTTCCCTCCAGCCCCTGGAAACTATTAATCTGTTTTCCATCTGTGGATTTGCCTATTCCTGACATTTTATAGAAATGGGACCATACATATGTGGCCTTTTGTGTCTGGCTTCTTTTTTTTTTTTTTTTTTTGAGATGGAGTTTTACTCTTGTGGCCCAGTCTGGAGTGCAGCGGTGCGATCTTGGCTCACCGCAACCTCCACCTCCCAGGTTCAAGCGATTCTCCTGCCTCAGCCTCCAGAGTAGCTGGAATTACAGGCACCTGCCACCACCATTAGCTACCATGCCTGGCTAATTTTTTGTATTTTTAGTAGAGATGGGGTTTCATTATGTTGGCCAGGCTGGTCTCAAACTTCTGACCTCTTTTTTTTTGTTTTGTTTTGAGATGGAGTCTCGCTCTGTCCCCCAGGCTGGAGTGCAGTGGCGCGATCTCGGCTCACGGCAAGCTCCACCTCGCATGTTCACGCCATTCTCCTGCCTCAGCCTCCTGAGTAGCTGGGACTACAGGCACCCGCCACCACACCCGGCTAATTTTTTGTATTTTTAGTAGAGACGGGGTTTCACCGTGTTAGCCAGGATGGTTTCGATCTCCTGACCTCGTGATTCGCCTGCCTCGGCCTCCCAAAGTGCTGGGATTATAGGCGTGAGCCACCGTGCCTGGCCTGTGTCTGGCTTCTTTCATTGAACATGATTTTGAGGTTCTTCCATGTTGTAGTAGGTGCCAATACTTCACTCCTTTTTATTGCTGAATAATATTCTATTGCATGGATAGACCCACATGTTCTTTATTCGTTCATCCACTGATGGACATCTGAGCTGTTCCCATGTTTTGGTGATTGAGAACAATGCAGCTATTATCATTCGTATACAGGCATAGCTTGGATATATTACAGGTTTCATTCCAGACCACTACAATGAAGCAAATATCACAATAAAGGGAGTTACACAATATTTTTGGTTTCTCAGTGCATATAAAAGTTAAGCTTGGCCAGGCGCAGTGGCTCACACCTGTAATTCCAGCACTCTGGGAGGCCGAGATGGGTGGATCACGAGGTCAGGAGTTGGAGATAAGCCTGGCCAACATGGTGAAACCCTGTCTCTACTAAAAATACAAAAATTAGCTGGGCGTGGTGGTGCACGCCTGTAATCCCAGCTACTCAGGAAGCTGAGGCAGGAGAATCACTTGAACCCAGGAGGCGGAGGTTGCAGTGAGCTGAGATTGCACCACCACACTCCAGCCTGTGTGACAGAGCAAGACTCTCTCTAAAAACAAAAAAAAAAAGTCAAGCTTACATGACACTGTAATCTACTAAGTATGCAATAGCATTATGTCTAAAAAATGTACATACCCTAATTAAAAATATTTTATTGCTAAAAAGTGCTAATGATCATCTGAACTTTCACCAAGTCGCCATCGGTTTTCCGGTGGAAAGTCTGGCCCTGATGTTGGTGACTGCTGACTGATCAGGGTGGTGGTTACTGAAGGTTGGGGTAGCTGTGGCAATGTCTTAAAATCAGACAACAGTGAAGTTTGCCGCATCGATTGAGGCTTCCTTTCACAAAAGACTTCTCTGTAGCATATGATGCTGTTTGATAGCATTTTATCCACAGTAGAACGTCTTTCAAAATTGGAGTCGATCCTTTTCCCGCTGCTGCTTTATCAACTAAATTTATGAAATATTCGAAATCCTTTGTTGTCATTTCAACGATGTTCACAGCATCTTCACCAGGCCTAGATTCCATCTCAAAAAACAACTGTCTTTGCTCATCCATAAAAAGCAACTCCTCACATTCAAGTTTGATCATGAGATTGAAGCAATTCAGCCCTATCTTCAGGCTCCACATCTAATTCTAGTTCTCTTGCTATTTCCGCTACATGTGCAGTGACTTCCTCCACTGAAATCTTTGGGTTTTTTGTTTTGTTTTGTTTTTGAGATGGAGTTTCACTCTTTTTGCCCAGGCTGGAGTGCAATGGCACCGTCTCGGCTCACCACAACCCCCACCTCCCAGGTTCAAGCAATTCTCCTGCTTCAGCCTCCCGAGTAGTTGGGATTACAGGCATGCACCACCACGCCCGGCTAATTTTGTATTTTTAGTAGAGACGGGGTTTTTACGTGTTAGTCAGGCTGGTCTCGAACTCCCGCCCTCAGGTGATCTGCTCGACTCAGCCTCCCAAAGTGCTGGGATTACAGGTGTGAGCCACCGCGCCCAGAGGAGGTTTGTTGTTTGGTTGGTTTTTGGGTTTTTCTTTGTTTTTGTTGTTGTTGTTTGTTTTTTTGTTTTTTTGAGATAGTCTCACTCTGTTGCTCAGGCTGGAGTGCAGTGGCGCCATCTTGGCTCACTGCAACCTCTGCCTCTGAAGGTTCAAGCAGTTCTCGTGCCTCAGCCTCCCAAGTAGGTGGGATTACAGGCATGTGCTGCTACCCCTGGCTAATTTTTTGTATTTTGAGTAGAGACAGGGTTTTACCATGTTGGCCAGGCTGGTCTTGAACTCCTGGCCTCAAGTGATATACCTGCCTCAGCCTCCGAAAGTGCTGGGATTACAGGTGTGAGCCATCGCACCCGGCTGCTCCACTGAAGTCTTGAACTTCTCAAAGTCTTCCATGAGAGTTGGAATCAACTTCTTACAAACTCCTGTGAATGTTGATATTTTGGCGTCCTCCCATGAATCACGAATGTTCTTAATGGTGTCTATAGTGGTGAATCTTCCCAGGTTTTCAATTTACTCTGACCAGATCCATCAGAGGAATCACTGTCTGTGGCAGCTGTAGCCTTATGAAATATATTCTTAAATAAGCTGACTCGAAAGTAGAAATTACCCGTTGATCCACGGGCTGCAGAATGGATGCCAGGTTCGCAGGCATGAAAACAACATCAACCTCCTTGTACATCTCCATCAGAGCTCTTGGGTGACCAGGTGCATGGTCAATGAGCAGTAAGATTTTAAAAAGGAATCTTTTTTTCTGAGTGTTGGATCTCAACAGTGGGGTTAGAATATTCAGTAAGCTATGCTATAAACAGATTTGCTATCATTCAGGCTTTTTCTTTTTTAAAATTATTTTATTATTTTATTATTATTATTTTTGAGACAAAGTCTCGCTCTGTCACCAGGCTGGAGTGCAGTGGCCCGATCTCGGCTCACTACAAGCTCCCCCTCCCGGGTTCACGCCATTCTCCTGCCTCAGCCTCCCGAGTAGCTGGGACTACAGGCGCCCGCCACCACGCCCGGCTGATTTTTTTTTTGTATTTTTAGTAGAGACGGGGTTTCACCGTGTCAGCCAGGATGGTATCTATCCCCTCCTGACCTTGTGATCCACCCTCCTCGGCCTCCCAAAGTGCTGGGATTACTGGCGTGAGCCACTGTGCCCGGCCTTTGTTTTCTATTTATAGAGCACAGACCGAGTTGACTTGGCATAAGTCTTAAGGGCCCCAGGATTTTTGCAATGGTCAATGACCATTGGCTTCAACTTAGAGTCACCAGCTACATTATCCCCTAACAAGGGTCAGCCTGTCCTTTGAAGCTTTGCCAGGCATTGACTTCCCTCTAGCTATGAAAGTCCTAGATGACATCTTCCAACAGAGGGCTGTTTCACTTACATGGAAAACCTAGCGTTTAGTGCAGCCACCTTCATCAATGATCTTAGCTAGATCTTCTAAACGACTTGCTGCAGCTTCTCCTTGCATTTTTGTATTATGGAGAGGGCTTCTTTCCTTAAACCTCATCACCCAACCTGTGCTAGCTTCCAACTTTTCTTCTGCAGCTTCTTCACCTGTCTCGGCCTTCACAGAATTGAAGAGAGTTAGGGTCTTGCTTTAGATTAGGTTTTGGCTTAAGATGTTATGGCTGATTTGATCTGCTATCCAGACCACTGAAACTTTCTCCGTATCAGCAATAAGGCTGTTTCACTTTTCTTTTCATTTGTGTGTTCCCTGGAGTAGCACTTTCAATTTCCTTCAAGAATTTTTCCTTTGCATTCACAGCTTGGCTGTTTAGCACAAGAGGCCTTGCTTCGGGCCTGTCTTGACTTTTGACACGCCTTCCTCATTAAGCTTAATCAAGCCTAGCTTTTGATGTAAAGGGAGAGACCTGGGACCCTTCCTTTCACTTGAACTCTTTTTTTTTTTTTTGAGATAGAGTTTTGTTCTTGTTGCCCAGGCTGGAGTGCAATGGCAAGATCTCAGCTCACCACAACCTCCGCCTCCCTGGTTCAAGAGATTCTCCTGCCTCAGCCTCCCAAGTAGCTGGGATTACGGGGATGCACCACCACGCCTGGCTAATTTTGTATTTTTAGTAGAGACAGGGTTTCTCCATGTTGGTCAGGCTGGTCTTGAACTCCCGACCTCAGGTGATCTGCCCACCTCGGCCTCCCAAAGTGCTGGGATTACAGGCGTGAGCCACTGCGCCTGGCCGTCATTTGAACTCTTAGAGGCCATTATAGGGTTGTTAATTAGCCTACTTTCAATATTATTGTATCTTAGGGAATAGGGAGGCCCGAGGAGAGAGAGAAAGATCAGGAGGGCTGGTCGGTAGAGCAGTACCAACACAAACAGCATTTATCATTTAAATATGCTGACATATACGGGTGCAGTTAGTGGTGCCACTAAACAATTGTTTACTGTAATTGTTACTACTGATGTTACAGTAGTAACATCAAAGACCACTGATCACAGGTCGCCATAGCAGATATAATAAGAATGAAAAAGTCTGATGGGCCAGGTGACACCTGTAACCCCAGCACTTTGGAAGGCTGAGGCAGGAAGATCACTCAGGGTCAGGAGTTCAAGACCAGCCTGGGAAACATAGTGGGACCCCACCCCAATCTCTACAAAAATAAAGATAAAAAAATGAACAGGTCATGGTGGTGCATACCTGTCTTCCTGGCTACTCAAAGGGTTGAGAAGGGAGGATTCCACGATCCGAGGAACTCAAGGCTACAATGAGCTATGACTGCATGACCACACTCCATCATTGGTAACAAAACAAGATGGTCTGTAATAAAATAAAATAAAATAAAAAATAAATAAAAACTTTAAAAAGGTTGAAATGTTGCAAGAATTACCAAAATGCGACATAGAGACATGAAGTGAGCACACGCTGTTGGAAAAATGGCACCGATAGACATGCTTGACACAGAGTTGCCACAAACCTTCAACTTGTAAAAATCACACAATAAAATGAGATGTGTGTGTACTGGACCATGTGTGAATGTCAGGTTTCATTCTCTTGGGCATATACTTGGGAGCGGAATTGCTGGGTCAAATGGTAACTCTGAAAGAGTTATGGAGTCTTGCTCCATTGCCCAGGCTGGAGTGCAGTGATGCGATCTCGGCTCACTGCAACCTCCACCTCCTAGGCTTGAGCGATTCTCCTGCCTCAGCCTCCTGAGTAGCTGGGATTACAGGCGCTCACCACCATGCCCAGCTATTTTTTGTATTTTTAGTAGAGACGGGGCTTCACCATGTTGGTCAGGCTGG
This sequence comes from Homo sapiens, assembly GCF_000001405.40. Lineage (NCBI taxonomy): Eukaryota > Metazoa > Chordata > Mammalia > Primates > Hominidae > Homo > Homo sapiens. The sequence continues at coordinate 130,963,861 of NC_000009.12, read as the reverse complement.
TCTATGAACTCCTGACGTCAGGTGATCCGCCTGCTTCGACTTCCCAAAGTGCTGGGATTACAGGTGTGAGCCACCGTGCCCGGCCTAGGCCCATCTGTGCACTTCCTTGTAAAATCCAGTTTTAGCAAAGAACCCTGCTAAATCAGTGTGGTCAGAACCCCTAAACTGGATATCCGATCAGGCTCCTCATCCTCCACCATCCCCGAGGTGATCTGATCCCCTGGCCCATCAGCAAGAATCCTGCTGGGCTGGTTTAGGCAGAATCCTCCTTTCCTCTAATGTTTCCTCGTGGGGATTTTTCACTCGCTGACCCCCCGCCCCCCCGCCCCGCACCCTGCTCCTCGGCTATTAATCTCCACTTGTCCAGGCTGTGTTTGGAGTTGAGCCCAATCCCCCAAGCCTCAGGCTCCCTTGCCATGGTCCTTGATGATTCTGAATAAAGTTTTCCTAACCATGTCTCCTAACAAGTGCCATTGAATCATTTTTTTTTCTTTAATAGAGTGAGCTAAGAATGGTGTTCGCATTTTTAAAGGGTTGTAAAAAGGAAATCAAAGATGCATATGCAGAGTCTAAAACATTTACTGTCTGGTTCTTGACAGTTTTCCGACTATCATGGTGGAGCTCTCCAGCCTTGGGGAGGGGAGTGGTGAGGTTTGGGGCATGAGACACCGCACGCCGCAGGGGCACAATCTCCCACGGCCCTTGCCCTAGGCCTGGGTGCTGGCCGAGGGACGCACTGCCAGGCTGCTCACAGCCCAGCCCCTGCCTGGGTCCCCAAGTGCCAGACGTCAGTTCTCCGTGGCTCCCATCCCAGGAGGAGGTGAAAAATGTGACACCTATAAGTGGGACATTAAAGTTTAATGGGGGCTGATGCATATTTAATGGGGCTTAACAAAGCATCCTTAAAGACATCCCAGACAGCCCCCCGGGGCGGGGGCATGCTGCCGCGAAAGCTGCCCTGCCCACTGCAGCCGGTGCTCCCTCATCTGTCTGGTGGCGTCCCTAGGAAAACTTGGCATTCCAAGCTCTTGCCAGAGCCAAGTGTGGGCCTGCGGTCTCCGAGGGAGCTGCCCTTTCATTATTAATATTATGAGAATGTCTGACGGGCCACGTGAGTCACAGGGATGTGACTCAGTCTGCCTGCCCCATTCCAGGAAGCCTCTGTTGGACAGAATGGGAGGCCTGCCCCCTCCTCCCTCAGTCCCTCTGTTCCCCAACCTATGTCAGGAGCCACAGCTGGAGTGGAAGGTCAGATGGGGACATCCTGGGAGTGGGGGTGCACAGAGATGGGATAAGATGGGTCCCTGTCATTGACTCCAAAATAACTGCCTGAGACTCGGAGATCCCGCATTCTTTGAATCAGGGCATCTTGGAAGGGCTGCCGTGGACACACCTGAGTCCAGAGGTCCAGGCCTGCTGGCTGTGAGCTCTGACACAGCAACAGGAACTGCATGGCCGTTGTTTCACTGCTCCCCCACCCCCATTGACATGACCTTGGGACCACAGCCTACTCTCAGCTCACCCCTGATATTTCTGGGGTCTCCAAGTGTTTCTCATAAGGAGCCCGCCAGTCCTTATTGATGTCTTCACAGGCCGTGAAGCAGAGGAAGCTTTTCCTCTCATGCTTCATCTTGGCCTGGTGAAGGATGGCGGTGACCTAGAATTCTCAAGTGGCAGGTCCCCAAGACTCAGCCCCATGCCTTGTCCTGGTCTCAGCACTGACCCATTCATCCTCAGTTACCTGTGATGTATAGACTATGCACAGTGCATCCCTGTAGGCTGTCCCTACAACACAATCTGACCCTACAGCACAACCTGTCCCTACAGCACAACCTGTCCCTACAGCACACCCTGTACCTGTAGCCTCTACTTGCAGCACAGCCTGTCCCTGTAGCCTGTACCTGCTGCACAACTTGTCCCCATAGCTTGTACCTGCAGCACAACCTGTCCCTGCAGCCCAGCCTTTGCCTGTAGCCCAGCCATACTGTATTTCACTTCTGGGTGTCTTACTTCCTCCTCAACTTCCCCCATGGGGTGTTCCAGGGCTCCCCCACAGCTCAATACATCCAATATGGAGCTTCAGATCTACCCCAAACGCCTGGTCCTCACCCAAGCTTCCCTGCTGAGGTGAATAGCATCCCATTGTCAAAAGGCCCGGACCAGACACTCGCCGAGGGGCTCTCCTTGAAGCCTGTCTCTCCTAAACATGTTTCTAGCCCTTAGGCCCTGCTGACTTTGTCATCCTCCTCCCAACCCTGGTCCAAGCCACATCACCTCTCCTGGCCTCTGTGCAGCCCCAGCCAACCCCTCGATCCATTTCCCTTCAGGATCAGAGTGAACTTCCAAGTACCATCTGATCACGTGGGGCTCCCATTTAAAATCTGTCAGTGGGTTCCTGGTTCTCTCTGAAACGAGACCAAATCCCTCCCACTCACCCCTGTCCCAACCCAGATATAAGCCCCACTGACACTCCCAGTGCCCAGGGATGCCGGCCCCCTTCTGCCTCAGGACTCCCTGCACCACCAGCGTCAGCAGGGACGCATGAGATTGGCCACCCCCACTTGGTGCCATTTGTCCAATTGCCCTTGATTGAGGACCTGCATTGGGTCAAGGCCTGGTCCCTGGACCCCAAAGCAGCACTATGGAGCCCCAAGTGTCCCAGGGTCCATCCTCGGAAGAGCCCCTTCCTTCAAGAGACACATCCCCTTACTCTAGTTGCATCCCCCCACCCCCCTTGATGTCTGGGGACCCTGGCTCAGCTGTCCTGGGCCCAGTCAGAATCGCCGGCGAGGCTGGCCAGGAGCCTGGGCCCAGTTGGAATGGGCCAATGTCAATCTGTTGTGTGAGAAGGGAGGCCTCCCCGATGTGCAGAAGTTTGGGATGTTAATCCACAGAGCATCCATCTGGGTCAGGGATTTGAAGATGTGTTCTGCAGTCTCAGGTTCTGCGGGGGCTGAAGGCAGGGGCTGCTGGAGGGGGAATGGGAGGCCAGCAGGGTGCCCTGGGCCCTTCAATAACCACCTCCCAACCCTTGGGACGGGGGTGGTTCTGTATGAAGTCACATTTGAACAGAGTATTCCAACCACAGTCGAATCCAGACACCTCATTTCACAGATGGGGAAAGTGTAGCTGGGCTGGGTGTGGGGGCTAAGGGTGCTCTTCTTGGTCACAGCCGAGCCCCAGGCTTGTGGGGACCTATCAGCAGGGATGGAAGTTAGTATGAGAAGGCGGAGGGGGTTGGTGACATCTGGAGTAGCTAGTCATGTCTCTGGGTTCTTGCTCGAGAAGAAGCAGGTGTCCTGGCAGCTTTGCAATGTCTCTCCAACCCCCTTCAGTTTCCACCCCTACCAGGCACCCCGCACCCATCATCCAAGGCGGCACAAAGAAATCAGCCGTCCTCACGTTTGGGAAACATTTTCTACTTCGTTTGCCATTTGTTATCTCTCTTTTTTGACAAAAACATTCTCCCAAACATCTTGCGGGGGGTTGTGATTTCACGATTCAAGATTCTCTGGTGCTGAACCTTGGTGATTTAATGATTCTAGGGGTAGGAGATTCCCATTCAGTGTCTGGGGGGACAGGCAATAGGACAGGTCTGACGGCACCCATACATGCGGGCGGCAGAGCCCATCCTGGCCTCAGCCACCTGCTCCTCAGCTCGGCATGAGTCCTTCCCAGCAATCATGTGAGCTGAAAGAAAGTTCCAGGGCAAGGTCCCAGTTGCTGGCTTCTGGAGGGAGGAGTTGAAAGACCCTCACCTCCACTGTCCTCATCAGGGGCACGAAGGAAGCTGCTCAGCAGGTGTGAACTGATCCCAGGTTCTGGATGGGGCTGCCTTGATGGAGGGCGGTCACTGTGCATGGACCTGCCGGAGCAGATGACCACAGCTCTCCCAGTCTTCCTTCTCCAGGTTTGAGAGCCCCCCCTCCTCCCATGAAAACCTGGGTGGGTTGTCCAGATACCGGCCTCAGGTAGGAGGGCAAAGCCGACCCTACATTGTCCTGGTTCTCTTGGGGCCTCTGGTGAGAACTGACTTCTTTTTCCTGGTGGGCACCTAGGGGGTCGGACGAGCTCCCTCACACGCCATCTTGGTCTGGGCAGTTTAGACCTGAGTTGTTCCAGGCTAGATGAAACTCTACATGAAAACTTCCAGAGTTGGACAGAGTCAAATTCTACTTCACCTTCCATTCACCATCATCATCCCTAGAACCAATCTCCCTCTGGGACCTCAAAGGATGGGGTGTCCAGGCTCTAGGGCAGGATTCCTGGGTTCCTGGCCAAACCATATCCAACAGTGCCCAGTCCCACCCCCTCTCCCTTGGGTCCTCCCAGGTGGCCCCTGCTTGCCTGAGACCCATGGGCACCTTTGGGGCTGGAGCTGACCAGTTTATCCCGTCCAGCTCCTTATAAGCCTTGCACTTCTGACATCAATAATTTATGGGGATATCGGGATGCAGGGGGGCTGGCAGAGTGATAGGTAGGGGGTACCAGAGGCAAATCTGGGACTAAATTAGGCAGGTGCTTTGTGAGCAGGCCCCAAAGGGTGGGCCCGAGCTAGATGGCTTTGGAACCTGGTCATCAAGAAACTGACAGACACTGGGCCCTGTGGGCAGGTGGGGAGTTTCCACTCCTTGCATGGCTCAAGGCCCCATTCAGATTCAGCCCAGGCCCCGAGGAGTCCCTGAGGGTCTAGGGGAGAATGGGGTCAGGGTGCAAGAGGGGGAAGGAGGGCCCTTGAGTAAAAGTAGTGGGAGGTGTGCTAGTGAAGGTGATGGTGGTCACGCTGGTAGTGCTGGGATGGTAGTCACAGTGCTGATGTGAGGAGTGGTGGTGATAGTGATGGTGGTAGTGATGGTATAATGGTGATGGTGGTGGTGATGATGGTCGAGGTGGTGACAGTGATGGAAGTGGTGGAAGTGATGGTGATGGCAGTGATGGTGGTGGTGGTGGTGGTGACAGTGGTGGTGATGGTGGTGATGGTGGTGGTGGTGGTGGTGGTGTTGGAGGTGGTGATGGTGATGGTGGTGGTTGTGGTGATGGTGATGGTGGTGGTTCTGGTGATGGTGATGGTGATGGTGGTGGTGGTGGTGGTGGTGGTGATGGTGATGGCGGTGGTGGTGGTGATGGCGGTGGTGGTGGTGGTGGTGATGGCGGTGGTGGTGGTGATGGTGATGACAGTGGTGGTGATGGTGGTGATGGTGGTGGTGGTGGTGGTGGTGTTGGAGGTGGTGATGGTGATGGTGGTGGTGCTGGTGGTGATGGTAGTGGTGGTGATGATAGCGGTGATGATAATAACAACAGCAGTGAACATTTATTGAGCCACTGCAGGTGCCATACCTGTATTGTGGAGTTGATGTGCCTAATCTCATTGCACCTTTGTGGCCACCTAAGGAGATTTGCCTTATTGCGTTACTATTATCATCCTCATTTACAAATGAAGAAACCGAGATTTAGAGAGTTAAAGTCACTTGCCCAAGGTCAGTGAATAAATGGCAAGACTGGGACAAGAATCCACGTCTGCCTGCCTACACTGCACCATTCTAACCTCTCATATCTGGCCCTTTCTGCAGGGACACAAAGTGGCAGGCCGGCCAAAGAAACTCAGTGCCTCCCGCCTCTGTCCTTCCCAATCCCCTGGGCTGCCTTGCACCCGCCTGCCCTGTCAGCATCATGAGTCTGTGACTCCTCACTAAGCCTTTTGCAAAATAACTTCAAGCTGTTGTCTTCTTTGACCTCTGCAAGGGCTCTGAGGGGCAGGCTTTATTAGAAGACAGGGAAACTAAGGCTGGAGAGGGGACGTGACTTGATGGAGGTCACTGAGAGCGGTTGAGGGGGTGACTAGCTAAGAACCCAGGACACCTGACACTCAGCCGAGGTGCTGCCCACTCACCTCCATGGGGGCCATCAGAGCGGCAGACTGGACCCAGTGGGCACCACAAGACGGTAATAAGGACATCTCCAGGCTGTGCAAGCTTAGTTGAATATCTCAACCTCTCTGAACTGTGATCAGGGCTCACTACAGGGCCTGCACATGGGAAAATTTGGGTCCATGGAGTGCAGGAAAGACTCATGCTGGACGTGGTGTGACAGCCCAGAGCCTTCGCATCCATGGAGGAGGCTACCCCTGCCCAGGATGGAATGCCTGTCACCCTGGAGGAGAGGCTCCAGTTGGAGATCCAGTTGGATCCAGTTAGGGTCTAGTTGGAGACCACACCAAACCCCCCTCCTACCAGTCTAGGTGACAGGAGGGGATGCAGCGTTCCTGAGCTCATGCTGGCGAGGGACTGAGCCATGGCTATTCCACCGGGACCTGGCCCCATAGGGCTTTGCCTGGCTGCTCAGAAGAAGAGGTGACCCCACTCCCACCTGCTGTCACCATGGTGGCAAGGCCTTCCGGTGGGGGTGGAAAATCTGGGCCGGGCTTCAGCTCCCTCCACAGCACCCAAACGGCTGATAATGCGAGAAATTTCAAAAAACAAAACCAGATGCTTATTTGAACATTTCTGGCACTCAAAAGGCTAGGAGTTCCATCCCCAGAGCAGCTGCTTCCTCGCATCTGCTGCCTCCCGTCTGCTGCCTTAGGCTTCCCCACCCTCCGGGCCCAGTCCCAGGTGACAAGGGTCCTGCTTCCCTGGGTCTCAGCCGCAGTCTATGCCGCAGCCCCTCACCCCACCCTCCACCTAGGCTCGGGGGGGCCGGAAGCCATACTCCTGGCCATGCGATCCCACTGCCCAGCTCACCTGCCCCCTCCTCTCCTGAGAGGCCAGGGCCTTTGCCAGTCCCTGGGGGCTTCCTACAGAGAACATGTGGCTCTGGAGAAAGGTGACTCAGACTCATGGCAGGGGCTCGGCAGAGCAGCAGGGAAGGGGGCTGAGGCTCTGGGGGGCCTCAGCTGGCCTGGCACTTTGACTTGGAGGAAAGTTGCGCCACCTGCCAACTAACGCAGGAATACAGTCCGGTTTCCAGGCCTCCAAGGGCCCCAGAGTGTCCCCCCAACCTCCAGGCCTTTCCTTGACATCCGCCCCAGGGTCTCGTTGGGGGAAGGAATCCGGGAAGGGGGCTCTGCTGGGCATCCCGATGGCCCCCGGGGGCCTCAGTTTCCCGTCTGGACATCCAGAGGGTTGAGCTGGATGGTTTGTAACAGCTCTTCCAGTTCCAATACTGCAGAATTCTAGAATGGCCCACCCCCCACAACCCCATCTCCATCACTAAGGGAAAATAAAAGGAAAAAAAATAACACCCACCCCATCTAATCCTTTCCCGGCTTATACCACGCAGCTCAGCTCTCTCGGCTCCTCTGGGGGATGATGGAAATGTGAATTTAAATAGAGTTATGTTGAAAGAACATTCCCCAGCACGGTCCCAGCAGGGAGAAGTCCTGCTGAGACGCAGAAGCAGGGCCTGCAGTTGGCATGTTTACGAGAGAGGCCAGCACCTTCGGACAATTACAATCAGGACAGCTTGATTAGCCTTCCTCCTCGCCTCACCCCTGCCCATGAATCTCCTTAATAGCTAGCTGCCTTCTTTTGGGGCACTGGGGTCGGCTGCTGGGAACTAGCTGCGTGTGGATAATCTCCCGGTGGCACCACGATGCCATCCACAGCTAACGGGCACTCCACACCAGCTTTCTGGGCAGCTTGCTCCCCCTCCTCAGTGGGGGCGGCCACCAGCCTGGGACAGGATTAGCACGGTTGTCTGCTCTGAGCTGAGGGCTCAGACATGGGGCTCCGGGCAGAATGGAGCTGGTGCGATGAGCTGGAGATATTTAGGGGGGCCCTGGCTTCCTCTGCACAGCCCTGAGACAACTCTTATGCCCCCACAGTCCTCACATCTCCCTATTGCCTGGGCACCCTTGAGGGGAGTGACAGCTGCGCTCACTGCAGGTCACAGAGTGGTGCTGGGGCAGGGGAATTTGTAACATAGAACCCAGCAGGGTCAGCTATGAGAGGTAGGAAGGCTGGCAGGATGGGCTTGTCTTAGCAGTGCATTCCATGGGGGCTTCTGACACCCCAAAGCTCAGGCCAACGGGTCATGGCAAGCCCCCAGGGGAGAGCCAGGAGCTGGGGACCTCATGGTGTTATGCTCCAGGTAGACAGGACAGTTGGTGCTGGACCCTGAGGTGGCTACACAAGGGGACAAGGATTGTAGTGTCAGGGCACGGAGTCCTCTGATGCCATGTGGGTGGAAATCAGCATGGGTAAGGCAGTTCTCACAGATGAAGGCCAGGACACCCCACGGCCCTTCCTGACTGCAGGGTCTGATGGAATGGAGTGGAGCCTGCTTTGGGGTGTGGTTTCAGGAGCTGCTTTTGCCCCCAAAAGTGGTCTCCTGCCCAAGACTGCATCTCCTCTTGTCCCTTCTCTGAGAGGCCTGTGGTTGAGCACAGGGATGAATGAGAATGTGATGGTGGTGGTAGTGCTGAGGATGGTGTTGGTGATGATGATGGTGGTGATAATGGTGGTAATGGTGATGATGGTGATGGTGCTGATGGTAGTGATGATGGTGATGAGGATGGTGGGGATAAAGATGGTGACGATGATCATGGTGATGGTGCTGATGATGATGATGGTGATGATGGTGGTGATGATGGTGATGATGATGGTGATGGTGATGGTGATGGTGGTGATGAAGATGGTAGGGATAATGATGGTAATAGTGGTGGTGGTGCTGCTGCTGATGATGATGGTGATGGTGGTGATGATGATGATGGTGATGGTGATGGTGATGATGGTGATGATGATGGTGATGGTGATGGTGATGGTGGTGATGAAGATGGTAGGGATAATGATGGTAATGGTGGTGCTGCTGCTGCTGATGATGCTGATGATGGTGGTGATGATGATGATGAGGATGGTGTCGATATTGATGGTGATGATGGTGGTAATGATGGTGATGGTGGTGATGATGACGATAGTGGTGATGATGATAATGGTGATACTGGTGGTATTAGCCCTGCCCAGGGACAGTAACTTCTGACAAGATTTTCTGCACACCCACTGAGAGCTCTCCTCCACATTGGGACTCCCAGAGGTAGCAGCAATGAGCCCAGTCTTTGAGGGACACATTGTCAACTTCTTGAGGACAGGCTGGGTTTCTTTCTCATTCATCCCTGTGCTCAACCACAGGCCTCTCAGAGAAGGGACAAGAGGAGATGCAGTCTTGGGCAGGAGACAAGATGACAGAGGTGAACCGGTGAGTGACAGAAGAGGCCTGGAATTTGATGGCTGTGTAAATGGCTAGAGCACTGCAAGAATCTAGAGCTGAAGGAAAATACTGAGGCACAGGGGATGATAGGCTTCAAATGAAGGCAGAGGCTCAAGATGGGGCAGGATTCTTGGTGGGTGATAGCCTGGCTAAGGGTGTGGTGGTGGGAAGGAAGTGGCTGGCACAGGGGAAACATTCAGCAGAGAAAGGAGGGATTGGTTTGGATGGGGTGGGGTTGACTGCCAAGCAAAAGGGTTTGGGCTTTTTCTTGTTGAAAATGGGGAACCCCTGGCTGCCTGAGAGCAAAGGCTGAAATGAGGGAGGCAGGATTCAGGAAGATATGTTGATGGTGCTATTTGGGGTAGACTGGGTGCTAGGTGCTGGATAATCATAATAAAACAAGTGTCCACCACCTACTGAGTGCCTGCAGGTGCCCAGCACTGGGCTCAGCACTTATCAGACCCATCCCCATGAGTCCTCTTTGTGCCCCTGGCGGGCAATTGTGGTGGTTTTAAAAACTACCCACTCTGGCTGGGTGTGGTGGCTCACACCTATAATCCCAGCACTTTGGGAGGCCAAGGCAGCCAGATCACTTGAGGTCAGGAGTTTGAGACCAGCCTGGCCAATGTGGTGAAACCCTGTCTCTACTAAAAACACAAACATGAGCCGGGCGTGGTGGTGCACTCCTGTAATCCCAGCTACTCAGGAGGCTGAGGCAGGAGAATCGATTCAATCCAGGGGTGGAGGCTGCAGTGAGCTGAGATAGCACCACTGCACTCCAACCTGGATGACGGAGTCAGACTCAGTTTCAAACAAACAAACAAACAAACAAACAAACAAAAAACTACCCACTCCTCTCTTAGGACAAGCCTCGTTCCCCTGCTCTTGAGTGTGGATGGTATGTAGGGACTCACTTCTAATCAACAGAATGTGGTGGAAATGATGGAGTGTGACTTTTGAGAGTAGGTTATAAAGATTGTGGCTTCCACCTTGCTCTCTCTCTTGGATCGCCTGCTCTGGTTGGCAATCTGTGAAGCTAAGTGTCCTTAAAACCAAGTTGCTGGCAAGGCGCGGTGGCTCATACCTGTAATCCCAGCACTTTGGCAGGCTGAGGTGGATCACGAGGTCAGGAGATCAAGACCATCCTGGCTAACGCAGTGAAACCCCGTCTCTACTAAAAATACAAAAAATTAGCTGGGCATGGTGACGGGCGCCTGTAGTCCCAGCTACTCGGGAAGCTGAGGCAGGAGAATGGTGTGAACCCACGAGGCAGAGCTCACAGTGAGCCGAGATTGCGCCACTGCACTCCAGCCTGGGTGACAGAGCAAGACTCCATCTCAAAAAAAAAAAAAAACAAAGTTGCCATGTTGTGAGGACACTCAAGCCACCCTATGGTGAAGTCCAGGGGGCAGGAAATCGAGGCCACCAGCCAAACAGCCATGTGACGGTGCCATCTTGGAAGTAGATCCTCCAGCCCCAGTCAAGGCATCAGATGATGCAGCCCCAGCCGACATAATGACTGCAACTTATTGAGGGGCCCTAAACAGGACCCACCCAACTAAGCTGCTCCTGAATTCCCAAGCCTTGCATGTTTTGAGCTGCTCCATTTTGGGGTAATTTGTTATGCAGCAATGGATATCCAACACAGTATTTTTGTTCTCCTTCTTGTTCAGACTAGAAAATCCAAGCTGGGAGGCTTCCAGGCAGGGAGCCTGGCTTAAGCAAAGGTATCCTGGCTGGAGCACTTGTTTCAGCAAGAGAAGCTTTCATCAGGATCAAATAGGCTTTGGGTACAGACTGAGCGGTTGGGGTCTGCATCCCTTCCCCGCTTCTGACACCTGCAGTGAGGAGCCACCCTCTCAGCTTCAGGGCTGCCCTCTGGACTCTAGACTGAGAAGGCTGCTTCACAGGTGGTCGCTTTGCAATGGAAAGTGGAGCCAAGCAGGCCAGGAATCTCATTCATTCATTGATTCATTCCTTCAATCACAACCAAGCCCCTACAGTGTGCCAGGGGCACCTGCAGCCCCCACATGAAGACTCTCCCTGCTGGGACACAGAACAGGACCCAGGGTGCTTGGATGGAGGTCACCCCCACGTCCTCAGGGGTACAGACAGGCAGATGTGGGCAGGGTGGAGGGAGGCCAAGGCTGTACGCTTCCTATTGACTTAAGACAGTGTGGGAAAGAAGATGGGAGACTGGAAAGCAAGGCCAGAGCTGGGCAACAGGGTTGGAGTCTTAAAGACAGTCCCGCTCTTTGACCCTGTAATTCTTTTCCTGGGAATCCACCCTAAGGAAGTAATTAGCCAGGCAAACTGCAACTGAGGGCAAGGCTGTTCACTATGCACTGTTTACAACAACTAGAAAATAGAAATAAGTGTTCAGAAATAAGGGAGGTTTACAAACACCATGTGCCTCCCCCACCCCCTCTGGAGTTAGATGACCCGGGTATAGATCTTTGTCTTCAGCCTTGTGGCCACTCCGTGCTCAGTTTCCTCACCTGTGTATGGAGATAAAGAGTCACTGTCAGGATTGGATGAGTTGGCACATGTTGCATACCCAGCTCAGCTGCTGGTACAAAGAACATCCTCTCTACATATGAGCTAATATCACTGTCAAATAGGCTTATGTTTAAAAGTGAGTTTGGGAGTTTCATTTATTTATTTATTTATGATTTTTTAATTTTTATTTTTTGAGACAGTGCAGTGGCGTGATCATGGCTTACTGCAGCCTTGACCTTCTGGGCTCAAGTGATCCTCCCACCTCAGCCTCCTGAGTAGCTGGGGCCACAGGCACGCACAACTACACCTGGCTAATTTTTTTTTTTAATTTTTTGTAGAAATGGGATCTTGTTATGTTGCCCAGGTTGGTCTCAAGCTCCTGGACTCAAGCGATGCTCCTACCTCGGCTTCCCAAAGTGTTAGATTACAGGTGTGAGCCACCTTGCCCAGCTTGAATTTTTAAATTTGTTTTGTTCTGTTTTGTTTTGGGGTGCAGTGGTACAATCATAGCTCACTACCACCTTGAATTCCTGGACTCAAGGGATCCTCCTACCTCAGCCTCCCAAGTAGCTGAGACTACAGCCATGCACCAGCATGCCTGGCTTATTTTTTAATTTTTTTTTAGAGACAGGATCTCATTATGTTGCCCAGGCTGGTCTTGAACTCTTGGGCTCAAGCAATCCTCCTGCCTCGGCCTCCCAAAGTGTTGGGATTACAGGTGTAAGCCACCATGCCTGGCTTGAGTTTTTGGATTTTGAAGAACGTGAGGGAAATTCTCACAATCATGTGGGATCTATCATATAACCTCAGTCTGGGCAAGACAGGGTCAGTGGGGCACAGACACTCACCCCTACCTCAGTCATTGTCACATAGCAGCAGTAGGTGCTGCAAGAACAGAGGTTAAAGGAGGATTTGCTGAACGGTTGTGAGAGAAAATGGGAGGGACACATCAAGCCCACACACACAGCACCCAGTTGCCTTATGGTGGCTTTTGCCAAAGCAGAGATGTAAATAGCAGTGGCTTCTTTGGAGGTGACCCAGGAAGCGCTGGAAGGGGAGTGGAGGGGGAGACAGGGAGAGGAAGGCATCTGTAACTGTGTGTGCTGTGTGTTAGTTGCAGCACTGGGCACTGGGGCTGGAGACCCCAAGGGAACTCTGGGAAACATGTAGAACATGCCCTCCCAAAGGGCGAGGGAGCTGGGGTATTTATCCTCTGACTCTTCCAACCTCCATCTGCCATTGGCTGAGGGCTACCCTTGTGGGGAGAAGGTGCAATTGCAGGTCTTGGCACCTTCTGGAAGGTTGAGCACTGAATGGCCACGTGGATGGAGATCCAATGCTGCGAGCTGCACTGGTACATGGTGAATGTTGAATAAACGCTGCTGTTGTTTTCCCATCCCAACCCTAAGTGCCTGCCACAGAAACATCATGAAGATCCTTCTCCCTGTCCATGTTGCACATCAGTATAGACAAATAGATTCCCAAGAAGTTGCTGCTGCTGGCCCAATATTTATGAGTCTCTGGCAATTACTAAGAAAACAGAAGCTGGGTGAAGTGGCTCACACCTATAATCCCAGCACTTTGGGAGGCCGAGGTGCAAGGATATCTTGAGCCCAGGAGTTGCCCAGACCAGCCTGGCAACATAGCAAAACCCTGTCTCTACAAAAAATGAAATAAATTAGCTGGTGTGCACCTGTAGTCCTTGCTACTTAGGAGGCTGAGGCAGGAGGATCAGAGGATCACTTGAGCCCAGGAGGTAGAGGCTGCAGTGAGCCATGCACTGCACTACAGCCTGGGCAACAGAGCAAGACCCTGTCTCAAAAAGAAAAAAAAAAAGAAAGAAAAGAAAGAAGAAGAAGAAAAGAAAACAGACTAGAAGGAAGCACCCCAAAATTGTAACCAGGCTTATCTCTGGGCAGAGTGATAATAGGTGATTTTTATAACTGGAATACAAATGTGAAATTTAAAAGAAATACAGATGGCATGTGGCAGGGGCTACCATGAGGAAAACACTTAGGGAGTGTCTCTGCTTTAGGTCCACAGTGAACTGCATGGTAGTAAAACGAATGTTTGCTCAACACCTGCTGTGTGCTGGCCAAGCCCTGGGGTGCACAATCTTATTTCCTCCTGTCACTGCCCTGGGAGGGAAGACAGGACCTTGCCTTTGCTTGTGTATCAGTCAGCTTTGTCTGTGCTATGCTGTGTAACAACCACTCCCAATATTCAGTGGCTTACAGAAACAGCATTTATTTTCCTGGCTTATAGCTCTGCCAGGTTCAGGCCTGTGTCAAACGTCTATCAGCATTCTGGGACCAGTGGCTTCCCAGGAAATGTTCTCATGGCCATGAGGGAACTACAGAGTGTGCCTCTTAAGGCCAAGGTAAGTCACACAGCCAAGTCCAAGGTCGATGGGGTAGGAGACACAGTGGAGGCACCAGGCAAAGGGTGTGGCCGTGTAATTCTCTAACAGTGAGGGAGGACTTAGGAGCAAGGTTTCCATCACCCAGAGAGCCATCACTCACCTGCAGCCCCTTCTAGAGTCAATGACTCCCTAGAACCCATAGCACACCTGCAGTCTCTTCTAGAGTCAATGACTCCCCAGAGCCCATCACCCACCTGTAGCCCATCGCCCACCTGCAGCTCATTGCCCACCTGCAGCCCCTTCTAGAGTCAATGACTCCCTAGAACCCATCGCCTACCTGCAGCCCATCACCCACCTGCAGCCCATCACCCACCTGCAGCCCATCGCCCACCTGCAGCCCCTTCAAGAGTCAATGTCTCTCCAGAGCCATCACCCACCTCAAGCAATTGCAGGTGTTGATGACTCAGAGTTGATGACTCCAGCCTGGATCTCTCTGGACTCTGGACTTGTATATTTGACGCCCACTCCATGCCCTTCCTGGAGGTCTAATAGGCAGCTCAAACTTAACACAGCCAGAACAAAACTCCTGATCACAGCCCGTTTCTCCTCCAGGTCTCCCTATCTCAGTGAGTGGCACCACCACCCACTTGCGTCGTGGGCCCCGGCTCTCGGCTCCGTCCTGCTACCTTACTCCTCATCTACTCCATCAGTCAGGCCTCCCGGCGCCATCTCCAAAACTTGTCCCACGTCTGTCCACGTCTCACTGAATCCACTGCCAATGCCCCAGTCTGAACTGCCTTCATCTCCTGCCAGGACAGCTGGCCTGACTCCCTCACTCGTCCCCACCACCCCAGAGCCCCTCAGAGCCCATCCTCGACACAGCAGCTAGAATGAGCTTGCAAAAATGTCCACCAGCTCATGGCATGCCCCTTTCTCCCCACCTGCAATCTTCCAGTGGTTTTTTTCTTTTTTTTTTTAGATGGAGTCTCGCTCCATTGCCCAGGCTGGAGTGCAATGGTGCCATCTCAGCTCACTGCAACCTCCACCTCCCTGGTTCAAGCAATTCTCCTGTCTCAGCCTCCCAAGTAGCTGGGATTACAGGTGCCTGCTACTACGCCTGGCTAATTTTTGTATTTTTAGTAGAGACGGGGTTTCACCATTCTGATCAGGCTGATCTCAAATTCCTGACCTCAGGTGATCCACCCCCGTCGGCTTCCCACAGTGCTGGGATTACACCGCGACCAGCCCTTCCGGTGGTTTTCTATTGTAACCATGTGATATCCAAACTCATCACCGGTGTGCACCTTCCATCGCTCATTCTCTCTCCAGTCTCATTGCTCCTCCCACCTTTCACTGCTCCAAACACAAGGCCTCTTTTCACATCTTAACACACACCAGCCTTGTTCCTGAGCAGGGCTTTTGCACCTGCCACTCCCTCAGCACCTCCAGCACCTCCCATGTGGTCCTTCAAATGCCACCTCCTCACAGCCTCTTCCCCAGCCATTGTGTATGACAGCACCCTGTTTGTTTTCTTATCACCATTGAATGTGTCTTATTTGTTCATTAGAATTAAACTACACATGGTAGCGCTCAATAAATATTTGTTGAAAGAACATGCTGGTGGATGGGATGTGGGAGGTGGGGGAAGAGGCGAGAGAATGAGAGTCTCCCTGGGCACATGGGTGGTCGGGGGAGCTTTCTGGTAGGTCTACAAGGAAACCTGGGTTCCGTTGGGGGCACCGCTCAGGAACACCAGGCCCTGTGAATCCCCCCGAGGCTCAGGCGGGGGTCTTCCCACCAAGGAGCAATACAGGTGGGGCTCTAACCGAGGTTCTCTCTATGCAGCTTCACCTCCTTCTCCAGGCAGGGGCGTCGAAGCGGGACCCAGAGTATGAGATGTGAGGCACCCAGAACCCCAACCCCAAAGCCAAAGCCTTGGGCTCTAGGAAGCCAACATAAAGCCAGGGCCATGCCTTCAGGGAATGGGCAGATGGGGAGAAATTCTACCTGGGGGAAAGGAAGATGACAGGGGAAGATTTCTCCTGCAAATTAATAACCAGTGGCGAGTTCCCATGAAGATTTTGGGGTTTGAATGTATTCTGCCAGTAGGAGCGTCAAGCAGTACGACCATGTCGGAAAGCAATTTGGCCATTTTTTTTATAAGGGCATGGCTGTTTGGTCGCTGATGTTAGAGGGTGCTGGGTACTTGCAGCTGTGCAGGTGGGAGGGGTGACTGGGAAACAGAACTGTGATTGGCAGCCCTTGCATACCACTGGCAGGTTTCTGAGGTTTGACTCAGACGCCAACATCCTCGGAGGCACAGATGACAGCTGAGCTGCCCTTCCCTCCCCACCACGGCTTTAAGACGCACCCTCTGGCAGGAGTGGTGCCAAGCGGGGATACCTACCAGGGAGGAGCTGCACCCAGGGAGAGGCGGCCCCCCATCCCAAGAGCCCAGACTGAATTAGGACAAGACAGGGTGAGTGGGGCTGCAGGGGAGGTGCTGGGTGGATGTTTGTGGAATGACTGACTGACTGACTGAATGAATGAATGAATGAACTGAGCGAATGAGTGACAAGGGGACCCGGCAAACACACCACAGCCACCATCTCTCACTGTGACACTCAAAGGGATGCTGGAAGATAAACCGGGCACCTGGAACCCCAAGTGCTGCCAGCGGGGGTGTCAAATAGGACAGCCACATCGTAAAGCAATTTTGTAGTTTCTGATAATGTTAAACACAGTCCCACCCTATGACTCAGCAATTCCATTCCTAGGTATGTACCCAAAGAGTGTGTACGTATGTGCAGCAGGGACATGTGTACAAATGTCCACAGCAACACTGTTCTCAACAGCTCCAACTGGAAGCAGGCCAAATGCCCACCAACAGGAAAATGGTTAAGCAGATTGTGGCAGAACCATATGATGAAATACACGGGCAATAAAAAGGAGTGAGCTGCCAACATGCACACAACATGGGTGCACCCACTGCTCACCTGGGGAGCGAAGGAGCGAAGGAAGCCAGACCCAAAAGAATATGCCCCACAGGGCTCCATTTACATAAAGTAAGAAAAGGCAAAAATAAGCAGATAGAAATCAGAACAGTGATTGCAGGGGAAGCTACTGGAAAGGGGCATGGGAACTTTCTAGGGTGACAGAAATATTCTCTTTTTTTTTTGAGACAGAGTCTCACTCTGTCATCCAGGCTGGAGTGCAATGGCGTGATCTCGGCTCACTGCAACCTCTGCCGCCCAGGTTCAAGCAATTAATTCTCCATGCCTCAGCCTCCTGAGTAGCTGGGATTACAGGCACCTGCCACAGCGCCTGGCTAATTTTTAGTAGAAGTAGAGACGGGGTTTCACCATATTGGTCAAGCTGGTCTTGAACTCTTGACCTCGTGATCCACTCGCCTCGGCCTCCCAAAGTGCTGGGATTACAGGCGTGAGCCACCGCATCCGGCCATTTTTTTTTTTTTTTTTTTTTAGGCAGGCTCTTTCTCTGTCATCCAGGCTGGAGGGCAGGGCAGTGGCATGATCATGGCTCGCTGCAGCCTCGAGCTCCTGGACTCAAGGGACCAGTCTTCCCAGTAGCTGGAACCACAGGCACACGCCACCACTCCCAGCTAATTTTTTCTGTTTCTTGTACAGACGGATTCTCACCATGTTGCCCAGGCTGGTCTCAAACTCCTGAGCTCAAGCAATCCTCTCGTCTGGGCTTCCCAAAGTGCTGGGATTCCAGGTGTTAGTCACCACGCCTGGCCACATTTTGTGTCTTGAATGGCATGGTAGTCAAAACTCCCCAGTGTTACCCTTAAGATGTGTCCATTTTAATATATGTAAATTTGACTTTAAACTTTAAGAAAGAAAATAAAAGTAGGCATTCGAGAAGAAGAGACTTTTGCTTCCAACAATATGGCAGACCAGACACCCAAACAAAAACTTGGATACAATAACTTGGATCCTTTTCAAGGTACAGCCAAATAGGAAACAAAGAGCAGCGTGAAACCCAGAGCAGCTGGGGCTGAAGCCATGGAGGCCCAGGGCATCACCAGTTATGGGCACCATGTCCTTGCGTGTCATGGCCCAGGACACAGGCCTTAGGCCCCAAGGAGGCAGGGAGTCAGACCCAACATAAAGCCAGGGCCACACCCTCAGTGAACTGACAGAGTAGGAAAATTCTCTCTGCAGGAGAAAAAGGAAGATGACAAGGAAACTAGGAAGATGACAAGGAAAAAACTTCCCCCATAAATTAATAACCACAGGCCTGTTCTCATGAATATTTTGGATCTGAATTTATTCTACATGCAAGATGGGAACTAAACTTCAAGCAGTCTTGGGTTTGGAGTGTCTTCTGGTGCCTCGTGGAAGTATAAGCTCACCCCCCAGGGAGAGACGGACTCCCAGCCTAGACACACCGATTCCCACGGATAAAGCTCTGACAAAGATGGAACGCGCAATGCAAAATTGCAAAACACGTGACACAACAAGCCACCATACGTGAGAGCTGGAAGAATTAACAGCAAACAGGATTTGCACCCCGGGGACTTCAGATGGTGGAATTCTGGTAGACAGACTCTAAAAGAAGGATGAGAAGAAGACACAGCATTTTTGAAAGTTTGTCCTCTTGTCTGTTGGTCGGGATGCGGCCACCAGTTGTATTCAGACTTCCATGCAAGAATTTCATTTACTACACCCAGTTCCTCTCATTCAACAAGAAACATTTGCACCCCAAGTGTTAGCTGTCCAGGGATCCCCAAATTCTGCATCTGTGAGATTAGAATGTGTCTCTAAAATGCAGGTTGAAGTGATACAAGCTCAGGTAATCCCTCCTCAACCCCTGGTTGGATTTCCTGCTCAGTCTGAATTCTGGGTCCCAATAGGACCCCTCTTCTCCCCTCCCCACCTGTGCTGGACAGCTCCTTCTTCCCTTCCTGGACTTTGGTGTGGGGCAGGGCCCACTCTTTTCATTTCCCCAAACCATCACCAACACAAGACTACTGAGCAGGGAGGACTTTATACCAAGGACTGAAGGATAACGTATGGGATTCTGCAGCATGACACTGAAAATCACTTTCCATGCAAGAGCAAACATCCCCTGGTGTGTATGGCGTCAGTGCTGTGGTTCCCAGCACTGTGGTCCCTCCCCGGAATCCCAACTGCCTGGGGACTCTGCCCCCCACCTCATGCTCTCTCCCCTCCACCCCTCCACCCTTCCACCCCTCCACCCTTCCACCCCTCCACCCCTCCACCCCTCCACCCCTCCACCCTTCCACCCCTCCACCCTTCCACCCCTCCACCCTTCCACCCCTCCACCCTTCCACCCTTCCACCCCTCCACCCCTCCACCCCTCCACTCTTCCACCCCTCCAGCCCTCCACCCCTCCAGCCCTCTACCCTTCCACCCCTCCACCCCTCCACCCCTCCACCTGGGCATTTCTTGCTGGGTTTCCTGCAGCTTCTCCTCCCAGGTCAGCCCCTGAGCCTCTGCTTTTCACACCTAAATAGTCCATCAGGATGTTCTGCTGAAAAAAGAAAAAAAAAAAAAGCCAGTTTTCTCCCTAAGAGGAACTCTGCATCCAGCTTTTAAAATCACGTTTCCCCTTCCTGCTCTGCATTTATTGAGCACTGACTGTGTTAGAAGACCTTCGGTAAGTGCTAGGGACACAAAGACAGAACTGGCAGGTGCTGTCCTCACCCGGAGTGACCACGTTGTCCTGCTCCGGGGTTCTAGCCTCAGTCTTGACAGCCCAGCCTCGGACACATCGCAAGATGCCACACACAGCATCCCAGTGGGCTCAGGGCACAGACGCACCACCCATGCACCCATGAATTGACACACAGGCTGCACACACACACACACACACACTCACACACATTCTCTCCGTGCTAATTCTCGCCTTTGATCACGGCCTCTCGTCTGTCATCACCACTCAATGTTGACAAAGCAAAATAAAAAGAAAGAAAGAAAGAAATTCGCCCTGTCACTTGGACTCCCCCCCGACCCCGACCAGGCTTGGCAGCCCCCACCCCCACCCCCGCCTTTGTATTATGGGTTTATGTCAAGGTATGTTGGATTCTAAATTAAATGTCAGCCCACTGTACATTTCTGGCTCCAGCCGCAGAAAATGAGGAGCTGGCGTTGGAGACCATCCAGTCATTCAGCTCCCCGTGCCTAACCGTGAGGGGTGACAAGCCCATTGAATCACTGCACAGTAGTTTTCCACGCCACAGAAGCCAAGATACATTTATTTTTAATGATAAATGTGACTGTCAGAGTCAAGTTGAAACAGCTTTATGGCGAGAGCTGAGTACCCTTGGCAGTGCGGGGCAGAGGCTGAGTGGATGGGGACCAGAGGTCCCGACCTTCTGGCCAGCCAGTCCCCCAGGCCCCGAGAGACTGGCACATTGGCTATTCTGCCCACGTCCGCTAAGCCCTGCTGCATGCTGGCTCAGCACGCTCACCGGGTGGCTCAGGCCCAGCTCTGGCAGACGAAGAGGCACCGAGGTATTGAAGAAAGAGAGATAGTCTCTGGAAGTGCACACACTAGGGTTCAAATTCTGCCCCACCGGCCAGGCGCAGTGGCTCATGCCTATAATCCCAGCACTTTGGGAGGCTGAGGTGGGCAATTCATGAGGTCAAGAGATCGAGACCATCCTGGCCAACATGGTGAAACCCTGTCTCTACTAAAAATACAAAAATTAGCTGGGCGTAGTGGCGTGTGCCTGTAGTCCTAGCTACTTGGGCGGCTGAGGCAGGAGAATCGCTTGAACCCGAGAGGTTGCAGAGAGCCAGTGAGCCGAGATTGCGTCACTGCACTCCAGCCTGGCGACAGATCGAGACTCCGTGTTAAAAAAAAAAAAAAATTCTGCCCCACCAATGGCTGTGTGGTCTTGATTGAGTTACTTAACCTCTCTGAGCTTCTGTTGCCTCATCTAGAAAATGAGGCTATTAATAACACTTACAGGTCTTGGGTGAGGATTACTTGAAATAAGATGGTATTGTTAATGGTATTGCTGTATCCAGCACATGGAAATGTTTGGTAAATGGTAATTCCATATTGATTTTTTTTTTTTGAGACAGTCTCACTCTGTCGCCAAGGCTGGAGTGCAGTGGCACGATCTCGGCTCACTGCAACATCTGCCTCCCAGGTTCTAAGTGATTCTCCTGCCTCAGCCTCCGGAGTAGCTGGGATTACAGGAGTGCACCACCACACCTGCTAATTTTGTATTTTTAGTAGGGATGGGGTATCACCATGTTGGCCAAGCTGGTCTCGAACTCCTGATCTCAGATGATCTACCTGCCTCGGTCTCCCAAAGTGCTGGAGTTACAGGTGTGAGCCACTGTGCCTGGCCCCATATTGATCGTATCATCTTATTAATTACACAATTACCCAGGTCATGTAATTTACCTTTCTGAATCAGTTTCCTCATCCACAAAGTGGGGACAATAGTATTCACTTATTAGGGGGCTGGGAGGATATGAGGTGCCCAGCACAGCGCTGAGCGTGAGGGTGCTTCCAACAGGTGGCTGTTGGTCACGGCTGGCACCCTGAATGTTGTCCCCCTATGTCCCTTGCTGCTCTTCCTTGTCTCCCCATGGACTATTTTTCCACCCCTCCCATGTCGCCGTACTGCCTGCCCTGCACCCACTCCCTGCTAAGGGAGGGGTCCTGCATTAGGGCCCCAGCAGCCATGCCCCCACATTGGACCTGACCAAGGTCTGATGGGTTGGTACCTGACCAAGGACAGCTGTCTTTGGCCATCTGCCACTTATGATTGATATGCCTGGTTCAGTCCTAGATAGGAGTTGCCCATTGGTGGGGCCATCATATCCAGGTGGCCTTGGAAAGGCAAAGTAGGAACAGGCAGAATTGGTGAGCCAGAAAGAGGAAGGTGAGGGGATGCGCAGAGAGTGAACAAGTTACCAGGCAACCTCGAGTCTAATACCATGCAGCCTCCCGGTCCTGTGTTCTGGCACCCTGAGGTGCTGGCTCGTCCCTGACAAGGAATGCTCAGTCTTGGGCTGGCTGGAAAGCCCTGATTCTGTCCTGTCCCACCTGCTGAGCACAGCCCAGCTCGCCCCCAGTGCTCTGTGGTCATCAGCCTTGTCAAAGGGAAATCCGAGGGTGGAGGGCCTGTCTGCTCTGTGGGGTCGGCTGCCCTTTCTCTCGCACAGATCTTGGCTGTGGGTCAGCACTGGCTTCTGGGATCCACTTCCATTTTATTCCTCTCCACCAATTCGGAGGCTCCAGTGAATGGGGGCGGCCCTCCCTTCTTCCAGAACGATGTCCTAAGTGTGTCTGCTGAGTGCAGTGTGTAAAGCGCTGAGCAGACGCCTGCAGGCTCATGCCAGTCCTGCATCACGGCTGACCCTTCTCCTGGGGTGTTGAGCAGAGGCGTCAGCACAGAGGGGGTGACAGAGTGAGGCCCGCTCCCGAAGACACACACGTAAGGCACTCCCGCAGGCTGAACCTGTGGCTGAGCAGGTGAGATGATTCAACCTCCAACCTCCTCCAACACTCCCAGCAGGAGCCGCTAGGTGGCCCCCGCTCACCTGTCCAACCGCGCTTCTGCAGGCCCGGGAGGCGATCCTCCAGAGCGTCCTCCGGTCCTCCGGTTTGCACCTGCCCAGGTACGCCCGGGTCACTCCCCTAGCTCCGCCTTCCCTTCTGCGGCCCCGCCATTGGAAATGCCTTTCCTTCAGCACCCAGACTTCTGGATGCTGCCTTCATGGGCCTTGGGGGCGGGCTCACACCCCTCCATCCCAGGATGCCTCCCTGACTACTCTGAGCACATCTCCAAGACCTCCTCCGTTGGTCCTTAGCACCCCTCCCGTGGGTTCTCAGTTCAGCCCCCCACCCCCGCTCCACCCCCCAGGGTGATCTTTCATCTGTGCACAAATGCGTCTGGAGTTTACATCCTCTCGCCAAACTGTGGAGTCAGAGCCTTGCATTTCCGCCACCTGCCCGCTTTGTGCCTGTAACTGCACAAGGGCCTGCAAACCTCGCCACTCCCCACCAATAGGCAAGTCCTTGTTTACGAGGAAACTGAGGCTTGGGGATGACGTGGAATCTGCCCAAGGTCACAGCAGGAACATCTGAGCCTTGCCCTGCTCAGGTGCTGTGATGCACTGTGGCAGAGCCCTTCTGAAGCGTGTGCAGTCAACCCTTTGGCTTACATGGGGAAACTGAGGCTCGGAGAGGTATGTTGCTTGCCCTCAGCCACACAGCCAGGGCCCTGTGCCCTCCACCACATCCTTCTTCCCAAGTCTGAGGGCCCTCTAGATCACCTGCTGACCCTCTTAATTCATAGGAAAGGCCGAGGGGCCAGAAAGGGCCAGAGGCCAGAATTGGAACCTGGGTCTCCTGACTCCCAGCCATTGCTGTGGGATCCTCTCCAACTCCCGGGCAGCCTCAGTCCGGGAAGCCGGGATCGGGCCGTAGGTGAGGCCAGCGGTTGTCCTGGAAGGAAAAGGCGGCTGGGGACAAACAGCCGGTGGTTTGTGAACCCAGCGCCTGGCGGGTGGCAGTCTCCTCGGATGGCACCGGGCCACAGGGTCCCCCGCTCCGGGGTCCAGGGAGTGCCCCAGCCCAGGCTGGACGCGGCCCCCACCCCCAACCAGTCTGCCCCGCCAGTGCCGGACGCGTAGAGGGATCGGGAGAGGGACGAAGATGGGGCGACAGACTGGCAGCCAGTGGGGGAGAGACGGAGACGGTGCCAGGGAACAGCGCGGCGGCCAAGGCGCCCCGGGAGCCGGAAAACAGCTTTGGGGAGAAGCGGGGGCGGGGAACGGGGGTCTGTCTGGAGCTGGGGGAGCAGAAAAAGATGGGGACGCAGAAAGGGGCGGAGGAGGGGCGGCCGGCGGGCTCGGCGGGGCGGCGGGAGGGGAGCGCGGCGTCGGGCAGTGTGGGCGCCTCCCGGTCAGAAGCCACAATAGCAGCTCGTTCGCCGCGCAGATTAAGGACTTTGTCAATTACCTCCGAAGGCCGCTCCGGGCGGATTAAATGCTTTTAAAAGTGCTGCTGGTGGGAAGGGGCAACTAAGAAGCCCCCTCCTGGCACAAATCCCCTCCCGGCGGAGGAGAAGGCGGGGGCTGGGACCACGCGGGGCGCGCCGGGGAGCGCGGGCGATCGGCCGGGAGCGCGGCCGAGCGCGGAGCGGCTGGTACTCGCGACCACAGCGCCGGCGGCTGTGGCAGTGGTGGGGACCCCCATTTCGCCCACGGGCCGCCCGGGCAAGGGGGCGTCGTGTGGGCTTTCCGACCGCGGGCGCGAGGGCACGGGTCTGCGGACGCGGACTGGGACGCCCACCGGCCAGGCTCACGCGTCGGGGTCCGGCGCAGGGAGGTCCCCGGGGGCTGGAGACCCCACAGCTGGGCGCACTTGCCCCGGGACCTGGACCCAGACCTCGGGGGCCCGCAGGGGGCGCACCCCACCGAAACTGCCCCCGGCGCAGCCTGGGTCTTGGGGCGAGCCCTGCGTCCTGAGCCGGGAGGGAGCCGGAAGGAGCGCCGCGCCACTCCCCGGAGACGCCGAACCGGCCGGCGGGGGCGCCCTCGGGGCCCGCCCCGCGCATGGTGACTTGTGTGAGTCCGGTCCGGGAGGAAGTTTGTGCAGAGGCGCCGCCGGGGGGCTCTCAGGCCCCTCCGGGAGCCAGCAGGAGCCGGGCCGCCCGCGGCTGTTTGCTGCCCTCCGGCCGGCCGCGTTATCTGGGGGCCAGTTCGGCCTCCTTTCCCTAGGTCTTTTCGGAGGCGGAGTTTAGTATCCAAGTCCGCGGGTGTGAGCGCGCGCGTGTGTGTGAGTGTGTCGGGGGAGGCCGAGGGGAGCAATAAAAAGCAAAGAGAGTCCGAGACCAGAAAAGATGCGGAGATTGAGAAGGAGGGAGGAGGGACGAGGGAGGAGAGAGAGGAGCGCGCCGGGGAGGCGCCGGAGCCGGGAGCGGGGACGGCGCGCAGCGCGAGCGGCGGGCGTTGGGCTGGCGGCTTTCGCGCTCCCGCTCCTGCTCCCGCCCGCACACAGCGGCGCGCTCATCCTCACACGCCCGCCCGCTCCCGGGCCGCCCCGGCGCGGGGCACAGAGGCGGGGACCCGGCGGACAGAGCGCGCCCCGCGCCCGCGCCCGCGCCCACCCCGTCTCCTTTGCGCTCCGCAGCGGCGCGCCTCGCCCGGCGCCCCCGCCAGTCCTGCCGGAAGATGGTCAACGACCGGTGGAAGACCATGGGCGGCGCTGCCCAACTTGAGGACCGGCCGCGCGACAAGCCGCAGGTACGCTCGGGCGCTGGGACACGGGGCCTGGGCGGCTGGCCAGGCGGTGGCCGCTCGGGCCGGCGGGGCGAGCACCCATTGCGGGGGCTGGAGTTTGGGGCGCACCCCTTCGAGGCTCCGGAGGCCCGGGCCGGGATGGGGACCCTCCTCTCCTCCTCCCCGAGCCGAGGCTTGAACTCGAGGTTCGGTGGGGGCGGCACCCCTGCAGGAGCCACGCGCGCTGCGGGCCAGGTCTCCCGCGTCCCCGCACCCCCAGCAGCCCCCTGGTGCACGCGGGTGCAGAGGGAGGCGGGGACTTACAGTTCGCTGTGTGTCCACAGACAAATCAGCCCCGTTGCTGAGTCTCCGTTTCCTCACCTCTACAATGGGCATCTTAACTACCCACAGAATCTCCACTCTGGGCGCTACCCTGTGCCAGGCACCTGGTCCTGAACCTGACCCCCTGAATCTCCTCTGCATCCTTCCCTTTAGCCAGGGCCCTGCATACAGTAGGGGATCAATAAAGATTCATCTCCTGCAGGAACGCTGGGTATTGTGATTTTCTGACTTTAAGACAAGGAAAGCAGGGCTCAGAGATGGTTGGCTCCTGCCTGAGGCCACGCAGCTCTGTCGGGATTTGAACCCTTGTCTGTGTGCTCCAGGGCTGACTCATTCCTCCCTTCCTGCTGCCTCTTCAGGGGCAGTGGAGGTGGGGCTTGGAGGGTGCCCAGGGCTGTGCGGTGGAAGCGGGTGAGGGCAGAACACCTGGGCTGGCCAGCAAGGGGGCTGGAGTCCCGAAGCCAAGGCGGAGGGGAGCCCCAGGGCTGCCCCAGGCTGGGCTGCCAAGGGACTGGGGCAGGCAGGCGAAAACGAGGAGGCCGCTCGCTCACCAAGGAGAGGAGAGAATAGGGCTGCCCATTTTAAATTTTAAATTTCTTCCAGACAGATGTCATTGGGGAAGGAACAGTTCGTGCTTGCAGCTGCAGGAGGGGGCGGCACGGGCAGCCCTTGGTGGTCCCTTCCTCTCAGGAGCTGCAACCTGCTCATTCTTCCTGGTGTGACACTGCCGTGGCACAAGGGCCCAGCCCTCTGCGGTTTGCAAAGCCCCTTCCCATTCATCGGCACTACCTCACTTCTCCAAACAGGCTGGGGGCCAGTGCGTTCCCACATCACAGACCAGGGATCAGAGAGGTTCGGAACATGCCCAAGTCACACAGCACGTTGGCAAGAGAGTGGGGATTCAAACTCTGGTCTAACCACACACCTATCCCACTGCTTCTCCGGGGTGGTCGCGCCCCTCTTTTAGGTCAGGTCTGCACCTAAGCCACCCCAAAATAACAAGTCCCCTCCTGCTGAGATCTGACTTCTCCCCCTTAGCAAGAACTGTCTTAACTTCTAGACCTGTCCTCCAAGGCCATCCCTAACCTGGCATACTGTGCCTTCCCATTGGTCCCTTACAGGCAGTGACTGTTTGTTATTTGCCAACCCTGGGCCCCACACCACGCCGCTCCATTTCCAGATCTTTTCTGTGTCATCTTGTTTGCTTCCCCAGCCTTACACAAACACACACACACACACACACACCCCTTCACTCAGGGACACCCTACATATACTCAAAATCAAGCTCAAATGCTGCCACCTCCTCCAGGAAGACTTCCTGATGCCCTGTGGCTATGTCTCTAAGTTCTAGTAGTGTTTAGCCTGTGCCACTCAGCTGCCTTGTCCTGGGCCCCTCCTGCATCAGGAGATCCCTTTGGACACACCCTCCTCTGGAGCCCATCTCTGCATCTCTCCCTGGGCCCAAGCTCCATTCTTTCCAGGCAGCTCAGGTCAGGCATTGAGAGCGTTTGCTGAATGGCACTGCATGACGCTTCGGCCAGGAAGAGCCTCAGGAGACGGCCAGCAGGCACTGGTCTGTCTCAAGGGGAGGTGCCTTCTGGGGAATGTGTTTGAAATGTGGCTTCAAGGCCTCCAGGCCGGGCCCCGCCTTCCTCTGCTGCTCCCTGGGGGCACAGCTTTCAGCCCCCACACAGCCCAGCTGTCTGCCCCTTGGCATTGGAGGAAGCTCGAGGGCTGTTGCTCCAAGAGCCTGGGCCAATAGCAAGCACCCGCTTCCCCTCCCCGCCCGTTTGGTGACCCAGCATGTAGACAGGCTGTTCCCTGTGCCAGCTCTGGGCTTGTTTGAAGCTTCAGACAAGAGGCAAGGCCTTTCCTGTGGCCACTGTCAGAAGAAAGAGAGAACACTGCTTGCCCTGGTTCCCTTGGGCCTGCCCTCTCCTGGGCCAGCCTTCTCTCCTCCCTTGTGGCCAGGTTTGTCTCACCCACTGACATGCTGTGTGGCCCTGGGTAAGTTACTCCTCCTCTCTGGGCCTGGGCTTCACCATCTGTAAAGTGGGAACAGCAATCTTCGCTTCCTCCTCATTTCACAAGGGCTGTTATGGGGGCCACGTGACATACTGGTGTGTTTTGCAAACTGCAAAGCACTGTGTACTCATGAGGAGGATGCCTCTCGCAGCAGCCTGTCCCTTCCACAGGCTGGCTGTGTCCCGGTCTCCTCTCTGCCCCCCAGGAAACGCCATCTGAACATCTGGTTCCTACAAACGGGGCCTGGCCGAGGTTCTTTAACGGGGATTTTCCTCTGGGAGCATAACGCTGACGCCGCACTCCAAGCACCAGTAGGTCACAGGCCACGACTAAGATTCATTTCTTAGTCACAGCCACCCTAGGAGCTTGGTGGCAGGAGTGATGAACCCATTTGACAGATGAGGAAACTGAGACTAAGAGCTGGAGCTGGGACTCAAACCTGGGTCTTCTTGGACAGCAGACAAGTGCCTAAGGGGTGGCTGGCCGCCCTTTCTTGGTTCAGCCCACTCAGCCCCAGTTGGGACTGCAGTGTCCAGGCTGTGTGGTTCTCAGGGTACCGAAATCACCCGCTGTGAGTGGGTATAGCCCAGGTCCGGAGGTCCTGAAGGACCTTTGTCCAAGTGCAGCCATTTCTGGGAAACGCCTTGGGCCCCATCTGTCCCAGCCCTATCCAGCCTCAGCTACTCTTTGTCGGGCGACCTTGGACAAGTTGCCGATTTGGACTTTGTTAATGCGTCCTCCCTCTCCCTACAGAAGGAGGAGCCTCTCACGCCCTTGGGGCAGGGTGAAACGGTATTTGCCAGGAGTTTGGAGTTTGTCAGATGAAAGGATCTAGAAATAGACATGATTCTTCTGGTCTTGGAGCTTGGGGCAGGAAGTCACTCTGCAACCGTTTCCTCTGGTCAGAGGGGCTTGTTTCTGAGCTGTCTCCAAGCCACCCTACAGGGAGGTCAACTTCCAACCCATCCCAGGCAAGATCTCTTGACGCTTTCAAAATTTCTAAGAACATTTCAGAAAGGAAGAAAGAAAATCTCTTTGGGAAGTTCTTCCTGATGTCTAACCTAAATCCCTGCTGCATTAAATTTACTCAGTGACTATTTAGGGAGGCCCTACCTAATGCTAGGAGGTATAGTCTGGTGGATACAGTCTGTGCCTCAGGGAGCTTAGAGTCTCACGGGGGGAACAAACTCACAGGTCGGGGCGATTGCAAACCATCATGGGTTCTGGAAGATCCATGCCTCTTTCTTCTTGTTCCCTGGGGTTTGGGTTGAGGTCACTGTGCTAGGCTTGGGGTTTCCCAAGCCCCTCCTTCTGAGCTCACTGTTTAGCTGGGGAGTGGTGTGGCTGAGGAGGTAGAATGGACAGGAGCAGGTGACTATCCAGATGTTGGGTGAGGGAGGGAGACCTGAGGAGGTGCCAGCTTTGTGGGGGCAACAGGTAGGGTTGGTGCCATCCCCGAGTGAAAAATAGGAGGGCTCAGGTTTGGGGTGGAGAGACGCTGGTTTGGGCCTCAGTGGGCTTGAGGCCCCAGTGGGCCCTCTGGGAGGCCAGAGCTGTATGTCGCGGGGAGGGTGGGCAAGACCCTTATAGGAAACATCTGGAGAAGCCCCCTCCGTGGTTCAGAGCAAATGCTCCCAGGAAGTGAGACAGCTGGGGGGCTTGGAACCTCCCGGAGGGGCAGAGGCTGGGAGCTCTGTGGGGCGCTCTTGTCCCCTTGGACACCTTCAGCCCCTCCTGCGCCCCTCCCTGTGGCCTGAGACGCCAGATGGCCCTCGGCAGGGTTCTGCTGAAGGGTCCCCAGCGGTATGGCGGTTCCCGCTCAGATCTCACAGAACAAGCCTGCAGACCCCCTTCCTAAGTCTTTGGGACCCCAGAATGGTGAGCAGAGCCACCAACCCTTCACCCCCAGGGGAGTCTCTGGGACCCTCCCTCTGCCAGGGCCAGGGCTCAGAGTTCAGCCCTTACTGGGAGCCATGTGCCCAGCCATGTGCCAGCCGGGAGCAGAGTGGGCTCCTGGGGAGACAGGAGGAATTCCCCTGAGGCTCTGGCCTGAGGCAGGGCCCAGTCCCCTCAACCCACAGAGCCCATAAGCCCCCTGCCCAGGCTCTGTGCAAGCCTCTGCTGGATCCAGAGCCCACAGGACCCCGCCACCTTCAGCTTTCCATTTCCCAGTGCAAAGCCCCAGGATGTGTTTTTGTCATGCAGAACAGCTGCCTGCGTTGGGCTGGGTGCTCTTAGGAGATGGGGGTGGGCGGCAGGAGGGGCACTCACCTGGGTCTAACCTGGCCTGGCCTCCCCCGGAGGGAAACTTTCTTCTTCCTCCTTTCATCTGTGGAGTGTGGTCCCAGTCTCCCCAGGGGACTCCTGCCAGCCAGCTCTCTTAGGAAGTGAGGAGGAAGGGAGGTGTGCCAGCTTAGCAGAGCGCCTTGGCATCAAATCCCTTCCTCCTGAGCCGCCCCCCCCCCACCCGCCCGCCGCTTCCCCAGAACCCCCAAGGCTGGGGTCTCAGAGAAGGTAGCCTGGACAGAGGTCACCCTGTAACTGAGACACCACCGGGGGCTGCCTGCCGCCCTGCTGGCATGAGCTTTATCCTCCTTTTGGCCAAGGCTTCGTAGGCAGCCGTGAACCCTGGGTGGGCACTGGGGGTCACTCGAGGAACCAAGCTGGGTCCCTCCAGCTGGAAGCTCATGCGAGTGGTCAGTGGCAGAAGTGGGCTTTGAACCCAGGGCTCCCGGCTCAGGCCCCGGTCTCTCTCCTGCTCACTTGCCCGAGATGCCCTGTCTTGGGAGCTGGGGGCTCTGTGTGCATCCTCCCCATTCCGCAGCCCCCAGGGAGTGCACCCAGCTCAGCCACACCAGGACGGATGAATCAGCTCCAGCCTCAGGCATACCAGTTGGGCTGCTCAGCGCCCAGAGCCCCCCTTGTTATCTCGGGCAGATTTCTTCGCAAGGCACGTAAACGGCAGCCCATAAAAGCGAACAGTACTTCATCTTTAAGGTGATCTCTGAAGACTAATTCTCCTCTGCTGAGTGCCCTGTTTCATCTCCAAGCTCCGCTGTCCCCCTGCCTCTAGGGGACCCCCTGCGGCTTCCTCGAGCCCCTCCCCATTTCGGTGCCCTCTGCCTTCCCACCAGGGAGGGGCTTGGGTGGGAGGAGGGTGCAAGATAGGGCAGGGGTGTGGGAGTTGCAGAGGGGAGACGGATGACCTCTCTGCCACGCCAGCCCCAGCCTCGCCCGCCAGGGGACCTTAATGCTACACAGTCTGATGATGCAGCCCTGAGCTGCTCGGGGCAAGGTGTCTCCCGACGGGCTCCAGAAGAGTGCATGACAGGGACTTGGCTGCTGACACAGAGCTTTGTATATCAAACCCAGCCATACTTTAGGCAGGGAAGGAAATCATAGAACGGCCCAGTTAGCGGCCCTGGCACAGAGGCAGTTGAATGAATGAGTGAGTAAAAGAAGTCAAAGGCCACAACAATCTGTCTTGTAAGCACCCTAACGGGGGGAGCACAGAGGAGGAGCCCCTCCAAGCTGGGGGGAGTGGAGTAGAAACAGTCAAGGAAGGCTTCCTGGAGGAAGTGACAGCTAGCTGAGCCCTGAAAGAAGAGAATACATTAGGCCAGTGGAAAAGGAGGAGGGGAAGCAGATGCTTCTGGCTGGCCAAGGGAGCAGTTTGTGCAGAGCTGGTGGAGGGGAACTGTGCATTTGGGTCTGGCTGGAGTAAATTGTCTTGATGCGTGGAGCCCGGAATGGACGCGGCCCCCAAGAGAACTGGGCAGGCGTGGAGCACTGAGTCCTGGCAGCCGCATGACAATAGGGACAGGCCAAGAAACTCTCTTCCGCATCCTGACAACAAAGCAGATCTCTTTCCCGGGGGTCTGCATGTCCAGGCGCATGTCCCCTCCACCCCGTCCTCTTCGGGTGCCAAGTAGGTCATCCGGCAGGTCCTTGTGGAATTTGAATTTACAAAAATGATTCTTTCCTCTGCCTCATCTTCTAGGTAGTAAGACACAATGATGTAAGAGGCATCTGTCTCTGTTCAATGTATCACTAAGAAAGCAAGCAAGCTGTCAATTACGATTGTAAGATGTCCCCCCATGTTGGAGATGCTAAAACGTGAAAAAAAGAGAACATGCGTCCCAGCATTGACGACACACAGAAATAACACTTTGGGTGGAAAAAAATGTCCTCCAGATGCTGTGTGCACATTGATCATGGGATAATGAAAGCCACTAATATTTACTGTGCCAGCACAACGTGCCAGGCACGGCTCCAAGTGCTTTAATATACGAAGTCATTTCAAGACAAGTCTCAAATTCGGAAAGTTGAAAAGGTGGGGAAAATGTGTCTGAGAGTTGAGGAAATTCAATCATAGGAGGGGCCTGGCCCAGAGAGGAAGGCAGGAGGCTCGGGGCCTAATCCCAGTTCTGCTTTTATTTGCAGTGTGATTCTGGGAGAGCCCCTTGCCCTCTCTGGGCCTCAGTTTTCCCTTGTGTGTAATGCTCAGGGGCCATGAGCGAGTCTGCCCAGTGAATCTGGGCCTCCGAGAGCGTGTGCGGCCACGCTCTGGCACCTCCGCTCACCACAAGCTGTTCCTTGGTCCTGGCTTCTGGCCAACACAGTTTTTTATCGCGCCTGCCCTTCGTTTCCGTTTTTGTTTTTTGTTTTTTGTTTTTTGTTTTTTTGAGACGGAGTCTAGCTCTGTCTCCAGGCTAGAGTTCAGTGTCATGGTCTTGGCTCACTGTAACCTCCACCTCCCAAGTTCAAGGAATTCTCGTGCCTCAGCCTCCCGAGTAGCTGGGATTTACAGGCATGTGCCACCATGCCCAGCTAATTTTTGTATTTTTAGTAGAGATGGGGTTTCACCTTGTTGGCCAGGATGGTCTCGATCTCCTGACCTTGTGATCTGCCCGCCTCGGCCTCCCAAGTGCTGGGCTTACAGGCGTGAGCTACCTCGCCGGGTCCCGTTCCTGGTTTTGAGATATGGCTTGTTCTGGAGTGACAGCCACCTGTTGCCTCAGCCCCCCTCCTCCTTGGAGGGCAGCAGGCCTCTTCTCCAGGGTGGCCTTAGGGCTACCTGGCCCAGCGGGTTGGCATTTGCTCTGCCAGGGGCCTGCTCTGTGAAGAGATAGAGGAAGGAGAGAGGATGGGGTGGGGTGCGGGGAGGAGGTGCCTAGGAGCCCCCATGTGCCCTGGGGACTGGAGAACAGCAGGACAGAACACGGGATGTGGCTGCTGCAGTTGGAAGGGACCTTCCGTGATGGGTGCCCGCTACCCCAGGGCACTCGTTCCCAGAGACAGCACGAGACCATCTATAGCATCGCTGCTGTTGCATCACAGCTCTCTCTGACCAGTGTATAGAGAGGTGGGTGTCTCTATATTGCTCTGTTTTACAGGCGAGGAAACTGAGGCTCAGAGAGGTGAGGCCCCTGGCCCAAGGTCACACTGTGGGAAATGCAGCTTAGAGGCCTGAGCCCTGTCCCGTCTGGCTGCAGAGGTGGGATCTCCACCTCCAGCCCTTACTGGGTGGTGTGGGCTCCACGGGGGCCACACGGCCACACACACAGGTGACCGTGGGTCCCTGGGCTGTCACTGTGCAGGGCATGGGGGGAGGTGGGTGGCAGGGGCAGCGAGAGGGAAGGCTTGGCATTCTGCTTGTGTCTTTGTGTCTTTCTGCCTCAGTTTCTATTTCCCATCCTGTCCGTCTCCATCTCCCTGCATCTCCCCGCGTCTCCCTGCGTCTCCCCGCATCTCCCCATGTCTCCCCGTGTCTCCCCGCGTCTCCCCGCATCTCCCCATGTCTCCCCGCATCTCCCTGCGTCTCCCTGTGTCTCCCTGCATCTCCCTGCGTCTCCCCGCGTCTCCCCGTCTCTCCCTATGTCTCCACCTCCCCTCTGGGGCTCTGTCTCTCTCCACTTTCTCCCTGAGGCGCTCACTGTGTCCCTCTCACTGCATCTGTGGCTGTCCCTGTCTCTCTGTCTCCCCTTGGACTGTCTCTCAGTGCCTGTCTCATCTCAGTCTCTGTGCCACGCCCTTGCCCAGCCCCCCAAGAAGGGGGTCCTCTGACCCCAGGTATGCCTCTAATGCTGGCCCCTTCTCTCTCCCGTCTGTCTGTCTGTGTCTGTGCGTCCCGGGCGGGCCTGCAGCGGCCGAGCTGCGGCTACGTGCTGTGCACCGTGCTGCTGGCCCTGGCTGTGCTGCTGGCTGTAGCTGTCACCGGTGCCGTGCTCTTCCTGAACCACGCCCACGCGCCGGGCACGGCGCCCCCACCTGTCGTCAGCACTGGGGCTGCCAGCGCCAACAGCGCCCTGGTCACTGTGGAAAGGGCGGACAGCTCGCACCTCAGCATCCTCATTGACCCGCGCTGCCCCGACCTCACCGACAGCTTCGCACGCCTGGAGAGCGCCCAGGCCTCGGTGCTGCAGGCGCTGACAGAGCACCAGGCCCAGCCACGGCTGGTGGGCGACCAGGAGCAGGAGCTGCTGGACACGCTGGCCGACCAGCTGCCCCGGCTGCTGGCCCGAGCCTCAGAGCTGCAGACGGAGTGCATGGGGCTGCGGAAGGGGCATGGCACGCTGGGCCAGGGCCTCAGCGCCCTGCAGAGTGAGCAGGGCCGCCTCATCCAGGTAGGGCTGGGGTCTGCATCTTGGGGTCTTGCTGGAGGCGAGGGGTTGGTGCTGCTGCTGCCATGTGCCAGGCGCCTGATGTCCATGGCCTCACTTAATCCCCAAGGCCCCAGACAAGGGGCTACTGCTGTTCCCATCTACAGACAAGCCCATGAAGCTCAGGGAGGCGCAGTCACTCATCCAGGGCCGCACAGCTACTGGGAGCCAGGATTCAAATCCTGTTTCTTTCCCGGTGACCCGGTAAACTGTACAGCACCCCACGGCACTTGGCACTCAGTAAATCCAGGGCTTGGGGCTTCCCCAGTGCTCCAGGGTACAGGTGAGGCAGGGCATTCCCCCATCAGGAGCAAATCGAGGCTCAGAGAGGGGATGCGACTTGCTGAAGGGCATGTGGCTGATCAGTGCTACCCCCTCAGAGCCGCACCCCATCTCTCCATACCCCCTCCCAGTTCACACCATGCAATACCCACAGCTTCCCAGGGACAGAGAGACCAGTCCAGGCAGCCCAGCCAGACCCCTAGCCTGTCCCAAACCACCTCCACCCTCCCCACCCCTGCCCCCAGCCAAGCCAGGCTCCAGCCAGCTCCAGGTGGGTCTGGGTGAAGGCTTTCCAGCTTCGGCTCTGAGACCATGCTGGAAGCACCACCCACAAGAAGTTCCTCCTTCATAGGATGAGGGATTTGGGATCGTCTCATCTGCCTCCACCATTTTCCAAGACAGAAAATGGTGGCCTAGAAATGGGTGGTGATTTTTCCTGGGTGCCGTGGCCAGGTCAGACCTGGAATCCAGCCCCTGCTGGAGCCCTGCCCGGCCCCTGGCCCTGTGCCACGTTCTCCCGGTGACTCAGATCCCTGGAGGCTAGGAGCCAAGCCCCTGCCCCCACGGGCGCCCAAGCCCCTTCCGCCCCACCGCCCCCAGCAGCCACTGAGAGATCCAGGCATTTGGTCACTCAGCTGCTCATGAGCAATGGGCCCTTTCCCTCCCTTTGAAGGCAGCAGCTGGAGAAATTACAGTCCTCATCACCCTGTCTGGGTGACTGATGGGAAGGTGGCTTCCCCCTCCCGGGGTAGAGGGATGTTTAGACCGCCTTCCAGCTGCCCCTCCATGTGCAACTTCCCCAGGCCTCATCAGCAGGGCTGGGGGCTGGGGGTACCTCCTGACTTTCTGGCTGACCTGGGACCCCCACCTCACTCCAAATTGCTCAGCCCCTGGTCAGCTCAGGCCCAGTTCATGAAGGCCCACCCTTAGAGCTGGGGTGGGGTATTTAGAAGGAGGGACCCCAGAGTCCTGCCCTCCCAATAGCCTGCGCAGAGGTACAGAGTATTCCCACAAGACTAACAGCCTTTCTGGGCCCAGGAGTGCCAGCTCACCTGACATATTTACTTCCCCAAAAATGTTTGATTTGACTCATTCCCCACAGACTGGATGATTCAAGAGACAGTGGGTCTTTATGTTTCATTCAGAGGCAGCGAGCCGTGCTCCTAACTCCTCCCTTCCAAGCTTCCCAGACCCTCAGCTGATCAGCACAGATGTGGGTTTCTCAAAGCTGTGCCTACAGGCAGCCTGGGTTGGAATCGCCAGAGGTGCTTGTTAAAAGGCAGCTTCCCGGCCAGGTGCAGTGGCTCATGCTGTAATCCCAGCACTTTGGGAAGCCGAGGCGGGCAGATCACTTGAGGTCAGGAGTTCAAAACCAGCCTGGCCAACATGGTGAAACCCCGTCTCGACTAAAAATACAAAAATTAGCCAGGCGGGCGCCTGTAATCCCAGCTACTCAGGAGGCTGAGGCAGGGAAATTGCTCGAACCCGGAAGGCAGAGGTTGCAGTGAGCCGAGATCACGCCACTGCACTCCAGCCTGAGCAACAGAGCGAGACTCTGTCTCAAAAAAAGGAAAAGGCAAGTTCCTGGGCCTCATCCCCAACCCCCTGCAGCCCCCCAGCCGGGGTTGATTCTCATGTGTAGTCCCTGAGGCCTGCTGGTCACGGCTGAGCTGAGCCATTCTGCCCTGAGGGTGTGAGTCCGCAGAGCTGGGATCCAGTCCAGGCCCCATCTGTGCCAGCTGTGGGATGCCGGGCAGGTTGCTTCCCCTCTCTGGGCTGGGTCTTGTCACCCGTGAGATGTGCATAACACAGTCTATGCTGAGGGGATATTGGAGCGCCTGGCTACAGGGCTTGGCTGGCTCTGTCACGTGGGGGATACTCATGGTCTGCACCATCAACGTCTCCTTATTATTATAGTAGAAATTGTTTGTGAGCTGAAATTTAAACCTATAGGGAGCCACCATGCCACTATTGAAAACTCCCTTTTCTTTTTTCTTTTTTTTTTTTCGAGACAGTCTTACTCCGTCACCCATGCTAGAGAGCAGTGGCACAATCAGGGCTTACTGCAACCTCCACCTCCTGGGCTCAGACAATCCTCCCACCTCAGCCTTCTAAGTAGCAGTCACTACAAGTGTGCACCACCATGTCTAGCTAATTTTTTTGATTAAAATTTTTTTGTAGAGAGGTCTTGCTATGGTGCTCAGGCTGGTCTCAAACTCCTGGCCTCAAGCAATCCACCCACCTCGGCCTCCCCACGTGCTAAGATTACTGTGTTGGGCCGAAAATCCCTTTTCTGGTAGGAGTGATAGGCCTATACCATGTGCTGGGCTCCGCGTTAATAGGCACTTTGCAGCCCCATAACGCCAGGAGGTTAGTACATTTGTTATCCCATTTTATTTTATTTTAATTCATTTATTTATTTTTTGAGACACGGTTGTCTCGCTCTGTCACCCAGCTGGAGTGCAGTGGTTCAATCTCGGCTCACTGCAACCTCCGCCTCCCAGGTTCAAGCGATTCTCCTGCCTCAGCCTCCTGAGTAGCTGGGACTACAGGCGCCCGCCACCACGCCCGGCTAATTTTTTTGTATTTTTAGTAGACACAGAGTTTCACCATGTTGGCCAGGCTGGTCTCAAACTCCTGACCTTAGGTGATCCACCCAACTTGGCCTCCCAAAGTGCTGGGATTACAGGCGTGAGCCACCACACCCGGCCTTGTTATCCCATTTTATGGAGAGGCAGACTGAGGCTCTGAGTGACAGGTGCGTGTGCAAGCTCACTCACACAGCTAAGCAGTGCCGGGGACAGCAGCTCTGACACCACTACCGCTAAGCGCTGTCCAGCCCTCCCCTGATGCGCCTCTGCAGCTCGGCAAGCAGGGACTCACTTCCCCATTAATTCGGGGCATGTTTATATGTACATTTTCAACTTTAATCATCTGCTGGTTTAAACAGAGGTCTTCCCTGCCCGTTAGCAAGAGGGAGGAGGCCGTGCCTGAGTTTTTTTTAGTGCGTTGTGGCCGTGTTGACTCAGATAAATGGGCAGTACCAGTGTGACTTAACCAAGTGATGTTTGCCGCACACACATCGCACGGCGGCCCCCACCTACCGTCTTCCCTCCTGCCCCGGTTGGGGTGTGCTGCCTGTGTCCCTCTGTGGGGCGTGCCCAGTGGAGCTCGTCTACAGGATGCTGCCGTGAAACCCAAACGCCCTGCCTGCCCATCTCTGCTCCTCTCTCCCCTGGCCTCAGCCCTCACTGAATCACCTGCTCAGCAGAGGGGAAACTGACAGGGAAACTAAAAGCTTTGCAGGGCCCCTGCCTCTGGACGAGCCGGGAATCATATTTTGTAAACTGCCGGCACTGTATATTTCTATTTTCCTTCCACGAATGGGCTATTATCTGGCAAGTGACATGTTAGGTGTATAAAGACCCGGCCGGCTCCATGCTCACTGGCTGGCCAGCTATAGCTTGCCCACTACCCCCTCACCCTCCACGTGGTCCTGCAGCCTCCTGAAGCCCAGGGTGGGGGCAAGAGACCTCAGACCCTTCAGGCACTCAACACAGGCAGAGGCGCTGGGGGACAGCATTGCGCTTGCCAAGCTCCAACCCCAGGGCTGTGTTGGAGGGAGGGGCGGGGGTGAAGGATGGAGAACAACGGCTGAGCTCCCCAGCCCAGGCTCTCCTGAATCCCCCCGCTCA
Organism: Homo sapiens; assembly: GCF_000001405.40. Classification (NCBI taxonomy): domain Eukaryota; kingdom Metazoa; phylum Chordata; class Mammalia; order Primates; family Hominidae; genus Homo; species Homo sapiens. The sequence goes on along the minus strand of NC_000009.12, from coordinate 130,925,553 downwards.
GAGAAACAGGGCTCATTATCCTGGGTTACAAGGAAATGGAGACGTGGAGAGATTCGGACACTGTTCCGGGGTCACGCAGCTAGTGAACGGGGGAGGGACTGGAGTCAAAACACAGACAGTCAACACCAGAACCTGGGTCCAAACCACCGCCCCGTCCCCACCCTGACCCTGGTCTCCTACACAAGAACACAGCCCCGGGCCCCTTTCCTGCCAGCCCGCCCTAGGGAAGTGGCCTGAGTCCTGGTCCCTGCCCCCAGTGCCATCCTTCGCTCTCAGGGATTGCTCTTTCGGGGCCTCAGTTTCTCCATTTGTCACAAGAGATGACAACCTGAAGTCCTCCCTCTTTGCAGCGTGGTGGGGGACCCAGTGAGGTCATGGACATCGGAGAGCCCCAGAAACTCAGAGTGATGTTTGCATGGGGAGTGGGGGTGGGACGGGGGAGCCTTGTTGGTCCAGAAGCCTGAGGGGCTGCGCAAAGGCTCCTGTGGCCTCCCCAGCCTCAGGGCACCCCTCTGTCAAGTGCAGATCAATCACTCCTACCTCAGCAGCCTTGCTCGGGATCGGAAGAGGCAGCGGTGGGGATGTCTGGTAGCCTGGAAGGTGCTGTGGGAACTTGGTGTGCTGAGTACCCGGCCGGTCCTTGCCGCTGTGCTGGGCACCTCCCATGTGTTGTCACTGGTCCCCATAGCAGTTTGGCCAGGCCAGGGGAGACGAGGCGTGGTGAGGACATTCGCCCCTAGTCATATAACCGGCAAGTGGACGTGTTGGGCTCCAGCTGGATTTGCCCAACACGGGGCACTCTCTCCCCACCTGGCACGGCCTCCTCCAGTTTACTCTTCCCTGGGCCGAAGAGATGGCCGAAGAACGCAGCCTGGGGCAGCAGGGGTGGCAGGTGCCTGCTGGAGCCTCCTTCCCCTCCCGCCTGCTCCCCGGCCCTCCCAGCCCTCGAGGCCCCAGAGCACAGGCTCCATCATAGCCTGGCTGGCCCCTCAGACCACCTTGGACAGGGACCCAAGGGGCAGGGCAGGGCGGGGCCTTGAGCCAGAAGCCCACCTCTGCCTCAGGAGAGGGCCCACTCTGGCCAGTGACCTGCTATGTGCGCCACCCCACCCCCAACAGAGCCCCTGCCCCCTCGGCTCACCCCCTGTGCTCCGCAGCTTCTCTCTGAGAGCCAGGGCCACATGGCTCACCTGGTGAACTCCGTCAGCGACATCCTGGATGCCCTGCAGAGGGACCGGGGGCTGGGCCGGCCCCGCAACAAGGCCGACCTTCAGAGAGCGCCTGCCCGGGGAACCCGGCCCCGGGGCTGTGCCACTGGTGAGTGGGGCAGGGCCTGCCTTCCTCCGGTGCCTCGGGTCCCAGCTCTGGGGAGCGGGGAAGTTGGGGTGAGGGTTCCCCAGCCATGAGACTCCAGGGCCCGACCCTACTTCCATGTGGCCTGCGCTGAAGCCCTCTCGGTCCATTCTCCAGATGAGGAGAGTAAGTCCCAGAGAGGGTGATTCTCTCACCCAGCCACAGCAGGGAGTGGCAGAGCCAAGGTCGGACTCCAAGGCCAGTGCTCTCTCAACCCCATGGGACCCCACATGCATTATCGATGGACAGACAGTTTGGCCAGGGGGCTGGGCAGGAACGTGCTGGGGCCGCAGCCACCCTGACAGCCTTGCCTCCCTCAGGCTCCCGGCCCCGAGACTGTCTGGACGTCCTCCTAAGCGGACAGCAGGACGATGGCGTCTACTCTGTCTTTCCCACCCACTACCCGGCCGGCTTCCAGGTGTACTGTGACATGCGCACGGACGGCGGCGGCTGGACGGTGAGTGTCCCAGGCTGGGCGGGCGGCAGGGCAGGCACCGGGGACCGTGAGGCTGTGTACCTGAACCCGGGCATTCCGAGCAGCTTCCTACCCAGCCCTCCACCATGGATCTGTGGACTGGCCCTGCCCTGGTGCCCTTCTGCCTGGCCTGACCCCACCCCTACAGAAGAGGGGAACAGGGGACTCTGTGAGCTGACCCTGGGGTACCCACTCTGGAGCGGACATTAGGCAGGAGCCACCTTGGGCTCCCTGAGATCCCCAGCTGTGGCTCTTCCAGCAGGGGGTGGGGCGGGGTTTGGGCCTAGGACGACACATGGCAGCAGGAACCTGTTGCTAACGTGGGTTCCAGGGCTGATGTGTGTGGGCGCCCGGCTTTTTGAACTACCCAATACACGGCGCGTGTGCAGAAGAAAAAGGAGGAGTGTGGCTGGAGGAGCAGAGACCCCCCACAGCTATGGGCTGACAAGTGCTGTCTGATTCCTGCACCTCCTGGTTCCTGCCTGGGTGGGAAACAGGAGCGAGATGCCCCAACTGCCAGTCACAGGGCAGGGGCGGGACCACAGAAGGTGCTGGGAGAATGGGGCAGACGCCCTGCTTTGAAGACCAGGAGGACTGGCTCTTTAAGGCTTCTCAGCTTCACATTTCATTTCAGTTGGACAGACATTTTTGAGCACCTACTGTATACTGGGTTCCGGGGAAGCACAGAGATGGAGAAGCCCCTGTCCCAGTCCTCCCGAGGAATTTACACGCCAGGGGGCATTGGGGGCGGAAGAAGTCACTGTAGCAGAGGGGAGGGTAAAGCTTCCTGGAGAAGGGGGCATTTCTCATGAGCCATTAAAGCAGGGAGGATTTCTGAGTGCGGGCAGGAAGGAGAAGGTATTCCAGGAGGAGGGGGCAACCTAACGCGGCTACCAGGGAACATCTGAGGAGCAGGGCCCGAGGGATTTGTGGTGCGTGATGAGATGAGGCTGGAGTGTTCCAGCCCCAGGCTGCAGGGTTGGGACACACAGTCGGGAGCTACTGGGGGTGTTGAAGAGAGGAAGACGGGATGGGGACTGTGCTTCAGGAGAGGTGACTTGGCGGTGTGCATCCTTGGGCAGTGGGGAGAGGGACGGGGAGGAGGTGTTTCGACCGTTCAGTCCACAGGTCTATGATGGGACCCCGACAGCAGATGTCAGAGAGGCGGGGAGCCTGGAGGTTCCACGCTCTGGCCCTGTCATCCACAGGCTGCCCCAGGCATGGCTCTGAGTCCTGCTGTGTGACCTGGGGCAACTTACCTCGGTTCTCTGAGCCCCCGTTTCCTCAGCTGTGAAACGGGGATGCCCACCTACATCCTTAGACCTCTTAACTGCAAGCACAAGAAAGTGGGGGGCTCAGCTGAGAAGAAGTGTGCTGGAGAGAGACTGGGAGGCCGGCGATGCCAGTCAGGCCTGCTTAGCCAGGAACAGAGACCCCAGACCAGGCCCGGGGGTGGGCCGGTGAGAACCCCACCGCCCCAGGGCTGCTGCCACTGAGTGCGGGACGCATCTCGCCTGGGATCTTGGTGCTGACTATTTTTGGTGTATTGATGTCCAGGCCCACAAACATCTGGGGGAAGGGCTTAACATCAGACAAAACAAGTGACCGAGAAACAGGAGAGAGGGAAGCCTCTTGGCGGGGAGTTTTTGGGGGAGGCAGGGGTGCAGGCAGCCTGGGTCAGTTTTGAAAGGGGTCAGCGGTCCCCAGCAGAGGCAGGACGCGGGGAGGCCCGCACAGGCGGCCGGTGGAGGGACGAGTCCGCCAGCAAGGCAGAGCCTGCTATGTTAGGAGTCAGCGTGCGCAGATGAGAATCCCCACAAGACCCCAAAGACAGACACATCTCTAAACCTGTCTTCAAGCTCCAGAGGAGAGCTTTTAAAAATGTACTGGAGCTGCGTCTGGGGGATAAAAGCTCTTTTGTTTTCCTAACGCCAAGAACGTCTGAGTTATGGCATTTGCTTCTGGGAACCCCTTGGCGGGCGGAACAGTGAGGAGGCACCAGCCGAACCCAGAAATCAGAGTTCAGGGTCAGGACAGGCTTAATGAAAGATCAGGACGCCGGAGCGGGCCATGCGTCTTCCACTCTGGTGGACATGAAGCCAATCTCCCGGGAAGTCAATCAGGATTTGGGCTGGGAGGCCGGTCATTCCGACGGACTCAGCTTCAGGGGCGATTAGAGGGGAGTCGATGAGGAAATCCCCGCCAGCCCTGGCGCTCAGACACCCGGTTCCGGGGGCCCTGGGAGAGAGGCCATTCTCATCTGAGAAGTGCTTGCCTGGCCAGTGAGCATTAATATCCATTTGGGCCTCCATCAGAAGCAATCTTTTCCCAGGAACCTCTCGACATCTGTCAGGATCACCCCCCGCCACATGGAATCCGTCAGAAACTCAGTTTTTGTTTGGGAAGGAGCTGGCTGCCACCTCTCCAGCCCTGGATACCATCCATCCTCATTAGACTCCCTGTCCGAACTGCTAGGCCTTCAGCGCCAATGCCACCTGATCCTTCCTGGAGGACAGGGCACCTGGAACTGTGCCCCGAGACCCTGGGGCTGGACAGTCTCACCAGAGCCTGCTTCCCGGAGGGACCTGTGTGGGCAAGGGTGCAACTCAGCAGCCTGTCCCCAGGGCCACTTTACAGTTCATACACCCCTGCCCCCCACCCCCGGCATCACGCCAGCGCCCTTCAATCCCTGGAGGCAGGCAGGGCAGCCTCAGAGAAGGCCAGGGATGTGCCCGAGGTCACCCAGCAGCCTCCAGGCCTCCCACAGTGGCACACGCTCATTCTTGTGTTCAAACCTTGAATGCCTAAAGCAAGCCGGGGTCAGGGAGGTCAGCAGCGACGAGACAGCTCAGCGGGCTCCCAGCCTGGTGGACAGAAGGACAAGGAAGCCGACTTGTGCCAGGGATGGGGAGCCCCAGGGCCCAGAGGACAGACCCCTGTTCCAGTGTAGGGGGTGGGAGGAGTGAGGGGCAGGGAGACGGTATGGCTTGTTTGGGGGCCACGGTGGCTTGGTGCTACTGGCCTATCTGGTTTAAGGAGGTTTGGCGGCAGGGGAGGCGGCAGGTGGTCCTCAGGCCCCATCATCACCCCCATCACAGGTCCTGCCCTTCCGTGTCAGGAGTCCCAGGGGCAGGGACCACACCCTCCTGTGGCCATGTTAGCTCAGGGTGGGCACCGCACCTGCACACCCTCGGCACTCTCTAAATGCTTGCCAGATGATGGCTGTTGGCACCCTTTGGCTGTGTAGCTTTACCTCTGTTAAGTCTCGCTTTTCTCATCTGTAAAATGGGTACCATATAGAGCCGCTCTGCAGATGGGGACAAGTCAGAACCCTTCACAGGCTGCTCATCTGTGAGGAGTGAGCGGGGAGCGGGGCTGGGAGGGAGTCAGTGCTGAGCCCTGGGGGTTCCCTGTGAACACAGGATCTGGCTCTGCCTTGTAGCATCTTATAATCAAGGGGAGGCGGAGTGGTAAAAAGAAAGGCCAGATGTCCTTATTCAGAAGGTGCCGAGTGGGATGAAGCCAGCCATTGCCAGCCCACAGCCCCCACCCCCAGCGCCCCTGGCTGTGTGAGATGCCAGGGTCACGTCCCTTCTTGGAGGGCCCCTTGCTCATCTGTCCAGTGGGGCGGCCCTCTTGCCTGCCTTTCAGGGCCTGGGGAATGGGCTGGCTGTGCCCAGAACCTGCAGGTGGGCGGAAGGAGGGCCCCTGCTCAGCCTCAGTGCCTGGGCTCCCCGCCCCCACCCAGCCTCCCTGCCCTGCCGCACAGTCTTGTCCCCACTGCAATCTGCCGGGGGCAGTGCTGCCCCCCAGGCCTGACTGCCAAGCCCTCAACATTGCATAGTCACTGGCTGGGGTCACACACGTGAGGTCCAGATCAACATGTCCTTCAGCAGGGACTTGGAGTGGCCATGATAGGACCCCATACCTACCTGCTCCGCTCCCAGGCACAGCCAACGTCCCCCAACACCACGGTGCCAAGTGGCCCAAACCCTGTTCTTTGCAGCCCTGTTCTCCGCCAGGTGCTTCCTTTGTGCGAGGTCAGCCAGTTCACATCTGCCTGTAATTGGCTCCCCTGGAAAGGAGCCCCCACATCCCCCCACCTGAGCTCTTTAGGCCGGGAGGAAAATCCTGCCCTCACATGGAGAACGTCAGAGGAGCCCAACAGCAGGCTCAGGCTCAGGGAGGGATGAAGAGCTCCTGGGGCCTCCCCAGGTGCCAGCCTGGACCCCTGTGCCGGGGAGGCTGAGCAGCAGGACCTCGGGGTCCAACAGATGAGATGTTAGCTCCTTCCTACTTGGGCTGCAGCTGCGGCCGGCCCTCCTTGTCCCAGAGGCAGTGGTGGCAGGGGATCTGCTGTGACATTGGTGGGCCACAGTGTCCCCACGCTACTGCCTGGCCCACACCCTGCCTGGGGAATGGTCCTCAGAGCACACACACATTCATAATGGCGAGGTGACCGGTGACCGGGGACAACACCCTCACATTTCCTTCGTTCATCGTGCAAAGAAAGCGTGCCTCCGTGGGGAGCAGTTTGGGTTTTTCAAACTTTGAACAGAAACAGGACAATGCACGTGCAGGGCCCAGCCCCGCGCCCGCCGTGGCTCAGCACCCGAGAAACGGCAGCTTGGCAGTGCTGTGCCAAGAGCCGGCAGGCGCCGACTGCCAAGCCTGGGAATGACGGCAGGGCGCCAAGCCTGGGGGTACCGTTTTCAGTCAAAAACAAGGAGTGGGTCCGATTTCCTTCTGGGCTCAGCAGCTGGCTCTGCAGGGAGGGTGGTGATGTTGGTTAGGCCTACTGTGCGCCGTCCGTTTACGCATTGACTTGATTGCCTCTTCCCCACCGGCCCTGCGCGGGCTTATGCAGAGAGAAACAGACTCAGAAAGGTTCTGCAACCTGTCCGAGGTCACGTGGCCTGTGAGAGGTAGTCAGGATTTGAACTCAGCTCTGCCTTGTTCCTGACTGAGCCCAGAGGCCTCCCTGGGGGCACTGCCCAGAGGTGTCCAGAAAGGAGTTAAGGGAAAGCCAGACTCCTGGGAATGCCGCAGAGCCGCCCCAGGGCTGCCTTTGAAGGGCTGCCGTAGCTCACACATCCAAGTTCTTTGTTCTTTAAAAACATGCATCCTCCTCTGCCAGGACCCCTCTGCCCCCCTCCCAGAATCACCTGATCAGAAAGCCCGGGAGGCTGGGAGAGGCCACAGCTCCACAACCAAGACAGTCCTGTCTGTAACTGGTTTCTGCAGCAGTTTCATCACAGTCTAGGAAAAACCGCAGTTGCTGCTTCCAGGGGGCCGTTCTAAGGCATCGGAGACCCTCTCTCCCAGTCTCATAGGGTTTGGACCCACCCACCCCCCATTCCTTGGGTTTCAGCTCCTCTGCCCAGCTGGCAAGGCTCTGCTTAATGTTCCATTCAGCCAGGCATGTCCTCCTCCAGGGAGCCCTCCCAGATAACCACCTCCAACTGCCCCAGCAGAGGGACTCACTCCTTCTCAGGGTTCCCAGCAAGCTCTGTTGAATGCTGTGCACCAGCACATTTAATTCTCATCAAAACTTTGTGGGTTGAGGCTTTTATAATCCTAGCTTTACAGATGAGGAAACTGAAGCCTGGGGTTTGGAGGAATGTGCCAGGGTGGGAGCTGCTCTGCCCTATGGCTGCTGGCTTGTGCGTCGTCTCTCATGGGGCTGTGAGCTTTGAGGGCCAAGGTCATCCCTGTGAGCCCCGAGCACACACGGGGTGCTGTGCAGGAGCCCTTGTTTTGCAGGGGAGAAGCCACGTATCCTGTTGGCTGGAGTCTGGGTAGAACTCAGGTCTCCTGGGTGCCAGCCCAGGGAGCTCCCTGGGACTGAGCGTGCACTCTCATCCCCACTCCTCTGGCCATCTCAGCCCTGCGCACCTGGGTTGCCCACTCCTCCAAGCCTCAGTCTTCTCATCTGCCTAATGGGAGCACCAGTCGTCCCTCCAGGGCTGTGGCGGGGAAGGCCGTGGTCATCCTCTACGGCACTGGCCGGGTGCTAGGGTGACCACAGAGCCCAGCTCAGTGCTCAGGACGCTAGCTGCATGTTCTGGGCACAGTGGCAAAGCAGCAGCTGGTTGGTCAGGGTCTGTCTGCAGAGGCAGCCCTGGGCGGGATGCAACCTGCGGAGTGTAAGGCTGCAGCGGCCCAGAGGCATCTCCGCCTCCCTCGGTCCCCAGGCCCCATCTGACAACACAGGGCCGTCGGTGGCTGCTGCTGTCTTCCTTCCTCCGCGTCCAGAGCTGTCACTCCTTCCTCCATGTCCAGAGCCGTCACTCCTTCCTTTGAACCCGCCCAGCACCATCTGCAGGACCATGTGGGCCCAGCTCTCCCTTGGCAGAGCCCCTCTAAGCGGCACTTCCAAGGTGCGCCGGGCGGCGGGCTTCTGAGAATCCGCACCAAGAAAACACTCTCTGTCTGTCTTCCCACTCGTGGCATCTGCCCAAGAGGCTGCGGCTGCGGCGAGTGTTTCTACTCAATCGTTTTCCAGCCGGGACCCAAGAGAGACGCCCCCCCGGAGCTGGACCAATTCATATTTTGGCCTGAAAATGAATCAGTAATTTTTGTTTCCCTACCTTTTGCTCCCCGCCTCCATTTTGTTTTGTTTTGTTTTAAGACGAGGTCTCACTCTGTTGCCCAGGCTGGAGTGCAGTGGTGTGATCTTGGCTCGCTGCAACCTCTGCCTCCCAGGTTCAAGTGATTCTCCTGCCTCAGCCTCCCGAGTAGCTGGGATTAAAGGCGCCTGCCACCACACCCAGCTAATTTTTGTATTTTTAGTAGAGATGGGGTTTCACCATATTAGCCAGACTGGTCTCGAACTCCTGACCTCAAGTGATGTGCCTGCCTCAGCCTCCCAAAGTGCTGGGATTACAGGCGTGGGCCACCGCGCCCAGACTCCCCACCCCTTTTTGCCTAGTGGGGATTCACGTTCGGTGGGTGGGGCAGAAAGAAGGGGAAGTGGACGCCTGGATCCTTTCCTTACTTCCTCCCTCTGTCCTCCCATCCCACTGGTCCTCGCTGTGTAATTAAAGCCCTCTGTGCTTGGCCACATCCAGGCATCTGGCGTCACCAAGGTCCAGTGTCGCTGAAGCTGTTTGCCAGAAATACAAAGCCACAGCTGCAGTTTATCCTGGGCTCAGAGTCAGACTAAACATTCCCCCACACGGGAAGCTGGGAGGACCCACCTGACGATCTGGGCCGTGCTCGGCACTTGCACTAGTCAGGCCACGTTGGGCTGTCATTGGCTCGAGGTCGGGGCAGGGTTTCCAAGCCCGAGATCCTAGCACAGGGCCCGGCACAGGCAGTCACTTGGGGTGTGAACCAAGAAATCAGGACAGCCCGTGGCAAAGGCTGTCAGTGGTTCCCAAACTGCGGGCGTACTCCGTGGGTCACTGGCAAAATCAACTGAATGGGTTTGATCAACATTATTTTTTCAATCAAATAGAGTGGAATAGAACATGATAGAAAATATCAGTGCACTAAGGCTGGGCGCGGTGGCTCACGCCTATAATCCCAGCACTTTGGGAGGCCAAGGTGGGTGGATCACAAGGTCAGGTGTTCAAGACCATCCTGGCCAAGATCGTGAAAGCCCGTCTCTACTAAAAATACAAAAAACTTAGCCGGGCATGGTGGCAGGTGCCTGTAATCCCAGCTACTCAGGAGGCTGAGGCAGAGAATTGCTTGAACCTGGGAGGCAGAGGTTGCAGTGAGCTGAGATCGTGCCACCGCACTGCCTGGGTGACAGAGTAACACTCTGTGTCAAAAGAAAAAAGAAAATATCTATGCACGTCCTTCTGCATTAAGCTAAGTCTGGAGTCTGGATGCGTGTGCCTGTGTGGTGACGTCGGCTGCATCTCTCTGGGACATGGTCAGTCTGCAGGTCACTTCTTCAAGGCCAGACCACAGATGTGTCTTGGCGCCTTAAGAGCAGGTCCGCAATCCGTCACTGCACACGTTAAAAGTGCCCACGTTGGCCGACAGTTGCTGCAGTTTATTTTTTTATTTTTTTGAGACAGAGTCTCGCTCTTATCACTCAGGTTGGAGTGCAGTGGCGCGATCTCGGCTCACTGCAACCACGCCTCCTGGGTTCAAGTGATTATCCTGCCTCAGCCTCCCAAGTAGCTGGGACTACAGGCACCTGCCACTATGCCCGGCTAATTTTTGTATTTTTAGTAGAGACGGGGTTTCACCGTGTTGGCCAGGCTGGTCTCGAACTCCTGACCTCAGGAGATCTGCCTGCCTCGGCCTCCCAAAGTGCTGGGGTTACAGGCGTGAGCCACCGCTCCTGGCCAATTGCTGCAGTTTCTAAGTGGGCGTTGATTCGGGCTACCTGGACAGGAGTGCCGGCCGTATGTGGTTTCAGTGTCCTTCCTTGGGCAGAGGCAAAGGCAGGGGGCCAGGTGTGCTCACCCCAATTGATCGGCACCAAGGAGGAGCCCTGGGGGATGGTGGGGTCACTGTAACTGGCACCCAGACTGAGAGGGCAGTGGGAAAGAGGGGGCTGAGGACTGTGGGTGCAGGGACCAGCTCTTGGCACCAGAAGCCTGGGTAGAGGGGCACACTCAAGGCTACAGCCATCCTGGTCAGTGGACCTGCCACCAAGCACGAGTGTGGACATGGTGTCAGGACATTAGCCTTCAGGCGCTGGTGGCAAGGGTAGGTCCAGACTGTCGTGGGACTGAGGGCACAAGATGTAGTCGGCCCCCGCTTTTTGCTGCTCACGGCCGCCTGGCCGCTGGCCAGTGTCCGAGCTTCGGCCCTGTAAGGGTGGGGTGCCTGGGCTCGGGGAAAGGGTTTGGGGAGGGACATGGGCACGCAGAGAGCACGCAGCCCCCGAGCTGAGTCTCGACTGCCCATCATCCCATCAGCTGGGACGCAGGGGCAGGAACAGCCCCTCCTGCCACATCCTGAAGAGTCAGGGCAGGGCTGGGGTCTGGCGAGTTACGTAAATGGCAGCATTGGTTCCAGGCGTCCCAGTGGTGGGAGTGAGCGCTGGAGGCAGAGCCTGGGGGATCCTCTCGGAGGCTGTGGTCTGGGCTACCGGGGCTTCTTGCTCTCATTCTGGATGGTTCCTCTGAGCCTTTAGGAAGAGGCACAGCTGGGCACCTGTACATCAGCTCACCTGCCCCTGGTTGGGCACGCCCACTGGCTGCTGGGGTCTCCCCACTACCCGCACTGTGGCCTACTTCCCTGCATTTTCTGCCCCGCCCAGCAGGCTGACACAGGGCCCAGGACCCTGCCCCTCCTCCAGGGCCACCCTGCTGGGCAGACCTGTTCTCTCCCCAACCTCCAAGTCTGTCCTGCCTCTTGCACGGTTGGGGTCCCCTGAGCACGGGTGTCTCCTCTGTTCCTTTGCCCTAAGGTCCCCAAGGGCAGAACCGTGACCTCGTATCCACTGACTTGGCTTTTGCAGCTGGTGCCTGGCAGGAGATGCTCGGTGGAACATCTGTGTGAATGAGAGGCTGGGACAGACCCCTCGGGAGGGCTGGGGGAGGGTGGAGGCCAGAGTCTGGGAGAGGAGCAGAGGAGGCAGGAGCCCTCGCCCAGGCCTGGGCCTCAGTGCTGTGGCTAGCCACCCAGCTGGCACTTGCTGAACACCTACTATGTGCCAGGCCTGAGCTTATTCTCGGTGGATGGTCATAGCCTGGGAGGAAGGCGTGGCTGTGATCTCTGCTTTACAGACGTGGGTGCTGGGGCCTGGAGAGGTGTGGGGACTTGCCAGGGCTCTCTAAGGCAAAGCTGGGGCCCTGGAACCCAGATCCACAACCACTGGGCTCCCCTGCCTTCAGGAACTCCTTCACCACTGAGCATGCCCAGGTCCCCAGTCCCCAGGGCAGAGGCCCAGCCGACGGCCAATGCCAGCCAGGCATCCCAGGGGGCTTCGGGCCTGCCGGTCCCTCTAGCTCCCCTCCTCCTGCGGAAACAGGCTCCTACTGCCCGCTGCCTTCTCAGGGGAGTGCCTGAGCTTCTGCTAGGATTAGGCCTTTGAAAAGGTGCGTGCTCAGGGTCCCAATATGCGGCCATCAATACGGCTCTCCACCGCTCCTCAGATCTCCCTGAGCCTGATCGAATTTCCTTCCACCCCGAGCCGGTCACTCCTGAGGACTTTCAGATTTCAGAGCTGGGCCAGGTTTGAGGTAGCAAAGCACGAAAAAGGAGGTGTCATCTCCCTCCAGCTCCCTGACGTCAGAGCTGCCCAAACGCCGTGACGGACACGTCCCCGAGGGCTCAGAGCAGGGCTCAGAGCATTGGCAAACGCTCACGCGGCAGACGCCTCGGGTCAGACCGGGCATCCGGGCAGTTCCGAGCGACTGAAATCAGGCTGCTTAGTAATGAAACTGGCAGCTCGCCGGTGCCGCAGCCAGATCTCTAACACATCAGACTCTGACACAGATGGAGGCCGGCCGGGCCGCGGGCGCTGCCTCGGAGAATAAAGCAGGGAGAATAAAGGAGAATAAAGCTTGTTAAACAGAAAGAGGGCTGGGAGGGCTGGGGAGGCCGGCTGGGACGGATTGTCAGCGGATCCTGTAAATACTCCAGGCAGCTCTGGCCCGGGCCAGCGTGGTACTCATTTCAAAGCAATTTAACCGATGGGATTCCTGACTCCCAAATCAAGAATGTTATTAAAATGAACAACAGAGGCAGCCCAGGCGCTCGTTGGTACCCAAGTCACACCCCGCTGACTGTGGGCTCCTCGTCCTCCCCTGAGCCATCGCCTGGACTCCGGTTTCCCAGCACCCCGACCCCTGCCCCAGGCTTGTTTTGGGGAAGGGGAGCTTATTGAGGGACAGGGCTCTGGAGGCCAAGCCTGGGGTGTGTGGGGGGTGCTCTTGGTTCTTAAAAACTGGAGGATAGACTTGGTCAGTTTTGTTTTGACCTGGAAAAAGATTAAGACTCTGCCCCCCCTTTCTTTGACCATTGGGGAAACCGAAGCCCAGAGCAAAGTGCTGGAGATGCCCCCAAAGCCGGCTTTCCTCCACCCCACCGAGATTCCCTTTTTTTTTTTTCAGACAGTTTTGCTCTATCACCCAGGCTGGAGTGTAGTGGCATGATCTCGGCTCACTGCAACCTGCGCCTCCCGGGATCAAGCGATTCTCCTGCCTCAGCCTCCCCAGTAGCTGGGATTACAGGTGCATGCCACCAAGCCTGGCTAATTTTTATATTTTCAGTAGAGACGGGGTTTCCCCACGTTGACCAGGCTGGTCTCGAACTCCTGACCTCAGGTGATCCACCCACCTCGGCCTCCCAAAGTTCTGGGATTACAGGCGGGAGTCACCGTGCCCGGCCCACCCCACTTTTTTTTTTTTTTTTTTTTTTTTGAGAGAGAGCCCAGGCTGGAGTACAGTGGCACGATCATAGCTCACTGCAGCTTTAACCTCCCGGGCTCAAGGGATCCTTCTGCCTCAGCCTCTCAAGTAGCTAGGATTACAGGCATCCACCATCACACCTGGCTAATTTTTAAATTTTTTGTAAAGATGGGGTCTCACTATGTTGTCTCGAACTCCTGGGCTCAGCCTTCCTTGCTGGGATTCCGGGCATGAGCCACCATGCCCGGCCTGGAATTCCTCCCTGAGGAGCCGTCTTGGGGGCCTGTGGGCATTTGGTTAATCCCACCTCGAGCCACCATGAGGCTCTGGAACCTCTGCTGTTTTCCAGGCCCCTGGCCAGGGGCCGTTGCGGGAAGTGGGCAACCAGGCCCCTGCCCTCCCGAGAGGGCAGGTTGGGAGCAGGGTGAGGGGAGTCTCTGGGCGGGGTGGGCCCAGGTGGGCTGCGAGTCCTGGGATGGTCGGTGCCAACGCCCCATCCCCATCTTCCCTTTGCAGGTGTTTCAGCGCCGGGAGGACGGCTCCGTGAACTTCTTCCGGGGCTGGGATGCGTACCGAGACGGCTTTGGCAGGCTCACCGGGGAGCACTGGCTAGGTGAGCACCCCACCCACCATCCGGCCCAGGTGGGCCTCCTCCCCCTGCCTTCCGGACACAGTTGGGTCCCAGCTGCTCCCTGAATGGGTTTGGGCTGGGTTTCCCTGGCCTCGGCACACCTGAGCCAGCTCACAGGTGTCATGCATGAAGGTGACAGGCATTCAGAAGGAATGAGGCCAGACATTGCCAACGGAAGTGTCAGCGTGGGTGGGCTCCCAGTGCTCATAAAGGCTGAGGGTCCCACATGCCCTTGGAGGCCACTTCCTGCCGGGGTCACCCTGGGACCTGCTGGCTGTCCTGAATCAAGCCAGCTTGGGCAGGTGGTCAGCAGCATCCCAGGCAGCAGGAGGACAGAGGAGGACCCGGCCCCACCCTGCCCAAGGGTGCCAGGGACACCAGGCATGGAACTCCCAAGAGTGGCCAGTGGTGCTGAGTGTGTCCAGAATTGGTGGGTTCTTGGTCTCACTGATTTCAAGAATGAAGCTGCAGACCCTCGTGGTGAGTGTTATAGCTCTTAAGGTAGCGCGCCTGGAGTTTTTTTCTTCTGATGTTCGGATATGTTCGGAGTTTCTTCCTTCTGGTGGGTTCGTGGTCTAGCTGGCTCAGGAGTGAAACTGCAGACCTTCACGGTGAGTGTTGCAGCTCATAAAAGCAGCGTGGACCCAAAGAGTGAAAGAACAAAGCTTCCACAGCGCAGGAGGGAACCTGAGCGGGTTGCCGAGGCTGGCTGGGGCAGCCTGCTTTTATTCTCTTATGTGGCCCCACCCACATCCTGCTGCTTGGTAGAGCCCAGTGGTCTGTTTTGACAGGGGGCTGATTGGTGCGTTTACAATCCCTGAGCTAGACACAAAGGTTCTCCACCTCCCCATCAGATTAGTTAGATACAGAGTATGGACACAAAGGTTCTCTAAGGCCCCACCAGAGCAGCTAGATACAGTGTGTTGATTGGTGCACTCACAAACCCTGAGCTAGACACAGGGTGCTGATTGGTGTGTTTACAATCCCTGAGCTAGACATAAAGGTTCTCCAAGGCCCCACCAGAGCAGCTAGATACAGAGTGTTGATTGGTGCACTCACAAACCCTGAGCTAGACACAGGGTGCTGATTGGTGTGTTTACAAACCTTGAGCTAGATACAGAGTGCCGATTGGTGTATTTACAATCCCTGAGCTAGACATAAAGACTCTCCACCTCCCCACCAGACTCAGGAGCCCAGCTAGCTTCACCTAGTGGATCCCGCACCGGGACTGCAGGTGGAGCTGCCTGCCAGTCCCGCGCCGTGTGCCTGCACTCCTCAGCCCTTGGGTGCTCGATGGGACCGGGCGCTGTGGAGCAGGGGGTGGCGCTCGTCAGGGAGGCTCGGGCCGCACAGGAGCCCACGGAGGGGGTGGGAGGCTCAGGCATGGCGGGCTGCAGGTCCCGAGCCCTGGCCCGCGGGAAGGCAGCTAAGGCCCGGTGAGAAATCGAGTGCAGCGCCGGTGGGCTGGCACTGCTGGGGGACCCAGTACACCCTCCACAGCCGCTGGCCCAGGTGCTAAGTTCCTCATTGCCCCGGGGCCAGCGGGGCTGGTCGGCTGCTCTGAGTGTGGGGCCCGCCAAGCCCATGCCCACCTGGAACTCCAGCTGGCCCGCAAGCGCCGCACGCAGCCCCGGTTCCCGCTCGCGCCTCTCCCTCCACCCCTCCCTGCAAGCTGAGGGAGTGGGCTCCGGCCTTGGCCAGCCCAGAAAGGGGCTCCCACAGCGCAGCGGTGGGCTGAAGGGCTCCTCAAGTGCCGCCAAAGTGGGAGCCCACGCAGAGGAGGCGCCGAGAGCGAGGGAGGGCTGTGAGGACTGCCAGCACGCTGTCACCTCTCACCAGCCAGGGCTCCTGTTTGGGCCTGGAGGCAACCGCACGCCTTCCTGCCACTGGGACACAGTCCCTGCCTGGCACAAAGTAGGAGCTCAGAAGGTTCTGTCAATATCATTACCTATGTTTAAATTCACTCAGTATTTTAGAATTTTTGAAAGTCCTTAACATTTCTTTTTTTTTTTTAACATTTCACTATCTAAACAAAATATTCTAAACAAAACTTCATTTATCTAAACAAAACATTTATCTTAACAAAACATCCTAAAAGAATCACAACTTTGAGGTCCTATCTACCTATATATATTTGGGAAGTGGCTATGGCTTGAAATGAGGTGGATTTTTCTGGTTGTTCTTGAGATATAATTTACATACAACAAAATTCCCTGTGTGGAAGTGTATGACCCTGTGGTTTTTAGTATATTCAGAATATTACAACCATTGCCACTGGGTCCAGAACCTTTTCCTCACTCCAGAAGGAAACCCTGTACCCCCGGGAGCAGTCACTCCTTGCAGGTTTTGAATATACATGAAACGCACAGGTGCTGGGGAATGTGTGCCCCGAGTGTCATCTGGGCGGCCTCGAATGCCCCACAGTGTCCTCCTGCACTTAAGCCCCCCGGGTGTGTGCGGACATCCAGGGAGTTCCACAAGCTGTGGGGGTTGGGGGCGAGGGGCGGCGGAGGGGGCGCCTTGGGTGGGAGGGAGGGAGAGGGTAAGAAGGGTGAGGACATCCCGGGAGTTCCCCAGTGCGGGGCAGAGCTGGTGGTGGAGGGAGAGGGTGAGAAGGGTGTGGACATCTGAGGAACTCCCCTGCGAGCGAGCGGGGTCAGAGCTGGTAGGGAGGCTTAGGCGGGAAGGAGAGGGTGGGCCTGCGTGCCTGGCGGGAAGCACCACCTGAGAGGCTGAGAGCGCAGGTCTGGGCACCAGCCGGGGTCAGGAGGGCTCCAGGCCTGTAAGGATGTTCAGTGACACCCCTGGAAGATGGGGGGTCGGGGGCCCCAAAGGCAGGGTTGGGGTGGTGAGGCGGGGCCGCCCCTCTGTGTGCATGGAGGCCCCTGGGCAAGATCTGCCACCCATGCCCCCTCCTCACCGGGGCCCATGAGAGCAGGGCCCTCTCTGACCTGCCGTGCCCTGGTGCCCAGGGGGTGCCGACAACAGGGAAGGTCACACCCCGTGTGGACTTCATGCCCACACCCCGTGCTGACCCCCAACCCACTGAGCACCCAGCTACACGCTTCCCATGCATCGTCCCCAAAGCCTCACACCCACCTAGTTGGGGGCCCTGCTGTCGTCCCCTCCTTTTAGAGATGAGGAAGTTGAGGCTTAGGAAAGGGAGGTCCCTTGTCACAAGCCTGCGTGTGTTGGGGTTGGGGGAGCCCCAGCAGGGTCTACACACTGGCGCCCAACCCAGCTCGCCTCATCCCCGAACCTGGTGGGTGGAAGGAGGGGAGATGGGGAGACCCTGCCTCAGGCTCCCCAAGCTGGGGGTAAAGATAAGGACAAGGCGGCAGGGCCAAGGCATGCCCTCGCCACCACCCACCCCCTGGAGCAGCGGTGATGCCCGTGCTCATGGTATCTTAATTGAAATCTATCAGCAGCTGCAGATGATGCGGGAGGAAGCATTTAAGCAGGTCCTCATTCCAGCATCCTGCAGACGAGCCCTGACAGGAATGTCAACAGCGCCAGTCCCTCCTCTGCCGCACCACCCTCCCCATCCCCTCTCAATGAGTGCTTTGTCTTTTCCTATCGAGTCATGGAAGCTCTCTATATATTAAGGTTACCGATCATTTGTCCAACACATGATAGGTATTAACTTCTGGCCATTTGTCTTTCAGCTTTTTCTTTTTCTTTTGTGGGGTCATGTTATTATTTATTTCCTAGAAATTTAAGATGTTTATGCACTCAGTTCTGCCACCCTTTTCTTTGTATCTTTTCTGGGTTTTAGCCCCTGCTTTCCTTTCCTTCCCTTCCTAGTTTTATTTTTTTTTTAAGTCTCCTCTATTTTTTCTTCTGTTTTTCTTTTCTTTCTTTTTTTTTTTTTTTTTGAGACAGAGTCTCACTCTGTAGTTCAGGCTGGAGTACAGTGGCATGATATCAGCTCACTGCAACCTCCACCTCCCGGGTTCAAGCGATTCTCCTGCCTCAGCCTCCCAAGTAGCTGGGATTACAGGCGCCCGCCACCACGCCCGGCTAATTTTTGTATTTTCAGTACAGACAGGGGTTTCACCATATTGGCTAGGCTGGTCTCGAACTCCTGACCTCGTGATCTGCCCGTCTCGGCCTCCCAAAGTGCTGGAATTACAGGCGTAAGCCACCGCGCCCAGGCTTTTCTTCTGTTTTTCTAGTGTTGTTTTAGGTTGACAGCTTTAGTCCAGCTGGAAGTCCACTGGGGTGGACATGTGAAGTTTAGGGTCTTAGTGGTTTCCTGTCTGTTTCAAGCCATCAGCCCTGTTTCTTGCTCTTGGCGATTTGAGCCGGGAGCTGGTGAAGGAGTTGGATCAGGGGCCCAGGGAATCTGGGAAGAACAGCTAACGTGGCTGGGAGCGGTCCTGGAAGGCCAGGGAAAAGCTGGGAGAGCTGGAGAAAGCCAAAGAGCAAGGGCAGGGAGGCGAGGGAGGGAGGAGGTGGCGTGGACTGGAGGAAGGACGGAGAGGACCCAGGCCCCAGGTCCCCACCCACCCCTCCCTCGGGCGTCCTGCCTAGCAGCCCCCGGGACACCGCTCATGAATTGTCACTCAACCCAGAGGAGTGGCTAATGGTGGCCTTTGGGTGCCAATGGCCAATTAGTGGTGGGAAAAGGAATCTTCCAGCATCCCCGGGGGGCCGGTCTCCCTCTCTCCCTATTCCTGCATCATCTGATTTGTTCTGGGTAAGGTCTGAATAGCAGCAGGGATTTGGGGCCCTTCTGCCTGGGTTCAAATCCCAGCAATGCCACTCAGCAGCCGCGTGACCTGGGCCAGCTCCTTAACCTCCCTGGGCCTCATTTTCCTCCCCTATAAAATAGGTAGTAATAGGCACTCCTTCCCCGGGGCCTTGGGAAGCAGCAGTCAGCACCTGGATAATGTGTGCAGCGGGCCAGCCCTGCCAGAAGAGCCGCCCAGGGATTCTGTAATTAAATTAGACTCACTCTAATTCCACTGGATTCACTCATCTGCACGAAGGGCTGAGAACGGTGCTGGGCCCTTGCGAGTGCCGTCCAGGTGGCGGCTGTTGTCATGATTACCTCCCACCTGCCCTTTTGTGTATGACACTCTCCTGGCCCCTCACATCAGCCCTGCGCCAGCCGAGCTGGGGCCCAGAGAGGGAGAGCGGCTGCCCTGAGACTCAGCAGCAGGAGAGTCAGGGAGGTGGGGACCCTGGGTGAGACCCTAGGCTGTCAAAGCCCATGCCCTGGCAGGTCCTTGGGGAGGAACGTGGGTCGTGCGGTCAGCTTTGCTGTGACTCCTCCCACAGTAGCTGCTCCTGGTCCCTGGACCTGGTGACTGGGACCAAAGGCTTCTTGTCCGGGCGGGATGGGGGAGGATCCGCACAGCCTCCAGCCAGCACACACTGACCCCGGGAGGTGCGGAGCCGGGGAGAGGCAGGCAGGAGGGAGAAGCGGATGGAATACCACTCGCTGCTACTAACTTGTGAAACATTTCATTAAATGCCCTCTTAATCAAGAGTAACCACACCAGCAGTGAAGCATCTTGGGAGTCTGAGCACGTATGTGTATGGTAGGGGAGGCCTGGCATGAGACCCCGGGGATGGGCAGGGCAGAGTTGAGGTGGGGCGGGGACAGCAGGAGGGAGAGAGTAGGATGGGGGCACAGAGCCGGCCTAGAGGGGTGAGGGTGCCGCCAACTCCCTCCCATCCACTAAGCCAGCGCTGGGTAAGCACCATTGTGCCAGGCCCCACCCCAGGCACTGGGGTCAGCAGTGGCTAGGTCGGACATGCCACTGTCACGGGAATTCCGCACTGGTGGGGAAACTGACAAGATAGGCAGCCGGGACCCTGAAAGATAAATACCCACAGGGGCACATGTGTTGGCAGAGGAGGTCCTCAACGCCGACAGGAGGTCAGGCAGCCTTCCAGAAATGAATAGAAGGTAACCAAGTGAGGAGGAGTAGGGACAAGCATCCTGGCAGAGGGAACAGCATGTGCAAAGGCCCAGAGGCCAGGTATAGGAAAATGCGAACACAGATCCTGTCTGTCTGGCTCTGGCTGGAGTCTGGGTAAGGGTGCTGTCACCCCCACCTCCTCCCGCCTCCTGCAGTCTTCCCACCAGCTCAGAGCCCCAACGTTTGAAAAGCATCACAGCTCCACTTAAAGGGAACAGAGAAAACCAAACATGAAAACTGTCGGTCCTCAGTGGCTTGCCCAACACAGGCCTGCAGGAAGAAGGAAGTAGCCCAGGGCTGATTGCACGCACTTGGTGGTTGTCCCTTTCTGTCCCCAACTGCATGAGCTCAGCTGTCATTTATCATTTCTCCCTGGGGAGTCGCTTCCTACGCCCCTCAGCTTCTCCCACCATTTTCCCCCCAACTTCAGGGCTCAAGAGGATCCACGCCCTGACCACACAGGCTGCCTACGAGCTGCACGTGGACCTGGAGGACTTTGAGAATGGCACGGCCTATGCCCGCTACGGGAGCTTCGGCGTGGGCTTGTTCTCCGTGGACCCTGAGGAAGACGGGTACCCGCTCACCGTGGCTGACTATTCCGGCACTGCAGGTGAGGCTCCAGCTGTGGCAGGGATGGGGAAGGGGGGCGGCCTGGGAGGATGGAGGACGGAGGAGGTCCTGCCCTCCAAAATGATCAAGGCTAATGTATTTTTCCCCCTTTGAAAGTAATCAGGTTTTTGAAAAATAACAAATATTGATAAACTACCAACCCCACATCACAATCAGAGGCCTGAAACCAATCTAAATTTTTTTTAAGTAATAAATTTTTCAAATTGGAAGAGTAAACAAGACAGAAAAGGGAAAATTTTCTTCCTTACCAAGGATCCCTCAGTCCTTGTCTTCATCAGTTGATTCAGTTGCATGTCATAAAAGATGAGCTTCTGCGAATCTTCTGTTCGTTTTTTCATAATAGTGTTGATGATGCCCTTCGGCCCTCTGGGGTCAGGGTCAAGGCTGCTTGCCTCCTCCTCCAAGTCCTGCTTGGTCCTCACCCCTGCAAGGCGAAGCCAGCAGAGCCTGGACTGTTTTCCCGTTTTGCAGATAAAGAAACTGAGCCCAGAGCCAGGAATCAGGAGACCCGGGGTTCGGGTCCGCTGGGTCTCTAAAGTGTGGTGGCTGGACCCCCCTGGGCTGGGTTTCCCCTCTCAGGCCGAGGAGCGGGGAGGCAGGAGAGGGAATGTGGAAAAGCTGGGGGGAGGGATAGAGACCGCCTAGACCCAGGGGCAGCCCCAGGCACGCCCGAGAAGGGACTGCGTGCGTGTGAGCTGCATGGACACACCCGGGTGTGGAGGGGCAGGTGCGCTTGCACGCGTGCACAGCAGTATGTGTGAGAGCACGTGCGTACGTGTATGCACTCACGTCCAGGTGCACGTGCAGTGTCTCGGTGTCTGCTCACACATGCAACACCAGTGGGTGTACCCGTGCCCCCCGTGCCCACACCTGTGTGCACCCCTGCGCAGGCGACTCCCTCCTGAAGCACAGCGGCATGAGGTTCACCACCAAGGACCGTGACAGCGACCATTCAGAGAACAACTGTGCCGCCTTCTACCGCGGTGCCTGGTGGTACCGCAACTGCCACACGTCCAACCTCAATGGGCAGTACCTGCGCGGTGCGCACGCCTCCTATGCCGACGGCGTGGAGTGGTCCTCCTGGACCGGCTGGCAGTACTCACTCAAGTTCTCTGAGATGAAGATCCGGCCGGTCCGGGAGGACCGCTAGACTGGTGCACCTTGTCCTTGGCCCTGCTGGTCCCTGTCGCCCCATCCCCGACCCCACCTCACTCTTTCGTGAATGTTCTCCACCCACCTGTGCCTGGCGGACCCACTCTCCAGTAGGGAGGGGCCGGGCCATCCCTGACACGAAGCTCCCTGGGCCGGTGAAGTCACACATCGCCTTCTCGCCGTCCCCACCCCCTCCATTTGGCAGCTCACTGATCTCTTGCCTCTGCTGATGGGGGCTGGCAAACTTGACGACCCCAACTCCTGCCTGCCCCCACTGTGACTCCGGTGCTGTTTGCCGTCCCCTGGCCAGGATGGTGGAGTCTGCCCCAGGCACCCTCTGCCCTGCCCGGCCAAATACCCGGCATTATGGGGACAGAGAGCAGGGGGCAGACAGCACCCCTGGAGTCCTCCTAGCAGATCGTGGGGAACGTCAGGTCTCTCTGAGGTCAGGTCTGAGGCCAGTATCCTCCAGCCCTCCCAATGCCAACCCCCACCCCGTTTCCCTGGTGCCCAGAGAACCCACCTCTCCCCCAAGGGCCTCAGCCTGGCTGTGGGCTGGGTGGCCCCATCCTACCAGGCCCTGAGGTCAGGATGGGGAGCTGCTGCCTTTGGGGACCCACGCTCCAAGGCTGAGACCAGTTCCCTGGAGGCCACCCACCCTGTGCCCCGGCAGGCCTGGGGTCTGCAGTCCTCTTACCTGCTGTGCCCACCTGCTCTCTGTCTCAAATGAGGCCCAACCCATCCCCCACCCAGCTCCCGGCCGTCCTCCTACCTGGGGCAGCTGGGGCTGCCATCCCATTTCTCCTGCCTCTGGAAGGTGGGTGGGGCCCTGCACCGTGGGGCTGGACTGCGCTAATGGGAAGCTCTTGGTTTTCTGGGCTGGGGCCTAGGCAGGGCTGGGATGAGGCTTGTACAACCCCCACCACCAATTTCCCAGGGACTCCAGGGTCCTGAGGCCTCCCAGGAGGGCCTTGGGGGTGATGACCCCTTCCCTGAGGTGGCTGTCTCCATGAGGAGGCCAACCCTTGCCATTGACCGTGGCCACCTGGACCCAGGCCAGGCCCGGCCCGGCGAGTGGTCAAGGGACAGGGACCACCTCACCGGGCAAATGGGGTCGGGGGGACTGGGGCACCAGACCAGGCACCACCTGGACACTTTCTTGTTGAATCCTCCCAACACCCAGCACGCTGTCATCCCCACTCCTTGTGTGCACACATGCAGAGGTGAGACCCGCAGGCTCCCAGGACCAGCAGCCACAAGGGCAGGGCTGGAGCCGGGTCCTCAGCTGTCTGCTCAGCAGCCCTGGACCCGCGTGCGTTACGTCAGGCCCAGATGCAGGGCGGCTTTTCCAAGGCCTCCTGATGGGGGGCCTCCGAAAGGGCTGGAGTCAGCCTTGGGGAGCTGCCTAGCAGCCTCTCCTCGGGCAGGAGGGGAGGTGGCTTCCTCCAAAGGACACCCGATGGCAGGTGCCTAGGGGGTGTGGGGTTCCGTTCTCCCTTCCCCTCCCACTGAAGTTTGTGCTTAAAAAACAATAAATTTGACTTGGCACCACTGGGGGTTGGTGGGAGAGGCCGTGTGACCTGGCTCTCTGTCCCAGTGCCACCAGGTCATCCACATGCGCAGATGTCTGCAGCGCTTCCTTCTGCCGTGGGCCCAGGCTGGACAGGACCTGGTCCCTGCCCTCTCGGTCCTCAGCTGGACGCAGATACAGCCAAGAATCAGGCAGTGGCAGCCTAGTGTGGCCGGGGTGGTGGCTGGAGCAGGCCAGGTGCGGGGCCACAAGGGGCAAGATGTGGGCAAAATGACCACATGAGATTCAACGGGAAATCCCTTCTTGGCTCCTCTTCCCACCATCTAGAAGCCAAGGGAGCCCACCCAGACCATCTGGGTTCCCAGAGCACCCTGTCATATTGCAGGGGCTGGGTGGGACCCGAGTTCTCATCCCAGGAGCCCCCCACCGACAGGCCCCAGGCAGGAGCTACCAGCCTCCCCATGCCAGTGACTGCGCCAGCGACTGCTTAGAAAGTGCCAGCACTTTCTGATGTGTCATCAAACAAACTCCTGGTGAGTGTGAAGTTAATGGACTCACAGATGTGTGGGTGCAGCAGGAGGCACCAGGGCCCTCGTGCCAGGGCTTGGCTGTGGAACAGATGCACCATGGCTGGGGCCTGGCGAGGGGCCGGGGGCAGGTGCAGGTGGCCTGTGAGCCTGTGGTCCAGGTCCAGGTCCCGGCAGCATCTGTCCTCAGTGGCTGGCTGCACTGGGGATGCCTGTCCCTTCTAGAGCCCTGTTACTGCCCTAGAGCACCGGCCCCTGTCCCAGACCAGGAGAGGGCACATGGCCCTACCAAGCACCGGCTGAATGGGCACGGAGCTTGACATGGTGGGGAGGGCCCAGGCCAGCGCACCGGCCCCACCCTCCCCAGGGGCACCTTCAAAGGCTGGCACTGGGGAAAAACGGTCCCTGCGCACCTGCTCCGGGCCACACCCTCTCACCCTAGCCCTGCAGAGCCTACGGTCTGATACCAGTGCAAATGGCTCTCATCTGAGACAGGAGGATGGGGATGCTGGGAGAGCCCTGGGCGAGGGACAGCTCGAGACCTGTGGGCTGAGTGACCAGGCCAAGGGCTAGCATGTGCACAGGGTCGCCTGGGACCCACGGGCCCCAAACCGTCCCCTGGGACCCAGTTTGAGGGTGGATGCCTGCAGCCCTCCATCCCACAATGCCACCTGACTGAGCCTCCTCCTGCTGCTTCACTTGAGGGGAGTAAGCTGAGTGGGAGGGGTCTCTGCATCGCCACACTGGGACCTGGAGGCAGCGCACCTGCGCCGTTGCTTCTCCACGTGCACAGGTAGGTTTTGTGGCTCAGCCAGTGGCCTTCCTCCTTTCCCCTAAACTTCACACATATCTCAGAGAGTTACACCAAAGGCCACGCAGCTGACTGCCTGAGCACCAAGGTCCAGAGGATGGAAGGAACCTTGGTTTCCATGCTGGTGGCCTCAGCACATTCAGCTGGAGAACAGCAAAGGAACAGAGCTGTGAGCCATTCTCAAACAGCTTTCCCCTGCAGCTGCGTGTAAATTGGTTTTATAATGTTTGTCTTTGGGACAAAAGCTGTATCGCCAGTGCCTACCTCCTTCTGGTGCCCCTAACCCTTCCTGCCACCTGTCCTCGTCCACACAGGCCTCTGGCTGGCTTGGCTGGGGCCAGAGCCCTGGAAGCTGGGAGCCAGGGTCTCTGGAGGCCCTGTCACCCAGGGGCGTGTCTGAGCAGGCAGAGATTTGGAGGATTGTTGAACCATCTCAAACCATGAGGACGCTGGCTCCAGGGAGGGGAAGGAAGAGGAGAGGTACCGTTTGTGTGAGATGGGGGGACGGGACATAAAGAACGCCTGTGGCCAGCGGCAGACCCGTCCTGTGACTTCAGGAGCAATGTACCGGCAGGAGGACCCAGCAGGGGACACACAGAACCCAGAACAAGGAGACAGGACACTAAGCTTTGGCCTCAGCGGACCGGGCTTCCCCAGGGCCTCCATTTCTTCATCTGCTTTCAGAGACAAGGATGTCCCCAAACTGTGTGGCCCAAGCAGCCGGCAGGACTTGGCAAACCCAGAGGGCTGAGGTCGGGCCTCGGTGGGATTTGTAGGGAGTGTTGGGAGCTCTGGCTCAAGGCTGGCCACGTTGGCCCCTCATGCGCTGACAGGTGTGTCTGACTCGGGCCACACAGCACTGGCCAGGGCTGCAGAGGGAGCTCAGAGGGCCAGCACAGCGACTGGTGGAGGAAGCCTGGTATGGGAGCATCGCTAGGCGAGGCTGTCAGCACTTGGTGTCTGTGCGTTCTGTCTTTAATAAAGTCTCATGGTGACCCAGCTCTGGTCTCTGCCTCCAGCCGGACTCCAAGCCTCGTGTCAGAGCTTGAGTGGATCAGATACCCACGTGTTCCAGGACTGCCTCTCGCTCTGTCTCCCCTGAACTCCTCTCATCATTTATTTTTAGAGACGGTCTTGTTCTGTCACCCAGGCTGGAGAGCAGTGGCACCATCACTGCCCACTGTGGCGAACTCCTGGGCTCAAGCGATCCTCCCACCTCAGCCTCCTGAGTAGCTGAGACTACACGTGCGCACTACCACACCCAGCAATTTTTTTTTTCTACTTTTTGTAGAGACGGGGTCTTAGCTATGTTGCCCAAGCTGGTTTTGAACTCCTGGGTTCAAGCCACCCTCCCGCCTCTGCCTCCCAAATTGCTGGGATTGCAGGCATGAGCCACTGCACCCAGCCACCATTTTCATTAGAGCAGCCAAAAGGCATTTCCCAGATAGCTCTGGACCCACTAGGGCTGCTCAAGACCCTCTGACTGGGCCAGTTCTGGGCTTTGCAAAGATGGCCTGGACCTGGTCAGGCGGACGCAGGGCCTGCCTCCTGCACAAGCCGCGCCCAGTGGGGTCGGTCCTCCTGGGGTCTGGGCTCTGGAGGATGAACCCGGGTCCTGCGGCATCGGTGCATCCCTCCCGGGTCCCCGGGGTGATAAACTATCCTGTGGGTCCCTGTGGCTGGGGACAGAGTTCCAAGGAACTGAGACACGTTATTGAATGAACAGTCCCCCATGGCTATTTATTCATAACATCAATTTGAGGCTTACGGATAAAACAATCCCTGGAGTTTATTTAATAAAATCCAGTATTTATCGAGTGCCTGTGTGGGAGGTGCCGCACGGGGCCAGTAGAAAGAGCGGCAGTGGCCTTGCCCTGTGCTCGGCCTCTGTCTGGCACCTGTCGGGGGCGGGCAGCCGGGGAGTCTCACACCCCCCCGTGCGGCCGGAGGTTTTCAAGTCCGGGTTCACAGAAGACGAATCCCACTCTTCCCTCCACCATGGACTTTCACTCAGCCAGCACAATGCCCACTGCTCTGACAGCTTGAGGGGGCAGAGGTGGGGGTGCCAGAGGAGGGAGGGCAGAGGTAGGGGGGCAGAGGAGGGAGGGGCAGAGGTGGGGGGTAGAGGTGGGGGCAGAGGAGGGAGGGGCAGAGGTGGGGAGGCAGAGGTGGGAGGCCAGAGTTGCGGGTAGAGGTGGGGGCAGAGGAGGGAGGGGCAGAGGTGGGGAGGCAGAGGTGGGAGGCCAGAGTTGGGGGTAGAGGTGGGGGCAGAGGAGGGAGGAGCAGAGGAGGAAGGGGCAGAGGTTTGGGGGGCAGAGGAGGGAAGGGCAGAGGTGGGGGGACAGAGGTGGGGGCAGAGGAGGGAGGGGCAGAGGTGGGGGGACAGAGGTGGGTGGGTAGAAGAGGGAGGGGGCACAGGTTGGGGGCAGAGGTGGGAAGGGCAGAGGTGGGAGGGGCAGAGGTGGAGACGCCTGGGGATGGGACTCCTGAGCCAGGCCACGGAAGTCACAGGCCATGGCCACCTGCCTCCCCACGTGCCACACCCATGCCAGGTGCAGGTGTGCCCAACTCAACCCTTTTCCCGCAACCACCAGACCAGCCTGAGGCAGCTCCTGGAAAGGTTCAAGGACTCAGTCACAGAGGTCCTCAGACAAGGGCTCATGCAATTCCGCGAGAAATGGTGCCCAACAGCATGGGAAGCGGCTTCCCAGGGCAGGAGGGGTTCGGCCAGCAGAACCGGAGCGGCAGTTGCCAACAGCCCAGGGGACCCGGGCTTAGATGGGGGCCACCACCCTGCGCCCTCCCTAGCAGCAGCAGTGAACACTGCCTAAGCGGGCACCATGCCACCCCGACAACCCCACCCCACCACACGGGCACTGCTGTCATGCCCAGCCAGGCGGAGGATCTGAAGCTCAGTGAGGTGGAGGCTGGCTGTGGCTGAGCCGGCTGTGGAACCCAGTCCGGGAGTGACATGTGGTTAAAGGGGTCTGCGAGGCCGGGGCCTGGCCTTAGCTCATCCAGGCGTTGCCACTCCAGTTCCAGCCTCCTCACTTTGGGAATCCCAGGCAGGGGCTGCCGGTCAGCTTGGCCATGCGGGCACCTGGCCTGGACCTATGTCAGGACAGCTTCCCAGGGAACCCCACAGGCTTCGAGGTGGTCCACGGACTCCACCCCCAGAGCGGCTTCCTGCACCACCAGCCCCACCACCCTCACGCCTCGCCTCCCTGCATTTACCCGACAGCAGAAAAAGCCTCCAGCGCTGGAAGCCGCCCCGATGGGTACTGCCACTCTTGGACTGATCTAGCCCCGGCCACCCTGTGCATCCAGGCAGCCCAGACCCTGCCTATCTCGGCTGCTGGTGGCAAACAGTGGCACAGTTGTCACCCCCAATTGCTCAAGAGGTGGGGGAACCCAGATGCTTCCAGGGGCCCAGGAAGGGCATCTGAAAGCAATTTTTCCGTCCAGGAGTTCCAGGGGTGGAGGGGACCAGGCAAGTCCCTGGAGTCAGAAGGTTTGGCACCAAATCCAACGCCTGACTGGGCTCCAGGCACCCCGGTCTGAAGGGGGCAGGCGGGGACCTGAGGCTGGGGAACATGTGGGCCACGTGGGGACCCCTCATCCTCACCCCAATATTGCTCCCACCCCAGACCAGCCCCTCACATGCAGGACATTCTGTGACCACCTCTCAGAGCCACAGACCTCAGTCCCGCAAAAGGACTCCGGGCCCTGGTGGTTTCAAAGCAGAACCTTTTCTGGGAGCTCAACATGTCAAACACAGCAAAGTGGGGCTTGGCCTGAGGGGCACAGGGGCGCGTGCAGGGCACAGGGGTGTGTGCGGGGCACAGGGGTGCATGCAGGGCACAGGGGTGCGTGCGGGGCACAGGGGTGCCTGCGGGGCACAGGGGTGCATGTGGGTCACAGGGGTGCCTGCGGGGCAGAGAGGTGCCTGTAGGGCAGAGGAGTGTCTGTGGGGCAGAGGGGTGCGTGTGGGGCAAAGGGGTGCCTGTAGGGCAGAGGGGTAGCCTGTAGGGGAGTGGGGTGCCTGTAGGAGAGGGGTGCCTGCGGGATTGGACCCCATGTTGCCTTCCCCAACTTCCATGGCCATTCCTGAGGAATTCTGCAAAGCACAGCTTGGGAACTTGAACCTCGCTTTACACCAAGGGAGCACTGAGGCACCCAGAGGGCAGGCATCCGGTCCAGGCTCATAGCACGGTAGAGACCCACCCTGGGCGGCACCCCATGGATAACTGGTGCCCGCTGTCAGAATCAACCAGCACTAACCAGGGAGACAGAAGGACACCACACCTCCCGTCTCACGAGCACACACACGTGTACGCACGTGTGCACATACTCATGTGGGGGCATACACACACATGCACACACAGGACAGGGGCACCTCAGGCCATCGGAGGCAGCCCTGGCCTGGGGGATGGAAGCTGGTTCTGGCCAGCAAAGCTCAGTCATCGGCTTCAATCCGCAGACCCTCCGCCCGAACCTGGGCGCTCAGCCCCGAAGTGGAGGATCGAGATTCCAGTGCCTTCCTCAGGTCTCTGGGGAAGTGTCCACAGGCTCTCTATTCCCATGACTTCTGATCCCCCAGCAGCCGGGATGCAGGGGTAGGTCGGCTGGGTGAGGGCCCCTGGAATGGGGGAGGCCCTCTGTGCTCAGTTCCTGACAGTGGTGGGGTGGGGCTGCCTCATCACCCCCCTGCCTGCTCTCAGTGGAGGGAGAATCTCTGCCGGGCAAGGAGCAGAGGCTGGGTCCTCCTGCTGGCCTCCCAGAGGTGACCCTCGGTGACAGTAGGGGGCCACCCAGGGTATGCGGTGGGAGGGGCTGGGGGCCACAGGCAAATGCTCCACTGCTGTCCTGGGCATCTGCCGTGCCCCCTTGGTTGGTTCCTGGGTAACAGGCCGCTGAGGGCTCCACCTGCCGGGGAGGTGCACCTGGCTTAGCCGCGCAGCCCGGTGCCTGTGAAACACGGGCCTCATGGGTGTCTGTGGCTTTCCTGCCCATGAAAGCCATCCTGCAAGCTGGGCAGTAGGTGTGTCGGGTAGATGTCCACCCACCCCATGTCCTCTCCGGAGCGTGAGGTGCCAACCCAGCAAAGGCAGGACCCTTAGGGTGAAGGGTGGGCTTGGAACCCCCGCCAAGGGACTCGAGGGTCTGTGCCCGCAATTTGCAGTTAATGATGCTGTCTGCTCTCCTCCAAAGGGCAGCCCGCCTGCCCTCTCATCAGACTACATCCTGTGTGAGGTTGTTTTTATCAACGCGGTCAGCACTGCCCCTCTTCAACAACAGCGTCCCCAATGGAATCCCAGGGTCAGGAATGCGCAGCAGGCAGTCGGCAGAGCAGCAAGCGCACCGCGGGCCATATAAAGCAGGGAGAGCCCAGGGGCCATGCCTCCTGGACGAGGACCCAGAGCAGCTCTGCCCAGCCCAGCCCCGGAGCCCAGCGATCCACCAGCCAGCCTTCCTGGGAGCAGTCCCAGCCACACGGTGAGCATAGCTGCCCTGTCCCCAGCAGGAACCCCAGCTCAGGCCCTGCCCAGGCAGGAGCCAGGCATGGGCAGTCAGAGGGCACACAGAAGCACAGGGAGGGAGTGCCCGGAGAGGGGACACCAGTGCCTCCCCTGCCAACAGCCCAGAGCAGCACAGATTGGTCACGGCTGCCCTGCCAGGGCTGGGACCCAGCCTCACCCGTGCTTTTCCTGTCCCTTCCTGGCTGTGGGGCCTGAAGCCCTGACTCGCGCTGGGGCCGCCTGTCCCGTGATGAGCATCCCCACTTTCTACCAGATTCTTGAAGGGGTGCATGAACCCCTAAAAGGGGTGAAGGGCCACTCCAGGGCCTGCTCTGTCAGGCTGTCTCCTTTCTAGACACCCAGAGGCCACTCCCGGGTGGATTTATCCACCAGGATGCAACGGTCCCTGGTCCACATCGCAGTCAGCAAAGTGCTTCCTATGGGGAGGAGGGAATGGGCTGGGCCGCTGCAGAAAGTCACCTCGTGGAAGCCCCCACTCTGCCTGCGCCCTGATGGAAAGGTTTTCCTGGCAGCATGAGGGAGGTCACTCCATCCCTGGGGGACGAAAGCTTAGAAGAACTGGATTTGGGTAGAAAGTGGGGTTGCATGTATTATTTTTTTAAAAGCTTCCTGGCTGAGCTCGCTTCTTTGAAATGTGTTCGAGGGAGCCATTTCTGGAAAGGGCTCTGGGGACTCCTGTACTGTCTTCTCCAGGGCCGGTGCTCTCTAGTCTAGCCTCAGTTTGACTCTGCGGAGGACAAGCCAGCTCCAGCTCCCCCGCGGTCATTGTCAAAAAGGTTTTCTTTGCCAGACAAGGGAGCAAGTGTTACCAAGGCAGGTTCATTACAGGAGGCTGGGTTTCAGATCCCCCGAGTGCCATGTGGAGTACAGAGGAGGGAGTTAGGGCACGCCTTCCTGAGTCAAGCCCAGTTAGACCTGGGATTGAACTCTAGCTCTGGCACTGATAAGGCCATGAGATCTGGGGCAAGTCACCTCAGCTGTTTGAGACCGACACCACCCCTGTGAAATAGGAGGGTTGGGAGTACCTAGCAGATATGTATGCTTCTTGAAGAAGCCGTCTGGCCATTAGAATCATGAATCCAGAGCCTCCACTTTCTGGCTGTGTGGCCTGGGCACAATCTCAGTTTTTCTGACAGTTTTGTTGCCTGAAAAAGTGGGACTGGCCGGACCTACCAAGCAGGAGTACTATGAAGATGAAGTACAATCACATGTGTGAGCTCTTGGCTCAGAGCCTGGCAGACCTACGGTGCCCAGGCCCCAGTGGTGTCCACACACTCCTTCCCAGGTGGGTGTCCGAATTAGGCCAGGACCATCCAATCTGTTTCTGGCTTTCAGGAGCAACTCGTTCCCACGTGAAAGAGACATTAGCAGGATGTCCCAGCTAAACAGCATAGCTAGACCCATTTATTATCCAGTTGAACACTAAGGGAGATTGATGCTTTTAACTTTCCACCCCATGGCTCTGCAATGATATGGCCATTTTATAATAAGAGAAAAATGAGCATACATTTGCTGACTCTCCCGGGGCCGCCTGGGCACTGCTCTGCCAGCCAGCAGCGGTGGATTTACGGTGCTAAGCTGCCCAGGCACGCAGATCGTGGGGACTGCAGGAGAAGAACCGGCCTAACTGGCACAATCACCTCCTGATCCTGCTAATAAAACAGTGGCCTAGTCCCAGCACTGCTCGGAAGCCGGGCTCAGCTGAGCCCCCTGCTCACATCTACGCTGCCAGCCTGTCCCGGGGAAACATTTTGGTGAGTTGCGCTTGGCCACGTGTGCAGCCTGTCACTCTGCCTCTCTTTCCTCTGGGTCAGATGGTAAGGCCTTACCCCCTGATCTACTTCCTCTTCCTGCCGCTGGGCGCCTGCTTCCCTCTACTGGACAGAAGAGAGCCCACAGACGCCATGGGTGGCCTCGGAGCTGGAGAACGCTGGGCCGACCTGGCCATGGGGCCCCGACCCCACTCCGTGTGGGGTTCCTCTCGGTGGCTGAGAGCTTCACAGCCACAGGCCCTGCTTGTCATAGCCAGGGGGCTGCAGACATCGGGCAGAGAGCATGCTGGCTGCAGATTCCGCTTCGGGAGGCAGGACGAAGGCAGTGAGGCCACCGGCTTCCTCCCTGCTGCGGGGGAGAAGACCAGCGGCCCGTTAGGGAACCTGGCTGAGGAGCTCAATGGCTACAGCAGGAAGAAAGGCGGCTTCAGCTTCCGCTTCGGTCGGCGGTGAAGGGCCAGGACGCCTTGGAAGGATTTGCTTCTTGGACTCACCCCCATTGTCTTCACTCCTGCCTTCTCCCCCAGTCTCAAAGACCACGACACCCAGATGATGTAGGCTTGGTTACGATGAACGATCCATGGTAGGACAGGTTAGGTGTGTGCTTACTTTTGATTTCCAACTTTGCTGAAGCGAAAAACTAGGCAGTGTCAAAAAGGAGGCTGTCTTGGAGCCTCGGTCGTCCCAGCCTCTCTCTTCCCCTGGGGCTTTGACTCCGAGCAGCCCCCTGGCCCCAGGGGCACGGAGCTGAGGCTGTGGCTGGGCCATGAGTGTGAATAGCAGAGCGAGGCAGCGGGCTGAGTGCTTACAGTTGGGTAATCAAAGTTGTGACAGTCTCTATAGGCACGACTGCGGCTGACATCAGAGTGCAAATGAGTGCATTCCACTGGGTACAGAGGATGGTTCTGAAAGTTAAAAATGGGAAAAAAGAACCCGATCCCCTTCTCCATGCCATGAGCACAAGATCCCCCTGGCAAGAAGCCCCTGCTGTGGTTTGCCTGCCCCTCTGACCGCAGCCCTTCTCCGCGGCCCAGTGTTAGCCCGGCCAGGAGTCTCCTGGGAGATGCGTTGGGAAGGAATCCCGTTTTTGCTATAGCAAGGTTGCATTTCACATGTTCAAAATCAGAATATGTCGTGTGTATCTTTTCAAATAAAAGTTGTGACAACTGCAAAACCATACTGGAATGCTGGCCTCCCCCACAGTCTGAGTTCTGGGTGCCTTGCCTTTCGGGAGATGGAGCTCCTGTTGACTGGACCCAAACACCCCTCCTCTAGATCCCTGTAACCGGCAGTCGGTCAAAGGGGCGGAGGAACACAGCACATGTGCTTTTCACTTCCACTCGGCTGCTCCTTCCCAGGTTTCCTAAGAGCAAGGAACATTCGGAAAACAACTTCTCTGCCCCGGGGAGAGCCCACGCTCAGCCGGGAGTGGCTGCAGGCCCGGGGCCAGGCAAAGCATCTGTTTCAAACGCGCCTTTGGTGTCTCCTGCATCCCATCCCGTGTCAGAGGCGGCGGTCGGATGCTGCTCACTCCCGGGCTGGCTTCCGCTGCTGAGATGAGAACTTACATTGATGTTACTATGGCAACCCCTCCCCTCCTCCTTTCGAGCTGCAGCTTGCCCCTGTTCACAATTGAATAATTTCCCATTGAGCTGTCACAATTAATTGGTGGATTTTTATTAGCCTTTTAGAACCACACTGGGCTGGGCCCAGCTTGGCACCTTGGAGTATTTCACAGTGTTTTCCATGCTATTAGTGACTTATACTCCTCAGTAGCAGCTCTCAATCCTTGGCAGCCAGAAAGCCACTTCATTAAGGGGTGACAGATCTGAGCCACAAAGAACCAACCTGACTGGGGAGCAGAATGGGTGCTGAGATGGGAGAGAACACCAGAGTCAGAACATCACCCGGTATGAAAGCTGCCACCTTCTCCAGGAGCTCCTCACCGCTTCCCCATCGCTTCCCACACAGAAACTAGCCCCCCAGGCTTGGCGCATGTGCCCTGAGTCTTAGGGCTGCTGTGATGGGGACAAGACAATGATTCCTGAGGCTGGTGGAGGGGTGGGGCACATTGTTCTCTTGGGCTCTGCCACTGTCTGAGGACAGAGTGGTTCAGGATGCCTCCTGCAAAGGGATGTTGTCACTGCTTGCTAACATGACACTGATGGGGACGGACACATCCCCGGGGTCCTTGCTGTAAGGACGGCCCTGGCACAGGGTGAACGGACAGATTCGTTCACCACAGGTGTGCACACACACCCCATTCTGCTTGGCTTAAGGGAGGGGGAGGCAGTAAGCTAGATCTATCCCTCCCTTGGCTCATTCACGCAAAGCAGCCAGAGATGTGCTCACCAGAGACCGGGTGAAACACAGCAGGCTGAGGGCAGAGGGACGCCCTGACGCACGGTCCCCTGGCCACTCGTCACTTGCCAACTTCTGCAAGTGAGCAAGGAGCCACCCACAGCCAGTACTTTAGAGAACACCGAGGCTGAGCCACCCTGCACATTCCACAGGCTCTTTGGGGATGCACTGGCTGGTTGTTAATTTAGCAGGATTAGATTAACCTTGATGGAAAAACCTGAGATAAAGAACACGGGGGCGGGGGATGCCTTCAAAGCAGTGGATATGCTGTCATTATGCTTTTATCACTTTAAAAAACCCAACAAAGCTATTCTTTCCAGTTTGCTTGTACACTTGAGCTCAGTAGCCCTGAAAATCCGAACAATCAAGCTGCTAAGGGCACTGCTGTCAAATCAACTCCCGCTGGGCTTGGCTAAGCCTCCTCTTTAACCCGGTGCCCCGCGGCCAAGCCCACCGTGTCTGTCAAGGTCTTTGGGCCTCTCATGCCACCCCAGCGCCCCCTCAGCCCTTGCTCTCTCCTCCACAGATAAGATTACCCCTCTCCAGGAGGGTGAAGTTGAGACTCCAGAAAACATTTATTTTGGAATCAGAGAGATGAAGCTCCCCTGAGCAGTGCTGGCTCACTCCACCTGGCCCGGCAGTTCTAACTACTCCAGCCCAGAGCACCTGCGAGCTGCCAGCATCTGCTCGTTACATTTATCCAAGACACAAGGCGGTCTTCATCTTGGTGTGTAGATCTAAAGGTATTTAGCTATCAAGATGAATGGAAAACATTTGTCTTTTCCTGTATGTTTGAAATACTAATAAAAATATTTAAGAAAAAACCCCAAACAAAACAGGCTCCTGGGGACAGTCAGCCATAGACAGCTGCTGTAGTAATCAAGAGGGAAGCCACCTCATCCTAACTTTGCCCCAGTGCCAAAGACGCTGCTTGACAGATTTCACTGAAGACCCCAAACCTGACATGGTACTTTCCAGCTTCTGGGTAGGGAGCAGGGGCATGCCCTGTGCTGCTGGTGCTCCTCCAATCCGCAGCTCCTTGGCCCCTCGGAAATGCCCTCCCAGAAAAAGAGCTCAGAGATTTCCCTGATTACAGCAGTGATATCAACTGGAGTGTGGGGGCAGGGGAGCAAGACATTAGGTGACCCCCAGGGACGAGGGCAGTGCTGACAGGGACACTGTGGTCAGCCTGGTCTCACCTAATGTCTTCTCGTACGAGGACGTTTAGAGTTTGCTTCCCCAGGGCACTCCGTTTAGAAAGGCCTCCTGAGATGATCTCTGCGGCCCAAGGAGCTGGGCTGGCTGTAATACTTGGCTGCTTCTCTTCCACTGTGGAGGGAGAAATCCGGCCCTGGGCACAGTTCTCTCCTGGTCCTGTTGGGGCTGTCTGCACTGTCTACTGATTAGACTGCCGTGGTAGGCACCAGCTGGTACATGTTGTGTGACCTTGGCCGAGCTGCTTGACATCTCTGAGCCTCTCAGCTTCCTTACCTGTCAGAGGAGGACAGTAACAAAAACTCTCTCATTAAAAAAAGTGGTGGGCTTGGCCGGGTGCGATGGCTCATGCCTGTAATCCTAGCACTTTGGGAGGCTGAGGTGGGTGGATCTCGAGGTCAGGAGATAGAGACCATCCTGGCTAATATGGTGAAACCCCGTCTCTACTAAAAATACAAAAAATTAGCCGGGAGTGGTGTCGGGCACCTGTAGTCCCAGCTACTTGGGAGGCTGAGGCAGGAGAATGGTATGAACCTGGGAGGCGGAGCTTGCAGTGAGCCGAGATGGCACCACTGCACTACAGACTGGGCGACAGTGTGAGACTCGTCTTAAAAAAAAAAAAAAAAAAAAAGTGGTGGGCCGGGCGCACTGGCTCATGCCTGTAATCCAAGCACTTTGGGAGTCCAAGGTGGGCGGATCATGAGGTCAAGAGATCGAGACCATCCTGACCAACATGGTGAAACTCCGTCCCTACTAAAAATACAAAAATTAGCCGGGTCTGGTGGTGCGCACCTCTAGTCCCAGCTACTCGGGAGGCTGAGGCAGGAGAATCGCTTGAACCCAGGAGGCAGAGGTTGCAGTGAGCGGAGATTGTGCCATTGCACTCCAGCCTGGGAGACAAGAGCGAAACTCTGTCTCAAAAAGAAAAAAGAAAAAAAAATTTTTTTTGAGACAGGGTCTCACTCTGGAGCTGGAATCCAGTGGCACGATCATAGCTTGCTGCAACCTCCACCTCCTGGGCTCAAGCAATCCTCCCACCTCAGCTTCCTGAGTAGCTGGACTACAGGTGCCACCATACCCAGCTTATTTTTGTATTTTTTGTGAGATGGGGTCTATGTTGCCCAGGCTGGTCTTGAACTCCCGGCCTCAAGCAATCCACCCACCTCAGCCTCCCAAAGTGTTGGGATTACAGGCATGAGCCACCTTGCCTGGCCTTTTAAGAAAATGTCCAATACCTTAGGCTGGTGTTTTGTAAATAATAACAATGGACCTCGAAGGCAGGACTTGAAATGACCTGGAAACTGCTGGGTGTGTGCACACAGGTGCATTTTTCTGGGGCTGGGATCCAGTTTTCATTAGGTTCTCAGGAGGTTTTGTGACCTAGAAAAGGTTAAGAAACCACTGTCTTGGAATGGCTAGACTAAACTAAGCTCTATAAGCTCAGGTGACACCCATGAAAGATCCCCATTTGGGAGATGAGAGGCGTCTTCCTCCACACTGGCCCAGTGTGACCAATTGGCCTCACGTGCAGGAGCCGACTCTGGACACGCAGTCTCAGCGCTTAGCGCTGGGAGGGCGGGGTGACCGTCCACATCTGACACGAGGAAGCGGCCACCAGCTGTGGCTGTCACCAGAGTTGTCCTATGTCTTCGTTCAGACCTGGGAGAAGCAGCCATTCAAAGGACAAGAGAAGCCCCAGGCTTGGTGGATCTGGTGGCCAGCTATGGTTCAACCGGCAAGGAAATTGGGGGCCCCAGCCTGGTTTTGTCCCTGTGAAATGAGAGGGGGAGAATCTTGTGCCTGGCACTGCTCGCAGTGGGCTCCACCAGCCCCGGCCCGGCTGGAGTTCCACCTGTCACCCACCGCACAGCAGTCTCGCTCCAGGTCTCTCGAGTGGAGCTTCACCAAGCTGTGATCTTCATATGCTCTGCTGAGCAGGATGTGCACCCCTGACAAACCTGCTGGCCTGATCAGTATCATTATCAGAGGGTGCTACTCACTTCCCAACCGCCCCTTTCCAAGCTGTCAGCTCGGTGGGGACTGAGCTGGGAAAGGGCGGTGGGGCTCAGTCTGGGATGGCCTTCCCAGGCCCTGAAGGCCCAGCACACCTCACACCTCCGCTCCTCCTCATCCACACAAAGACCTAAGACACCTGGCTCAAGGAACATGAGTGAGTAAGGGCACCTGGGGGCTTAGGGCGGAAAGGTGGAGAGAGAACAGGCGCACGTGGGGAGGGATTTGCCCTCAGCCAGCAAGAAGCACGGGACGTGACCTCCTCACCCCACTTCCACGTCGCTGCGACAGCCTGATACCGCCAGTCAGATGTGGCTTGTATGGTGGCACAGCCCACTCCCAGTGATGCCGGTGGGGCCAGGCTGCCAGCAGGTAAGCGCCAAGGGTACAGAAAGGGTCCGAGCATAGCAGGGCAAGTGCCTGAAAGATGGCTGTGGGCACCCAGGCCGCAGAGGCCCTGGGCAGCTGGGGGCAACCTGCCACCGTTCTGCTCTGTAAGACCTGATGCCGGGCCCCAGCCCCGTCGGGAAACCAGAACCCACTACATCCCGGCCCCGCCACCGCACAGGCTCAGAACAACAGGGCAGGATCACAGGCCGAAGCAATCTGCCAAGAATTCTAATGTAAACACTGATTTATTTAAAAAATACTACAGAGGACAGATTTGGATTCAAAAAAAACCACAGAGAATCATATACAGAAACAAAATGCACTGGACC
This sequence comes from Homo sapiens, assembly GCF_000001405.40. Classification (NCBI taxonomy): domain Eukaryota; kingdom Metazoa; phylum Chordata; class Mammalia; order Primates; family Hominidae; genus Homo; species Homo sapiens. Next base: position 130,887,572 of record NC_000009.12, on the reverse strand, counting down.
CCGAGAAGCAGAGGGGGAGCCACCACAGGCCCCCGAGGGGGCAGGGCAGGACGCTATGCACACGCCACTTAGAAAAGAGCGTCTATAAAAGATGCATACCAAGAGATACGTGTAAAATATAGTGGCACATCACGTTAACAAAAGGAAGGGACCAGTACCTCATGGAGACAGGCAGTCGGGGGACCTGGGTGGGCGCTTTGCTCTGTCTTCAAGGCCGCTGTCGGTGACTAGTGCCTCCCTCCGGCTGCGTCACAGCCGTCGGGGGCAAAGAGGTGATGTGCTGTAAGAACCGCATAAAACGATCCAGAGGAAACCATTTCTATCAGAAAAATAAAGTACAAGTTTAGGTGATGAGCGTAAAGCTAGGGCCTGTGCGAGGCTGCTGGCACGAGGCGGTATGAAGGGGTGGGAAGGTGGCTTCTCCCGGCGTGAAGCCTCAGGGGCGGCCACCTGCCCACTGCTCTCGGAGTTAGCTGCTCTGTCAAGGTCCAGGAGACCCCGGGTCCCTGCCCAGAGTCACAGCCCCCGTATCTGGGCTCCGGCCTGGGGCAGCCTCGGGGAGAAGATGGCAGGCGTGCTCTGTGAAATACGTGAGGCTTTCAGGGGCTCCGTTTGTGGTTTTCCTAACCCTCCCTGATGACCCCCACAGAACATGAGGCTATGTCACTCACGGTAATTAAATAAGACATTCGCCCAGTTCAAGAGTGCAGCCAGGACCAGGACTGGCCAGGCCCTTTCCTCCCACCTGTGCGCAGGTGCCCAGTGGCAGCTCTATTCTCTCTCAGGGCGGCTACACAGAGGCAGGGCTTTGAAATGCTTCAAGAACTCAGAAAAGTGAAGGCTGTCTTGTTCCAAAGGAAAGGGCCTTGTAAGAATCTACTTTGTCTTAGAGGAGTGGGGGAGGGGAAGGGCCCTTTCAGGGCACCCAGATGTGTGAAAGGACGGTTCACTCTGGGCCCTTGCAGACCTGCCTGGGCCCAGTCTGGGGCTATTTGGCACCAGCTGTTCACCCCACTAGCCACTGCCTCCCTTGTCCCCTGCCTCCATTCTGCTGGGGGAGGGATGTCGGCAGTGACAGTGACCTGCCACCCTTGAGACTCAAGCTTTCTTGCCAGGATTCACAGTGCACGTCACAAGAGAGCAAGAGCTGGGCTCTGGGGATGTGGACAGATGGAAAGGACATGCCCCATGCCTCGATCCTTTTCAGCTCCCACCTGCCCAGGACCCAAAGGCTGGTTGGCTTTAGCACCCTGTTTTCCACCCAAATCAAGAGCTGTCCTGCACGTGAGGAAATGGCGAGTGCACCCCACCCCGGGCAGCAGCAGAGGGCAGAGTGACCAGCCGTGTGCATGCCCGTGCATGCCCTTCCCGAAATGCGGTTCTTGAAACATGTCTTCAGCACACGACGGGCAAGGCCAGGGAGTGCAGGCAGAGGGCCTGACACACAAGGCCTCAGTTCAGGCTTCCATTCTTGGAGAAGTGGAAGAAGGAGGCCCAGCCGGGGGAGGAGGGGCTCCAGAGAGAAAAAAATGAAAAAGACAGTCCACATCAGCCGTTCCCACCTGGCCTGGAGAGCTCAGTCTGGGGCACTAGGTGGGAGCGGGGCTGGCGGGTCCTGGCATGCCGACTGCAGTCCACGGAGCAGGAACTCCACAGATAAAATTCGAGGACAGAGACGGAGCGGGGAGGAGGAAGGTGCGGGAGGGCAGGCGGTGCAAACGTAGGTAGTAGAGCTGGACTCCACAGGGCCCTCAGCTCTGCCTGGCGCAGAGCTCCTGGGCCAAGGTGCTGACTCACTAGTCCCTTGTCAGCCACTGTCACGGGTATGGGCGAGCCCGCATGTGCTGCAGGCAGCTCCGACGGGCCTGACACCTGACCCCTGACTGCTGCTACCTCTGCACTATGTCACTGATTTCCTTCACCGAACTGAGGAGCTTGCTGAAGTCCTGAGTGGCCGCTGGACCACTGCCTGCTGTCGCCGGGCAGATCTGAAGCTCCCGGAGATTATTCTCCAGTTTGTTGATGGCCTCTCGGAAGGCAAACTTGTTCCTCATTTGCTGGATGGAATCCACATAGCTCACGCAGAACGTGTAGAGGTTTTTGCCGGCCTCCAGCACTGCGCTGTGGCTGGCCATCTGCTCGGAGTTCCTAGAGATGGCGAGGCACAGCGCCTCGGTGCTGTCCAGGACCACGCCCTTGGTGATGGCGCCGCTGGCGATCCGCTCTGGAGGCTGGCGGGTTTTCCGAAGAGACACTCGGGTTGATATGAGAGGGATGAAGGCGGTGGAAGACGGCTGGTCCCCTGCCAGGGCCGAGGATGCTGATGGCAACGTGGAGGGAACGGGGGCTGGGCTGATGGGGGTCCCCGACGGCTTGGCGGACTGTGGCTTTGGAGTGGCCGGGAGCACGGGCTTTTTGAGGCCCTCTCCCGGCTGGCTGGGCTTGGCAGCGTCACTGTTCACAGCATCAACCAGACTCGTGGCTTTTGTCTTTGCGCCCAGGACTGCCTCCCCGGCCGCCTCCTGGCTCGGGCTCTGCGAGGGCTTTCCTCCAGCCTTCCCTGCAGAGGCTGCTGGTGGGGGCGGCGGGGCAGGTTTGAGCCTGGACAATTTCCCCTTGTCCCTCCCTGGCGACTCAGAGGAGTGCTTGTGCCTCCTCACTCTGGACTCCTCGGCGGGGCCCTTGCTGGTGCCCCCTGGTGCACCTGAGCCTGCTTTGCTGGTGGGGGTCACTGGCTCAGCTGCAGCAGGGGTCCCTAAGGCACTGCCCTTTCCAGCTTCTTCCTTGTGGGGGAGGCCCGAGGCAGGGGCCACGGTGACCTGCCGCCGGAGGGGTTTTGGAGTCAGGTTGGGCGGGCTGGAGCCCGGGCTGGACTCCATGATGTCTTTGAAGACCTCATCAGCAGCTTCCTCATTCTTTTTCACCAGCCTGGGGGGAGGCGTTACTGTGCCTCGGGTCACCTGGTCAGACCTGTTCTCCCCTGCCCTCTTCCGAGGCAGAGCCGGCTTCTCACTTTTGTGCCCTCCAAATGTGGACGAGTCAAACTGTCTTCCCGTGGACTGCAAGTCCCGAGGCAGCGTGACTGACCTCCACTCCGTGTCCTTGGCCCCATGGGGAACGCAGGAGGCGGAGCAAGAGCGCAGGAAGCGCTTGCTGGAGCTGCCACCGCCCTCCTCCTCGCCGGTGGCTAGGCGGCTGCTGGTCAGCGTGCTGGACTTCTTCCACAGGTGGGGAGACCGGAAGCCTGAGCCCCCGGACTCCCGGAGGGCTCCATTGGGGACCCCAGCCCCATTGCTGGGCTTTGGGGACTTGGCTGGGTCAGCTGTGTCCAAGGGGGTGAAAGCCAGTGCCCCGTTGCTGATGTCTCGGCCCTCTTCCTCGCCGGCCCCTCTGCGCTCCGGCTGGCCGTCCATCTCCCGGAAGGAGCTGCTGCGTTTGGGAGGGGTTGGGGCTGTCTTCTTCTTCTTCTTGATCAAGGCGCTGAACAAGTTGGTCTTTTTGTCTTTGGGGAGAAGGCGCTCATCTTCATTCAGGCCGCCCTCCGGGGGACCTCGCTCTTTTCGAGGGAGCAATGGAGACACGGCAGGCTCATGGTCCAGAGGATCTGAAACGCAAGGGGAAGAGCTGACAACTCCAGACAACTCTAGAGGCTGACAGAGGAGAATCGCTTGAACCCGGGAGGCAGAGTGCCACTGCTGCACTCCAGCCCAGGAGACAGAGTGAGACTCCATCTCAAAACAAACAAACAAACAAACAAAAAAATTGTCAAAGGTCATCCCTTCTTATCTCCTGTGCATAATGGCCCATTGTCCCTTCCCCACTGTGGGACACAGCCCCTTATTCCCAGAGCTCCTCATAGGCCTCTCGGCTAGCTGGCTGGCAGGAGAGCCACAGGTTTTGACCCTTTGCTTGGCCTTGTCATCGTTTTTATACTCACTAGAGAGTGATGTGGGTGGGTGGGGGGCTGCTGCCTTCAAGTAAACCAGTGCAGGGATGAAGAGGCCAGGGCCGTCCAGCTTTTTGTTCCCATCTTCAGGGAAAGAGACCAAAGCGTGTGTGTGGTTTTTTTTTTTTTTTGAGTTGGAGTCTCGCTTGTTGCCTACGCTGGAGTGCAGTGGCACGATCTCAGCTCACTGCAACCTCCGCCTCCCAGGTTCAAATGGTTCTCTTGCCTCAGCCTCCCAAGTAGCTAGGACTATAGGCACCCGCTACCACGCCTGGCTAATTTTGTATTTTTAGTAGAGACGGGGTTTCACCATGTTGGTTAGGCTGGTCTCAAACTCCTGACCTCAGGTGATCCACCCGCCTTGGCCTCCCAAAGTGCTGGGATTACAGGCATGAGCCACTGCACCCGGCCCAAAGCCTTTCCTAATGACAATCCTAACAGCAATGATGGCTTTATTGAGAGAAGCGTGACACGTGCTTCACCTTTACAACCTCATCTGCATTCTCACAACAGTGCTGTAGCCCGGCTGGGACTTGCCTGGCCTCAGGGATGGTGGCATCAGAGCCGGTTATCAGATCCAGGCCTGTCTGAGCCCAGACGCTTGGGTGCTCCTCTGGGGAGCATGGGGTGGGGGCAGCCCCCAGCTTGTGCCACGGGAGCCTGACCTTGTGATTCGCTGACCTCGGCCTCCTAAAGTGCTGGGATTACAGGTGTGAGCCACCACGCCCGGCCAACAGTTTTTTAATGGGCACTCTTTAAATATGAATCATAGCTCATAAGAAATCTTTCTGGTAGCCAGGCGCGGTGGCTCAAGCCTGTCATCCCAGCACTTTGGGAGGCTGAGGTGGGCGGATCATGAGGTCAAGAGATAGAGACCATCCTGGCCAACATGATGAAACCCCGTCTCTACTAAAAAATGCAAAAATTAGCTGGGTGTGGTGGCACACGCCTGTAGTCCCAGCTACTCAGGAGGATGAGGCAGGAGAATCGCTTGAACCCAGGAGGTGGAGGTTGCAGTGAGCTGGTATCATGCCATTGCACTCCAGCCTGGCAACAGAGTGAGACTCCATCTCAAAAAAAAAAGGAAATCTTTTTGGTGTTGCCAAGCTCCTGCTAGTGAGTAACAGAATTCTCCCTCAGAGGTCAGCTTGCAAGAAGAGGTTTTCTGTTGGCACCTGTAACTCAACAGAGGTACCAGTATGCATTTATCAGAACCCAAGGCAGCACGCGGGACATCTGAATCAGGGAACACCAAAGCCCTCCCAAAACTTTAATCTAGTGGAAGGAGGCCAGGAGAGTGAAATTGCAATGAATTATGCACCACTCAGTTTCAGCACTGAGCAGTTAATTGACACCCTCGGCTCACCAAGAGATCACTATCAAAATACCCCTCAGATGAAACTGACGGGCGTAAATGAACATGACTGCTGATCACTGGGTTCTTAATAAGCACAGCGTTCCCAGAGGCCTCTCCTCCCTACTGCTCAGCCACCTGAAATCAGGAAAACCGATAAGAGGAGGAAGGGTGGAAGATTCTGGAGAGTCTATACGCCATAACCTCCAAGTAGGTGAGTGAGATGGCCCAGCGGGGCGGGAAGTATTGCAAATTTGGACTTATTTAGCATGCAAGCCTTTTAAATGTGCGTTTTGGTACATAACATACGCACTCTACTCCTACAGTAGTGGACATACGTACTTTATATACCATATATATGGGCTGCATGTTCTGTTTTTTTTTGTTTTTTTTTTACTAATGAGAGTACGTGATAAAACTCAGGTTTATAGATTCTGCTGTCAGTAAACATCCCACCATAAATCTTCAAGAAGTAGGGCTTTGTCCAGTCCCTTCACATGTACCCAGTCTGCAGTCCATTAGAATGGAGTCCACCATTGCCATCCCCAGGATCCTCTGTGAACCCAGATGCTTGGCCTACCCCCCACCTCCAATATGGGTTGGCTGAGTCCCCACCCAAATCTCACCTTGAATTGTAATAAGCCCCACGTGTCAACGGTGGGGTCAGGTGGAGATCAATGAATCATGGGGAGGTTTCTCCCACATTCTCGTGGTAGTGAATAAGTCTCACGAGATCTGATGGTTTTATAAAGCGGACTTCCCCTGCACAAGCTCTCTTGCCTGCCGCCAAGTAAGATGTGACCTTGCTCCTCATTCACCTTCAGCCATGATTGTGAGGCCTCCCCAGCCATGTGGAACTGTGAGTCAGTGAAACCTCTTTCCTTTATAAATTACCCAGTCTTGGGTATACCTTTATTAGCAGCATGAAAACAGACTAATACACCCCTCAATGCTTTTGTTCAGCTGGTCTGCAGCAGAACCTGGACTGCTGGTTCTGGGGGTCAACCATGAACATAGAACAGAGCCTGGCCTGTAGTAGGCACACTACATAAATGTTGGCCATTATTATTTTTGCTAGTGTCTTGAGACCCCCTCCTGAGCTGATCCCAACTCCCTTGCTCGCCTAGGCAATGGCACCAGAAAGATGCTCTTCCCAGAGACCACCAGGACACGGGTTCTGTCCATGTGCGTGTCCTGGTTCCACCTGGCTGCAGCGAGCTTCTCACATCAGTGCCTTCACCGTGAGCTGCTTGTCACGCAGCCTGGTGCTTACTATTGTTGAATCTGCTCTGAGACAGCAACCACAGATGCCGCGGGTAATAGGTGGGAGATGGGCTAGCTCCTTGGCGGGCTTCAGAAGCACCTCTGCCTACAGGACTGAACTCACTGCTGGAGCCTATGCTCCTCGGGGACTCTCAGAGGGAGGGGATAGGAGGCAGGTGGGGAGAGGAGAACCTTCCTCCTTCCGAAGCTGAACCATTGACAAAGGCCATGGCTGCCCTTCTGTGCGGGCTCCATTCACAGCTTCCCGTTGGCCTATGATGGCCTGAATGTAGCCTCTGGCAGGGAAGGGAAGAGCAGTGGGGTTGGGGGAAGCGGGGGACTTACCGCTCTCTCCCTGGCCCTTGGAGTGAGGCATCTCAGGCACGTCAGTGGTGTCTCTGTGCTCTGCAGCTCTCCTGGAGGTCCTCGTCTTGGTGGGCAGCTCTGGGGCCTGCAGCAAGGTACTCACAGCCCCACGGACGCCTTGTTTCCCCAGCTCCTTTTCCACTTCTAAGAATCATACAGGGACAGAAACAAAAATCCAGCAGCCATCAGTACTGGTGTTGGCTTGGTGTGGTGGTTCTCTTTCTTTGTAAGGTAACAGTGCTCATCTGCATACAACTAAAGAAAAGGCACGTGGATACCGGAGAAACAGCCCTTAGCATTTCTTAGAACTCTGCAGGGCTGCAGCAGACAAGAAAGCACAATACTCCACACCTCTGCCCAGCTTTCTGGTCTCAGGACAGGCTGGTCTGTGAACTTTCACCAGGAAGTGAACCGAATGACCCAGGCTGCAGTCCCACATGGCTGCCCTTTCACCCCACTGCAGGTACCCCGGGATGGGTACTTTACCGTCTGAGATACTGGATTCCTGGAACATTGTTTCAAAGGCTTGGTGGATTTCAGCAAAGGAGGGCCGGTCAGAGGGATTCCACTGCCAACCTGGACAGATGAAACCCAAGTCAGATCATCCATGAGATCTGGCTAGCAATACGGGGCTAGCAGTTCTCAAGGAAAAGTCTAGAATGAAAGCAACATTCCAATCCTGCTAACCATCTTTTGCTGCAACAAGTCAAAACGATGAATGTCATCATGTCCTGTTATAGACATTAAGAATTTGAAAAGACGTTAGATGCTGGCAGGAATATGGATTGTAAAACCCCAGAGAGACAGTGACAGCAAGAACTGCATTTACAAATATATTTTTCCCAGTCCCGCTCTAGTAGGTGTAGAAAATTACTAAGCCAAACAGCTCACCTTCTATCTTGTTCTTTCTTCACGGTTATCAAAGTCTGAAGTAAAGAAATTCTCATGAAAATGAGACTAACATGAGGACTAAACAGACTGACAAAGCCTAGTACTGGGGACCAGGAACAGTCACTCCCATATGCGTCTGACTGGAGCATACAATGGCACAACCTTTTTTAACAGTTTGGTAAAATGTATCAAAATTTAAAACCCACACAGTTCTTGGAACCAACAGTTCAACTTTTAGAAATACCAGCCAAAGTGCCCAGAGATTCGTGTACATGAATATTTGTTTCTGCTTTGTTTATAAGGGCAAAAACCAAACAAATGTGTAAAACAACCAAATGCACATCAAAAGAGGACCGGATGAATGAGTGAAATGGAGTACTGGGCAGCTATACATAAATAAGAGGTAGGGAGAGGGAGAGATCTGAATATATGGACGTGGAAAGACATGTGTGGGAAAACAGTGTAAGAAATGGCCATATAAATACCTTATAAGATATATGAAAACATCCTGTGTGTGCATAGTACAGATAACACATATGTAATCAGTATAAAACGACCAGATAAAAATCACCTCGCAGCTGGGCGTGGTGGCTCACGCCTGTAATCGCAGCACTTTGGGAGGCCGAGGCAGGCAGATCACCTGAGGTTGGGAGTTGGAGACCAGCCTGACTAACATGGAGAAACCCCATCTCTACTAAAAATACAAAATTAGCCGGGCGTGGTGGTGCATGCCTGTAATCCCAGCTACTTGGGAGGCTGAGGCAGGAGAATCGCTTGAACCAGGGAGGTGGAGGTTGAAGTGAGCCAACATTGCGCCATTGTACTCCAGCCTGGGCGACAAGAGCGAAACTCCGTCTCAAAAAAAAAAAAAAAAAAAATCACCTCATGAGCTTAGCTACTATAGCAGAATGTCTGTGAAAGCAGGGCCCAGGAATCTGTATTTAGGAATACACCCAGGTTTGGTATCTATCAATACCATTTTTGCTTTAAAAGACAAGTCACGCACATACTATTTATCTGTAAATAAAGGTCAATAGGTAGCAAATGGCTACATTAGCTGCATCTGAAGAACTGGAATGGAGAGAGCTCATGGAAAAACTTTCAACTTTGTGTACACACTCCTGCACAGTTGAATTTCCTGGAATGCCCACATATACTCGTGAGAACAGGCTGAGGAAGGCTTACATGCTCGCATGAGTTCATAGACCTTCTCTGGGCAGCCTTCTGGGCGCTCCATGCGGTAGTCCTTCTCTAGCAGCTCATACACCTGGGACAGGTCAATTCCCGGGTAAGGGGACATGCCATAGGTAGCAATTTCCCAAAGCAATACTCCAAATGCTGAAAGAAAACCGAAAGAGAAAGGCTGTTCAAGATGTGTAGCATTTCACTACACTACATTTAAAATCAGTTACCTTTGCAGCAGACCTCAGAAGGGATGGCCCCAGCAGCAGCCCAGGCTCTGACATTTTACCAGGCTCTTTATCATCAGAAGACCAGGACAAGGCTGGGTGCGGTGGCTCACGCCTGTAATCCCAGCACTTTGGGAGGCTGAAGTGGGAGGATTATTTGAGGTCAGGAATTCAAGACCACCCTGGCCAACATGGCGAAACCCCATCTCTACTAAAAATACAAAAATTAGGGGCCGGGCACGGTGGCTCACACCTGTAATCCCAGCACTTTGGGAGGCCGAGGCGGGCGGATCACGAGGTCAGGAGATTGAGACCATCCTGGCTAACATGGTGAAACCCTGTCTCTACTAAAAATACAAAAAAATTAGCCGGGCGTGGTGGTAGATGCCTATAGTCCCAGCTACTCGGGAGGCTGAGGCAGGAGAATGGTGTGAACCCAGGAGGTGGAGCTTGCAGTGAGCCAAGATCAAGATCGCGCCACTGCACTCCAGGCTGGGTGACAGAGCGAGACTCCATCTCAAAAAAAAAAAAAAAATTTAGCCAGGTGTGGTGGTGTACGCCAGTAGTCCTGGCTACTTTGGAGGCTGAGGCAGGAGAATTGCTTGAACCCAGGAGACGGAGGTTGTAGTGAGCTGATATTGCTCCACTGCACGCCAGCCTGGGCGACAGAGCAAGACCCCGTCTCAAAAATAAAAAAAAAAAAAGGAGACCAGGACAGAACAAGACTCAGTAAACTTACCCCACAAACATGCTAGAGGAGGGCAGATGATGAGTTTCAGACCCTGTGGGGTCTTTTAGGTAATGTGACCATCTTGCTGGGATATGTGGTAGAAGGAACCTGGCGCCGGAAGTCAGCTGGCCATGTTAACTCTTAGCTCTGTGACCAACCAGCTCTGTGCCTAACCGGCCACCACTGCTTTCTGGGTGCACAAGACTATCTCCAAAGCCCCTTCTAACTCTAAACATTTCATAAAAATCTTATGAAATCTTTGAAAGTTTTGAAATCTGAGATTATTGCCTTAAAATTCCATTTCCCATTAAAGGATAAGATTCCTTAGAGAAATGGGTGATTCAGGCCTGGGGCACAGAATGAACCTGCAATAGCTTGTCATTTGAGGGCGCGGACGTCATGGAAAACTACAAAGTTAATGTCAAAATGACTAGGAGCTAATGTGAAGTTCCCACTGGCCAAAGACGAGACAATCTGAATATCAACAGGGAAAATAACCGCAGTGGACTGAAACACATCAGATATATATAAATCTGAGAGTTCATAATACCACCAATGACAGCAAAAACCTAATTGGCCACCACTGAAGGGTATTAAGAAACTAACTTGTGCACTTTGGGAGGCCAAGGTGGGCGGATCACGAAGTCCGGAGATCGAGACCATCCTGGCTAACGCAGTGAAACCCCGTCTCTACAAAAATAGAAAAAAAATTGGCCGAGTGTGGCGGCGGGCGCCTATAGTCTCAGCTACTCGGGAGGCTGAGGCAGGAGAATGACGTGAACCCGGAAGGCGGAGCTTGCAGTGAGCTGAGATCATGCCACTGCACTCCAGCCTGGGCGACAGAGTGAGACTGTCTCAAAAAAAAAAAAAAAAAAAAAAAGAAACCAACTTGTGGCAGGGCATGGTGGCTCACGCCTGTAATCCCAGCACTTTGGGAGGCCAAGGCAGGTGGACTGCCTGAGCTCAGAAGTTCAAGGCCAGCCTGGGCAACATGGTGAAACCCCATCTTTACTAAAAATACAAAAAAATTTAGCCAGGCGTGGTGGCAGGCACCTGTAATCCCAGCTACTTGGGAGGCTGAGGCAGAAGAATTGCTTGAATCTGGTAGGCGGAGGTTGCAGTGAGCCGAGATCATGCTACTGAACTCCAGCCTGTACTTTGTACCCCAGAAAAAGCAAGACTCTGGCTCCAAAAAAAAAAAAGAAAAAGTAATTTGTTATTTTAAAAACTGGTAAATAAAAACAAAGAAGCAAGAATTGACCCTGCTCTTCCTACATGAACTGTACCACTGAGTAACCACACAGATGAGGAACTGTTTCTCCTCATACAAGTTTCCACTAGTAACTTAACAGGAATGACAGAATTAGAGAATTCCTACCTGGCAATACCTAGCAAACTATTGGATCTAGGCACTGTATATCAGTAACTGCCAAAAATTACTCAAAAAAAAACCCCCACAAAAAAACGATAGCAAATCAAGCATTTTGGGGCCAGGCGTGGTGGCTCACGCCTGTAATCCCAGCACTTTGGGAGGCCGAGGTGGGTGGATCACGAAGTCAGGAGTTGGAGACCATCCTGGCCAACATGGTAAAACCCCGTCTCTACTAAAAATACAAAAATTAGCCGGGGGTGGTGGCATGCGCCTATAATCCCAGCTACTCAGGAGGCTGAGGCAGGAGAATCGCTTGAAACCAGAAGGCAGAGGTTGCAGTGAGCCAAGATCGTGCCACTGCACTCCAGCCTGGGCAACAAGAGCGAAACTCCGTCGGAAGGAGAAGGAGAAGAGAGGAGGGGAGGGAGAGGGGAGGAAAGGAAGGAAGGAAATAAATGAAGCATTTTGTATCTACTGATGGAAGGGCACACCATCTCCCCTGATCCACTCTTACTAAAAGAGAAACAGTCAAACCTGAATGTGATGAGGCCGTTCCAGATCCAGCCACCCATTACTAGGAATACTGAAGTCAGAGGAACATATTAAATCACACCATGGGAGACAATGAGCAAAACCCAGAACGTACGAAACTCTAAGGATGGTTTCTTCAATAAACAGCAAGGGAAATAAAGACATGGAGAGGGGGCTTATAGAGGAGACTTAACAGATCAGCAGATACACTGTGCACCATATTTGGACCTCAGGCCAAATACACAGTTAAAAAAAAAAAAAAAAGGGTGGCTGTGCACAGTGGCTCACACCTGTAATCCCAGCACTTTGGGAGGCCAAGGCAGGCAGATCACCTGAGGTCAGGAGTTCTAGACCAGCCTGGCCAACATGGTGAAACCCCATCTCTACTAAAAATACCAAAAATTAGCTGGGTGTGGTGGCGGGTGCCTATAATCCCAGCTACTCAAGATGCTGAGACAGGAGAATCGCTTGAACCCGGGAGGGAGAGGCTGCAATGAGCCAAGATTGCACCACTGCACTCCAGCCTGGGTGACAGAGTGAGACTCCGTCTCAAAAAAACAAAAAGAAAGGAAGAAAAGAAAGGGAAGAGCAAGAAAGAGGCAGAAAAAAACCCTCCTGTAGTCAGGAAGGACCACTTCAGTGCAGCAGCAGCCCTTACCCCAGACGTCGGACTTGATGGAGAACTTGTTGTAGGCCAGGCTCTCGGGTGCAGTCCATTTGATGGGGAACTTGGCTCCAGCATGGGCTGTGTAGGTGTCCCCTGTCATCAACCTGCTCAGGCCAAAATCAGCTACCTTCACCAAGTGGTTCTCCCCTACCAGGCAGTTTCGGGCAGCAAGATCTCTAAGAAAGGAAAATGTTCACCCATGAGAGCTCCTGGCCAACCTTCCACTTCACAAATCCACCACTGCTGAGCAAAGGTGCAATGCTGACAATGGAAAGATTGAGTCCAATGCCCTGGAAGTTTGTATTAATGCCCACGGCAATTAACACAGTGCCAGCCTCTCAGCAAACACACCCTGAGATCCCAACATGGGGAGAGGCTGGTGCTGGGAGCGGGCTCCCTGGCCTCATGACCTGGAGCAAGTTAATTACCCTGGGACTCAGTTACCTCATCCGTAAAATGAAGACGATAATAATGGCACCTACCTCTTAGGGTTGCTGTGAGTGTAATTAATTAATATGCTAAGTGCTTTGATTGAAGTGTCGAGAATAGTAAGTGCAGTTATTGCTACTCTATGCCAGGCACGGAGACAAACACTGAGCCCAGTCCTTGATTGCAAGAAACTTCTATCAGAGTGCATCTCCACTTGTCCTATTCAGACTTGATGGGACAAAATAAAACAAAGCCCATGGCATTCTTTACCCAAACTGTGTTTCCTACTTCCCTCTTTCTTCCTGAGGTGTACCCAAATGTATCCTAAAAAACTCTCTCCTGTATAATCTGCTTCCTCTCACTTCCTGATTCTCCCAGGGAGGTAGGAGTCTAATCTTTGGTTCATGAACATTAACCATGAAATCACAAGGCAAACGGGAAGAGCGGAATGAGAGGGGGCAGCAGCTTGAGGTGATGGCTGCGTGAGATAGCCTGATCGTCAGCAACAAGAGTGAAATTAAATACAGAAGAGTTGTGCCTAAGAGGATTTTGATAAAGCATTTTAAGTTCGCTTGAATGAAGAAGGAACGGACCCGGCCGTGCCAGGCAAACCAGAAGTCAAGCAATCTCAATTTGCAGCATCAGAGGATTCACTTTCCTGAAAGCCAGGAGTATCTGGATCAGGCTCTCATGGAGCATAGAAAATCTGTCTTACAAGGAGCCGCCAGCATTTCACACATGCTACCCTTATTCCTTGCTATGAAATCTCATGTAGAGGTTTCATACTTGAGCTAATTGGGTAGGAAAGGTCACAGTGGTGGTGTGGAGAACATCTCGTATAAAAGACGCCAGCAAAGCCCATCAGGCTCTGTCCTGCACAGGCCGTCGCTTTGCTGGGAAGCCATTTCCACCAGCAAAGAATTTGAAGACCAAGATAATTGTGGCACATTTGAAGGTCAAAACACTTCAGGGTTTAAAACAGCAAAGACACTTAATTTAGACCTCCACATACACAATTCTGACAATTGTGGAAACATCCCTGAATCAGAGGACAGCAAGTTAAGTGGAGAATGAAAAGATAATAAAGAGAAAGCAGGAAAAAAAGACACACACACTAAAAAACAAAAGCCATGTACTGGTTGTTCCCATGAGTTTGCGTAAAAGCAATGCCAGCGGCTCCCAGGAAGAGGCCATTACTGCTGGGCGCTGGCCCCGGAGGAACAATGAGTACTCTCTTTCAGAGGGGACTGTGATTATTAGGAAGGACGCCTTTTATGAACTTCATTTAATATTCCACTTAGCCCAAAATGGTTCAAAAATGAAATATTCCTTACTCCGGGGATTAGCTGCTCCACTGGTCCAGAGTCTAGGCCTGGCTGAATTTAGCCCTGGATGCATGCCCAAAGCTGGCTTTGCCAGGAGCCTAGTGTTTGCCTTTGTTCCAAGGTCCAATGTGTTGCCAGCACTGAGGTTAGAAGCTGCGCCCTGAGACCTCCTAGGCTGGGGCTTTTTGTAAAAGGCTGCCCGGCTCCACGCCCTGTGACTCCATGGCGCAGGCTGCCTGGCCAGGCCCCTACCTGTGGATGAAGTTTTTCTTCTCCAGGTACTCCATGGCTGACGAGATCTGAGTGGCCATGTACAGCAGCACCACGGCGTTCACCTCCTGCCGGTTGCACTCCCTCAGGTAGTCCAGGAGGTTCCCGTAGGTCATGAACTCAGTGATGATATAGAACGGGGGCTCCCGGGTGCAGACCCCTGCCAACAAGACAACGAGGACTTCAACACGTGGCTCCGCTCCCAACTGAACAAACAACTGTCTAAAGAAAAAGCCTTCTGAAGGATTCTGACTCTGCTCCTCAGTCCTGGGCCCAACTTCCAACATGGTCCCAAGCACCTGCATCCTGAGACTGTGCTCGTGTGGGAGGGACATGGCCAGGCTCTTTTCTTCTTCTCAAGCCAGTGAACTTGAATTTACGCAGGGAGAGGCTGCCACAGAATTCAGACGCAGACCTGGCCCCACCTCAAATGACCTTCACCACCGTCAGTTTACCCCTGAATGGTTAGGTCTGATGGTTATGTGTCTACTTACAGAATCACTTCAGTGAGAAAACTCTGGAAAATGCCCAAGTTTCAGAAACTAATTTCAGATTTGCATTTGACTGCTTTTAGGTATCCACTTAAAATAATCACATTCTCCCTCTCATACATACATGTGCATATGTGCACACACGCACACACCCATCCCATACAGGCCTCATTTTACCCGCGGCTGAACGTCGGCAGAGCACAAATATTCCAACGAGGTTTTGTGCAGTGAGCCGCCCGTGCGTCTTCCCCAGCGCCTGTGTCACCCTGGGGGTGCGGCGCGAGACCCTCTCTTCAGAGCCCCGGGCTTACTCACCAAGGAGCTGCACCAGGTTAGGGTGTTTGATCTCTTTCATGACTGCAGCTTCTTTCAAGAACTCTTCCACCTCCATGGTGTCCTCCTGCAGAAGGAAAAAAACGAAGGTGAAATTATTTCAGGAAGTGCTTTTCAGTGGGTAAGTACTTGACTAGTTAATGCAAAATGGAGCTTCAGCGCATACTCGTCCTGGGCTGCGTTTTGTGACAGCCACATTGCTGCAGACAGGTTCCATGACAGCTGACCAGCAACTTGATGGCAGAAAGAATTTTCCCCTTTGGGGCCAAACTTTTCAATTCTCCCCCAGGCAACAGGGCAAAGCTGGCTTGCATGTGCCGACAACCTGCTTCTGGTGCCTGCTAGGCAGGCCACATGTGCTTCCCCACCTCTTGGAGCTCGTGGGGGTGTGGGAGAGCTATACGGGCAAACACCACAAACGTGACACACTTTCCCCAGGGAACCTGGTTTCCAAGGGGTGCTAACACACTCAGCCTAAAAAACATCACCTGAAGAATCTGAAATGTACCTGATTTAAGGGAAGAGACCCTCATGACAAGAAAGAGGTATTGCATCACAAAGAAGAACGATGTCTCAAAGTACAGTAGCAACAGAGGATGCTGAACTATTCTGGCACGTGGTCGTGGGCTCTTAATGAAGCAGTCATCACTGTCTGTCAGGTCAATTACTCACAGTCTAAAATAATCCTCACCAGCAGCTCCCCTACCAACAAATTCATAAGGATCATCAGTACATGTCACATTTTAACAAGTCCATGGTATCTAAATGCCAAGGGGGAGAAAAAGATAGGAGCATGGGCCCGGGACAGACAGGCCGTGACTTCTACAGGTCCTCTCATCTTTTCAGTCTGGGGTCAAGTCTGAAGTGCCGTGGCACTGAGCCCTGGGGAGAGCCCCATGACACAGAGCCTTGACCTTGGCCTACATCACTAAGCCTCTTTTTGACTTAAAAAATGCTACTGTCTACTGAACTGACTATCAGAACAAGAAGCAGGTGGGTGTTAAATGATATGGTCTGTTTGCTGCGAAAACCTGGCTACAAAGGCCAAAGGAGGAAGCGAGATGCCTCCAAGTTTCAACAGAGTTTGGAGAGAAAAGACTGCAGGGGAACAGAGAGTGAATGGCTTAAAAATTAGGCTCCCCAAAGAGGAAGGCTTGATCAACTTTCTATTAAACGTAGAACCTTGTATGTTCCGGCCCGTTTGGGAGACACCGTGTCCTGATGGTCCTGCTTGCTATGGCTGCCCCAGTTCCCCACCCTGCTGTGGGGGAGGCTTCCAGAGGACGGGCCAACCTTTACTTACAGCCTTCTTGCTTTGGCCAATCCTGTTTACAAGTGAAGCGTGACCAATGAGGCTATGTGTCAGCCCATTATCTCTTAGCTCAGGGCTCCGTGAGGCTGAAACTTGGAAACAATTTATCGCTCTTTAAAAATGGTGAGCTGCTCTTAATGTCAATTAAACCTCATTGGTAGTCACCATGCCAAGCTGTCCGAGGGGGAAAGAGCTCACCTCTGTCACCACCCCATTGGCCGTTTAATTCTTCTGAGCCCTCTCTGCTCCTTAATGTGCTCAGCAGACCATGCTGTTTTTTGGCATGGAGTGCTCTGATTTACCAGGGTGACATGCTAATGTCAAAGGCTGGACAGTGAACGCCTGCCAGTATCCGGGGATTCAATGCTGCTCACGTATAGGACTGGGGCTTTAAGAATCTTGCTTGATCAACAATATGGTTAAAAAGTAGCTCTCAAAGGAAGCTTTCGAAGCAAGTGGGGTTTTTCTGTTTTGAAGACTACATAATAAACCACATACAATGAAATCATTTCATAAATATCATTTGCTTTTATAGCTACTGACCCTCTTCTAAAAGACCCATGTAATAATCTTGAGAGGTATGTACATGCAAAAGGAACATGGCTCTCAAAGGCAGCCCTCTTCTCATCTGTCTCTCTTACATACACACAAACACACAAGGGAGGAAAGTACAAATAATTCCTTTTCTTATAGAAAAATCAATGTGAATTTGTCTCCCCCTGCTGGAATCAGACCTTGTCCAATTTATAATTTTAACTATTAACAACAGCTGGCCGAGTGTGGTGGCTCATGCCTGTAATCCCAACACTTTGGGAGGCCAAGGTGGATCACCTGAGTTCCGGAACAACCTGGTCAACATGGTGAAACCCCATCTCTACTAAAAATACAAAAATTAGCCAGGCGTGGTAGCGCATGCCTGTAGTTCCAGCTACTCAGGAGGCTGAGGCAGGAGAATCACTTGAATTCGGGAGCAGGAGGTTGCAGTGAGCCAAGATCGCACCACTGCACTTCAGCCTGGGCGACAGAGTGAGACTTCATCTCAAAATAGAAAACCAAAACAACAACAACAAAACAGCCTACGTTTGTAGTTGTGTTAAACTGGAAATATCCCTGACGCAATTCTGTGACATTCCTTTACTTTCATTAAAAAAATTCCTATCATTTTGCTGAAGAAAATTCTCTTTATATAGTAAAATAAAGCTAACTCAGATGAATGAGGTGAAGGAAACACTTTGAGTGAAAGCTATGAATTTTCAGCCTGGTCTCTTCTGTGCTTGTTAGGGAGGGAGATGGGTCAACTGGCCTCTTTGCACGGACTGACGAGGCTGGCCCAGATGCAGATGAACATTCTGGGCGGTACGGCGGAGCGGTTAAGAGAATGACTTGTGGATTATACTGACCTAGCTCTGCTGCTGTGTGACCATGGTAAGTTACTCACCTTCTCTGAGCCTGTTTTCTCATCTGCACAACAGAAAGAATGTCAGTATCTCCCTTGTGCACAGAGTGCCAAGAGCAGTTCCTGGCATGAGGCCAGCACTCACTCAGCGGTGCTTGCTTTTATTACTATTAAGGCAGTTTATCTCTATTCCTGAGTAGACCGAACAGATAGCTTGTAGAAAACAAAGGCTGGTTCTTTAATGAATACTAGGGTTGTTTGTCTTCTCACAGATACATTCTCCCAGACTCAACATCTCACAGGTATTTTCTTTTTTTTTTTGAGACGGAGTCTTGCTCTGTCGCCCAGGCTAGAGTGCAGTGGCGCGATCTCGGCTCACTGCAAGCTCCGCCTCCCAGGTTCACACCATTCTCCTGCCTCAGCCTCCCGAGTAGCTGGGACTACAGGCACCTGCCACCACGCCCAGCTAATTTTCTGTATTATTAGTAGAGACGGGGTTTCACCATGTCAACCAGGATGGTCTTGATCTCCTGACCTTGTGATCTGCCCTCCTCGGCCTCCCAGAGTGCTGGGATTACAGGCATGAACCACTGCACCCGGCCCTCATAGGTATTTTCTAATCAGTTTCCTCCTTTTTGCTCACCCCCAAGCACAGGTATTCTACAGCATGAAAAAGAACACTGTTTTTAAAAATGGCTTGGCCTCTCTGGGGGGCCGAGACAGGCAGATAACTTGAGGCCAGGAGTTCGAGACCAGCCTGGCCACATGGTGAAACCGTGTCTCTACTAAAAATGCAAAAATTAGCCGGGCGTGGTGGCAGGAGTCTGTAATGCCAGCTACTCAGGAGGCTGAGGCAGAAGAATTGCTTGAACCTGGGAGGCCGTTGCAGTGAACTGAGATCATGCCACTGCACTCCAGCCTGAACTACTGGGCAAAACTCTGTCTGAAAAAAAAAAAAAAAAAAAAAGAAAAAGAAAAAAGAAATGGCTTGGCCTTCCAGCAGTTTCTGTGTAGCAGGCTTTCAATGTCTCGCTCTCAGCAGGGACCCCCTCCCTGAGCAGGGCCATTATCTACAGATAGATCAGTTTCCACATCTGTTTCTGGTTAACCAAATGCTAGGTGAGAGAGGTTACAGGCACAGTGAAACACCACAGGGATTATCCTTATTTCCAATATTCCTTCACCCATCAGATGAATCAGGATCAACACAGCTAAATACACTGAAGAGACTGCTGGGTGTGGTGGCTCACGCCTGTAATCCCAGCACTTTGGGAGGCCGAGGAGGGCAGATCATGAAGTCAGGAGATCGAGACCATCCTGGCTAACATGGTGAAACCCTGTCTCTACTAAAAATACAAAAAATTAGCCGGCGTGGTCGCAGGCACCTGTAGTCCCAGCTACTCGGGAGGCTGAGGCAGGAGAATTGCTTGAACCCGGGAGGTGGAGCTTGCGGTGAGCCGAGATCACGCCACTGTACTCCAGCCTGGGTGACAGAGTGAGACTCTGTCTCAAAAAAACAAAAACAAAAACAAAAAGCAAAAAAAAAAAAACCACTGGAGGGATAGAGTTAGACTGAGGAAGGCGATTCACACTCCAGAGGTGGGACTTGAAGCTCGAGAGGAAAGCCCAGGAGAGACCACCTCGTAGAGGAGCCCCCAGAACTCATCTCCCTGGCCAGAGGAGAACCCACTGCAAGGAATGCCTGTCTTGCAAGAGCAAGTGCAACCTGGCAACAGCAGGCTCCGAGCCCTCCTTGTGCGGCCAGAGAGCCACTGCGTACAACTGCCAAGGGTACGACTGCCCTTCTTCTCGGCTTCTTTCTGGAGCTCCCCAACTAACACCCATTTCCTGGGAGAAATAAAACCGAAACACACTGTGCTGGGTGGAGGAAACAGGCACTCTCTCAACACCACTGGGGAGTGCAAATTGATGACACAAACTCCTTGGAAGGTACTCTGGCAGTATGGTCAAGGCCATAAATGCACATGGTCCCTGATCCAGTAGTTTCTGGAAGCGGACCCACCAGGATAGTTTCACATACATGCAAATGAGGGGAATCACTGTGCTGCTGTTTAGAACAGCAAAATATTGGAAATAAGAGAAAGGCCCACTGAACACTGGTACATGTTAAAATATATCCATACAAAAACAAGACAACCTTATGTATATCAATAAGGAACAACTGCCAAGACACATGATGTGGACAACAGAAGACAGAGATCCGTGCCTATGGGATGCTGTCACCTGGTTAAAACAAGGTTCACATATGCGGACTCAGGAAAGACACAGAACTCGAGGGTGGGACAACCTATTCAAAAAAATATATCCTGCACATTATTTTCCACTGTTTAAGTAGTAAATTTGTCAGTTAGCTCATGAGTCAATCTAAATGCCACAGCTAGATCACCAGCGGTCTTTTCCAAATTCTATTACTTAGAGAACTGATTCATAGAAAAAAAAGACACTGATGTACAAACTCTGAATACAGTTCATTAAAAAATTGCAGCCTCTTAGCTGGGCACAGTGGCACAAGCCTGTGATCCCTGCTACTCAGGAGGCTGAGGTGGGAGGACTGCTTGAGCCAGGAGTTTGAGGCCAGCTGGGCAACACAGTGAGACCCCGTTCCCCCACCTCAAAAAAAATTAGAGCTTCTTGTACTTGACTGTTGGTTTTCTTAAGCACGTCCTCCCTTTAACACAGATAGCAAGACTATGTCCTGCCCAATACTATCAAAATTCAAGGGTGCAGTTCCCAATCAATGAGCCTTTGCTGTAATTCCAGCTTCCCATCTGCAGGGGTCAGCCTAGTGTCCTGCTTTTTTCCTGTTCTCTTCTGTCTTCCTTCTGCCTGGAAGGTATATGAATGACCCAAGGTTGCTTGACTTGTTCACTATGGAGTTGCGGTTAAAAGTAGGCCCTTGCTCCCCCTGCTGGCAAAAGAGGACTCTGGCTCTGCCCTTGGAGAAGCCAGCGATAGGAAACAGGCTGGATGGGAGGAAACTGAGGCCCAAAAATCGGCTGAGGGAAGGACGCTTGGGCAAGGCTGCAAGGATTTTTCAAGGGTTTTGAAGAGGAAGGTAGATCGTAGCCACAAACTGCAAAGGAAGTAAATGGGAGAGTGGGGGGAAAAGGTGATTTTTTTTTAAAAGGCATAACTGTGGCTTATGTAAATATTTTATGGTATTTGAGAAATAAGAATCTGGGTTCAATTTTAAAAAAGAAGAGCTGAGCTTTGGAGCTGAGTGCCCCAGTTCAAATCCTGATGCTGCCACTCCTGGCTGTGTGATGCCAGGTCAGTCACTTAACCTCTCTCTCTTCCATTTTCTCAGCATTAAAATGTTGATACAGGGTGAATGTCCCTTAACTGAAAGGCTTGGGGCTACAAGTGTTTCGGAGCTCAGATCTTTGCAGATTGGGGAATATCCACACTATATTACCAGATGAGCACTCCAAATTAGAAAATCCAAAATCTGAAATGTTCCAGTATGCATTTCCTCTGAGCTGCATGCCGGTGCTCAAAAAGTTTTGGATTTGGGAGCATTTAGGATTTGGGATTTTAGGGTCCGGGATGCTCAACCTGGAAGGATCTTAAGGTTGTGAGGATTCAATGAGATGCGACATGTAGTAAGCACAGAGGTCTCTGCCAGGCACACAGCAAGGGCACGATGAAGCTGAATGTTAGCCACTGCCATGATTTAGAATCCACTCAAGGATTTCAGCTTTTTTTTTTTTTTTTTTTTTTGGAGACAGGGTCTCACTCTGCTCCCCAGGTAGGAGTGCAGTGGCACGATTACGGCTCACTGCAGCCTCAACCTCCCGGGCTCAGGTAATCCTCCCATGTCAGCCTCCCAAGTAGCTAGGAATACACACGCACCACCACGCCTGGCTGATTTTTGGTATTTTTTGTAGAGGCAGAGTTTTGCCATGTTGCCCAGGCTGGTCTTTAACTCCTGGGCTCAAGCAATCCACCAGCCTTGGCCTTCCAAAGTGCTGGGATTACAGGCGTAAGCCACCGTGCCTGGCAATTTCAGCTTCTATAGCAAAGGTAAATGCCCCATATTTACACTAATCTTATTTGACAAATAGGCAACATACTGCAGGGATGTTTCTGCGCACGGCCAGGAGGAAGGAGGGCTAATTTATTTAGCAGTTGCTTAGTACCGTATTTTCAGTTAACACACTTCCAGAAAGGGACATACTGCCTTTTCCCTAATTAGATACCACTCCGGGTGACTGCCCACAGAAATCCACGCAATGACATCCTGTAATTCTTTACCAACTGTGAGATCGTAAGTTAATTAGGCTCTTGGGAAAAATTATTAGAAGTATAATTAAAAGCAGAGTAACACATTATTAGTAAAGCACATTCTGAAAGGCACCCACTTTAGATTCAGTGATATAAGAAACCCACCCCACAAACCACACAGGTCTCCAGCAGGTACCCTTCTCTGGAGTCTCCTCCTTCAGTTGTTCAGAAAACAATGCCACAGCACCATCTACTGAAGTAGCGTTTCCTCAAATGTCAAGTTGTACAACCCGATCTTGGAAGTTTTCAGACAAGCTTTTACTGGTTGAAATCTAGGGTATTTTGCGCTTGGAATCTTCCTTCATTTGACAAATCCTGGTGAAAGTGTGCTGAAATCTAGGCCATTCTCAGTTTGCTGAGCTGGTCAAGGCCCCATTTCTTGGGTCTGGTCTTCAACCCTGTGCAACCCAAGGAGCTGGGGCACCTGCACAGCTCCCCCGTCCCTCCTTCGTTCACCCCCTGGTGGTGTCCCGAGGACTGCTGCGCTGCAATCCTTCTTCCTCCTACTACCTGGACCACCCTATGTCTCAGATGAAGAACTCTGTCCCATTCATTTTCTAATCCAGTGTTGAGCCCAGGAACCGTCAAATAGAAGTGAAGAACTTGATAAATATTTATTCAATTAAGAAAAAGTCCAGGGCCGGGTGTGGTGGCTCATGCCTATAATCCCAGCACTCTGGGAGGCTGAGGTAGGCAGATCACTTGAGGTCAGGAGTTTGAGACCAGCCAGGCCAACACAGCGAAACCCCATCTCTACTAAAAATACAAAAATTAGCTGGGTGTGGTGGCGGGTGCCTGTAATCCCAGCTACTCGTGAGGCTGAGGAAGGAGAATCGCCAATTTGGGGAGGCGGAGGTTGCAGTGAGCTGAGATCATGCCACTGCACTCCAGCCTAGGCAACAGAGTAAGACTCCGTCTCAAAAAAAGAAAAGAAAAAGTCCTATCTGAGAAATATCCAGGGTCCTTAAGGTAACCCCAAACCATGCCCCCACCCCAGTGCCAGTCCTGCCTCAAAGACAGGCACGTGCTGAATAAGAGCATCAGGAAGCCACCTTTGGTTTCTAGGACTAAAGAATGTGATCTTTTCTCTAAAGCAGCCACTTCATACCAGTCAGAAATCATACTTCCCATTTCACTATGCCTTTGGGTGAAGGCATCAGGTCAGTCAAGGAGTCCCTAAAAGGCAGGCATGTGGCTGCACCAGTCTCAATGTGTGCACCTGACTTCTGAGACACATGCACAAACTAAACTCTATTTTTCCCAGAGGTGGATGTTTCAGTTCTTTTCTAACAGCTCTAAAAAGGGGCTGCCTCTCTTGATTTCTGTGCACAGGTCAAGGTAATCAAAGTTCATTTAAAACAAGTGGAAATAATGTAAGTCAACACTAGGGGACACCCTCGCCACAGGGAAAAGCCTGGATCACATTTTGAAGAATGCAAAGGGCTGAAAATGAAAACTTCCTTCCCTTGGCGTCCTAAGGGTTTCAAAGAA
This sequence comes from Homo sapiens, assembly GCF_000001405.40. NCBI lineage: Eukaryota > Metazoa > Chordata > Mammalia > Primates > Hominidae > Homo > Homo sapiens. The sequence goes on along the minus strand of NC_000009.12, from coordinate 130,863,691 downwards.
CTTCAAAAGAAGAAAAAAACCTGCCTGGAAACTACAAACACTATTCATTAGTGGAGAGGGTAAAGTCCCAGTTAACAAGAAAGACCAGACTGTATCTGAGTTGGTCAAAAGCGAGTTTCCTGGATGCCTTTCTAGCGGGGACACTTCCACCTCTGCCTGCAGGAGTCTGGGCAGCTGCAGAATTGGAACCCACTGGGGATGCCCAGGGCACCTGCCTTCCAAATCAGCCAACAAAAATCCACAGAAGAGTCAAATGCATTTTGGTTAAATCTTCTTTCAAAACTCAGAGATCTTTTTTTCCTCCTTAACTCTCGGTAGGAAGTGATCTCCATGCCGCACGAACAGCATGGAAATCCACGGCTTTAAAAGAACCTTGCCATAAAATGAGAAAACCTCTCCAAATGACTAATCTTTTTACACCAAAACCCCTCCATGCTTGTCAGCTCTCACCATATGTGGAAACACACTCGGACTATGAGAATGATTCCACTCCTACAAAGACACAGGAATGATATAAGACGGAAAAGTCAATTCCGTGGCGCCAATGAAGCCCTCGGACAGCAGGCAGGAGGTAGACTTCCAGGCAGATGCATCGCCTAATGCCAGCAGACGCCTTGCCCCACGTACCCTGGGCACCCCCGGCAGTCCCAGCCTACCTTCAAGGTCTTCACGGCCACCGTCAGGCTGTATTTCTTCCACACGCCCTCGTACACCTCCCCGTACTGGCCCCCGCCCAGCTTGTGCTTCATGGTGATGTCCGTGCGTTCCATCTCCCACTTGTCGTAGTTGGGGGACACACCATAGACAGTGGGCTTGTTGCGCTTTGGGGCTGGATAATGGAGCGTGGTGATGAGCCCGTCGGCCACCGTTGAATGATGATGAACCAACTCGGCCAGGGTGTTGAAGCGGCTCTCGGAGGAGACGTAGAGCTGAAGGAAACAGGGAACAGCCTTCAGCCCACAGAGACAGGCAAGCTCAAAGAGCTCACGTGAGCCAGTTTGGCTGAGCCTTAATTCACTACACAGCAAAATCTCACATAAGGAGCTCTCCACACAGGACAGAGTGTTTAGAAGATCACTTCTGCTGTCTTTCTCTACGTGTGCTCTAAGTTACTCGCTCAAGCAAAAAGACACAATAAAAGGCCTCAGGGCCTCTGTACCTGCTGCTGCTCCCTCTGCCTGAAATCTCCCACTCCCTCATCTTCCGTGCCCAGTTCTCGCTTCCCGTTCCAAGGCCAGTTTTAAGGTCCGTGAAGTCTTCCCCAACCACCCAATCTAAAGTCATCACACGGCACGGGTCATCCTACCACCTGTCTTACTTCTCAGCAATGGACCCACTACTAGCTCATAATTTCCTGTTTATCTGCTTAATTACTGTCTGTCTCCACCTAAGAGCATGCAAGCTTCATGAAAGCAGAACCCTAAGCTGTCTTCATTCCAATGTTGAGAACAGGAAATCAACATGTAATAAGTACTCAATAAATAACTGTTGATTAAATTAACACATGGTAGAACTTGGTGGGTAGTTGCTGGTAGGAAAAGCGAAGAATTCATTTAATTTATAATTTAAAGGGGATAAACCTAGAATGAAATAGTGACCAGAAGATGAAAACCACTAAACACATCCAACACGAGGAAGCAAAAGGAAGGATTTACGACACAAGAGCATTCGGTCCCCGTGTGAGAGCTACAGCAGGTGAGGACCTAGGGTCAAACCCTGCATGTAGAGTTTGCATCTGGACACAACAGAGCTGGAGAGGAAGGAGAAGGAGCAGGCTGGCAGAAAGCAACAATGCAGTGGGTGCCAGCTACCTGTTTTCTTCTCTTTTCATTGGTGTGGCAAGGGAATACTTCCTTACCAAAAACAATTCCACATGAAAAATCCACATAAAACATCTGGACTCCAGGCACATAACTGAATCTACTGGCTTGCTCAGGGTAGCCAACCATCACTGAAGGTGGAAAGAAGACTTAAAATCATGACTAGGCATTCAGAAGACTTGCCCAAACTGCAAAGATGTGGGAAGAAGGAGCAGATTTGGGACAGTGGTGATGCTTGGGACGAGAGGGAGAAAAGGGAACAGGATCAGGCTTCAGCTATAACTGTAATATCTTATTACTTAAAAAAAAAGAAAAGGGAAGAAAAAGCCTGAAATACACACAGCAAGGCCAAGGCCTTTGGCTGTGGGTTATGTCAGGCACCATTACTATACGTCTGTAATAGTAAATAAGAAAAATGTTTTTAAAAGAAGGTAGCAAAGAAATATACAAGTTAGTCCCATTGACAACTCTCAAGAAGGTAAAAAGGATTCGTCAACAGGAAGGTTTCTCTTTCTTTTGTTTTGCTTGGGGAGATAACACAAGTGAATTCCTAAAACAGGCAAGCCAAAGGCACACATTTTGGGGTTACAATCTTTTGGTAACAATATCACTAAAATAAAATTCTGAGAAACGCAAAACTTGTCTAGAAAGATTGCTTCACTCTGGGGAACTTGCTCAAGGTGTAAGGACTGTGGCCTGGGGACACTGGCTTATCCCTCTGCAAGACAGGACCGCTGAATGGCAAGACTTATCAGGATGTGGCGGCCCTGCTTTTATTCTTGAGAGCACGGAAGAGAAGCCTCTGAGTGAACTGCTCTAGGGACACACACCATGAGTCACGCTCAGACCCACGAACGTGCACACAGGAATGTGTCGGGGAGCGGAAGTCGGCACCGCTGAGGGCTGCCGTTAGCTTCATAACCACACGGTGACGTCCACGCACTCTCTTCACTGCTGGTCACCAACACAAGTGCTGCACACAAAGAAAACGGAGCGGGACCTGGGGTCAGCTCCCAATCCCCGACCCTCTGGAAAAGACTGTCAGCTGTCCGATTACTTCACTGCCGGTGGCAAGTGCTCCAACCCCTGTTCTCACGTTAGCTCAGCTGATGATGTGCTCCCTACCAAGGACTCTAGAGAAGTGAGAAAAGCCATTCCAAGAAGACATTCCTGCAATCAGAGCACCACTCCCATCTTGGAAATCACTGGCACAGTACAGAGTCAAAGAGCCCGTGTGGCCTGCTGGGCTCCAGGGCAGGGCACCTGGGAGCAAGTCTCATTATCCCTCTCTCCCGTCGGAGCAGGAAGCACATGGGCCTCAAAGGAGCGTTCCCCAACTGGCGGATCGGGTTCCTTCACTCCAAAGTGGAATGCTAAGGGCTCCCCTAAGTCCTAGTTTACGCAGAATTTCTTCTTGGGCTCATTTGATTCCCCCATTGGCTACTGTGTTAGAGACTTCAGTTACAGGAGGTTTCACTGAATGGCCCAACTTTATCCTTTTCAATAATTAAATTTATAGACCTTGTTGTGACTTAGTTCATTTTTCAACATAAAACTTACATACTGACACTTACTAAATACTAAAACCATTCTCCCCCAAAGGCACCGCATATTTGGTTCACAGCCATCTTCCCCGTGTCCCACTAACAGTCAAGGCTGGTGCTTCCTTCTGATTAGTTCCAGGTTTTGAGCAGCACTTGTTGGGGAACTGTGTAATCATCAGGAATTCATGGCATGTTCAGGGAAGAAAGTAGTGTCATGAATGGCATGTCATTACGCTATGCACCTGGTTCCATGAACACTCAGGTGCTCAGTCAGGGCTGCTGCCTCTCCCTAATCATGCATGAACCTGAAGGATGGGACTTGTCAAAGAAACGCTTAGAAACAGCATTTTGCCAGGAGCAGTGGCTCACGCCTGTAATCCCAGCACTTTGGGAGGCCAAGGAGGGCAGATCACGAGGTCAGGCGTTCGAAACCAGCCTGGCCAACATGGTGAAACCCCATCTCTACTAAAAATACAAAAATTAGCCGGGCATGCTGGTGGGCACCTGTAGTCTCAGCTACTTGAGAGGCTGATGCAGGAGAATCGCTCGAACCTGGGAGGCGCAGGTTGCAATGAGCCGAGATTGTGCCACTGTACTCCAGCCTGGGTGACAGCCTGTCTCAAAAAAAAAAAAAAAAAAAAAAAAAAAAAGGAAAGAAAGAAAAGAAACAGCGTTTCTTTTGACAGCCACACTGACAGGCCTAACGGAGCTTAGACTTGTGCAACCTTTGGCTGCTTTGGGCCCGGGAGTCCCACCTCAGACATACTGTTTACAGGTTGCTCAGCCAGGAAGCAAGTTCCCCCGAGAGCTGCTCACACACCAGCAGGAAGGCAAGCCTCGCAGTACACAAGAACGGTCCAAAGCCCCTCCACCAGAGCAGGTTAGCCATGTGCTCGGCTTTTCACCAGGAGGCCTACGCCTGCTGAGCCACTGTCAGGGCGGGTAAACCTTAAACATCTAAGAGGCTGTGTAAATGGTCCCTTCCTGCAACTCTGCTGAAGCTTAGGGCCTTGGATCTGTCACTTCAGCAGACGATGAAAATAAATGTCAACTGGGCAAATTTCTTTCAAGAAAAGGAAAGACTCTATTAAGGACTAGAAGGAATCGAGGAACGTGACAGGGGCATCTCATAGAAGTCAATGAGGTGTGGACACATTCAGAACTAAGAACTTTAGGCAGAAGGTGGTGAAGAAAAATCAATCTTCAATTCCGCTATGTCAACAGAGGGTTACAACTTTGGGAAAGGATCAGAACAATGACAGTCAAATCCCCGGGTACCCAGAGATGTTTGAGCCTGTCAAGGCTCCTAGGAAATGGCAACGGCTCGGTTTAGTATTGGCCCCTTCAAGAGTCCAGCTCATAACTCCCAGTCCCCAGCTCTGGGCCCCGAGCTGATGGTCCTCGGCTGATGACCCACAAGGGCTGCTGAAAAGCTCAGAACACGAGGAGAGACACAAATAAGAGCCAAGAGCGGGGAGGCAGAAAGAAATCCTTTGGGGCCTTACAGAAGAATCTTCTAAATTCAGTTGTTTTCTAAAGATGAGCTAATTTAAAAATAAGAACCAAACTTATTCAACCCCAGCCTATTCCTCCTATCGGTCTTAAAATTTCCCCTTAGAAATCCAAAAAGGATTGCATCGAAGTTCTGCTATGTGAGCAGCATTTTTCAGCGGCGAGCCACACGGTCACACGCATAGCTGTGGGAGCTCCCTCTAACGATGTTCACTCATTCCAGTGATACGATCCCACCCAATACACCCCCTCGAGTGCGGCCCTCACAGGAAGGAACCTCCGCAGACGGTCTGCTGGATGACGCTGTGGGCTCAGAAGTCCCCAGGTGCCCAAACGGCTGATGGGAGAGTCTGTGCCAGACGGGGAGGGAGGAGGCAAGACGCCAAGGGAAGTGTGATGTGTTGCCCAATGGTGGACACTGCCTGGTCACATAAGCTCCCTGTGCTCTACCTGGAATGAAACAAACCCACCTGGCACATACTAGCTTTTAGACAGAGGCATCTTAGGCAGATTCTCCCTCTTTGGATGAATCTCAAATTCTGCAAATCACATATCCCATACGCAGGCCTTTCCTTGCCCATTTGAACAGTATTTTAGATCAACCCCTAGCTAATGAGCTGTCACACTAGATCATGCCTGCCTGCATCTGTTCCAAGGTTGCTGATTAAACAGCTCTAGGGAAAAGAAACCATTATCCTGTTCGGTGCAAACCTCAAGTGACTATCTCGGTGCAGCATGACTTGCCTTGGATAAATAGCACACATGGGAAGCAAGCTGTCTGCTCCAGAAAATCACCCCCCATGGGCGGTGCACCCTGGTGTTCTGATTCACTAGAAAGGTACCCTTGTGGTCTGAAGGCTCTTTCAAAGGGCCCAATGTCCTGAAGTACGTCCCTCAGAATGGAAGAACGCAGCTCCACCTCTGGGATAAGAACAATAACCCAAAAAGCAAGCTGACAGGCCCACGTCTAGTCACACAGGGATAACAGGCTCTTTTGTCCGTCACGCACACTGCAGTGTTGGTACTAAAGAATTCTGCAGTGGTGGAAAGCATCAGATATGGGCAATAGGATTTCAGCCAGAAGACTTTGGGATGTGAAGAAAAATAAGAACATTAAAAAGGAAGTATATGTATGTTCATATGGTACAAGTGAATGTGTGAAGACAGCCAAAAAAAAAAAAAGTTAAAAAGGTAAGTGGGGACTAGCCTATCAGATACCACAACATGGTATGAAGCCATAGCAATTACAAGTTTGGTACTGGCATACGGATAGACAGACCAATGGAAGAGAACAGAGAGGTCAACAGGCCTAGATACACATATACACTTGGTATATTTCTAACATGTAGGAAAAAGATGAATTTACTAAATGGCATAAAGATGACCCAAAATATGCCACATGGATATTCAACATAATGAGATGCCATTCTTTACCAGTCAGAGTGACAAAGGTGTTTTTACATGTCTAATAATAAACTGTTGGTGTGGGTTAAGGGGAAACAAGCCCTTTCATGGATTGTTTGTGGGAGAACAAATTTGTACAATTTCTATAGAGGGTGACCTGGTGATGCACATAACCTTCAGTCAGTTCTGGCAACTTATCTGCACACACTTACACCCACATAAAGAAGCACGTGCAACGCATTTTCAAACCAGGCCATGGGCCACTAGTCAGTCTATGAAATAAATTTAGTGGATTACAACCAGAATTTTTAAAAAATGAAATAGAACAGAATGAAATACAAACTATCAGAGTGCGTTACATACAGTAAGGGTAGGTAAGACTTCATGAAACTTTTGTTATATTGTGAGGGCTGGGTGGTGGTGTAAAATGAGTTTTTCTTACAGCAGAACCAGATTTTTGAAAAGGTTTGAAAGCCACCTCATATCAGCATTATTTACAATAACTAAAGATTGGAAACAACCTAAAAGTCAACCAGCAGGGGACTACTGAAATAAGTGACAGTCCATCCACGGTACACAGTCACTGGTAAGAATGAGGCAGCTCTAAACCTGTTGCCATAAAACAATCTCGAAGGTGTATTATCACACGGGAGAAGCATGATGCATTCGCGTGCATGTATCATTTGCGTGCCTTTTTGAATATAAACATCCACATAAACATCTATATACCATCCATCTGTGTCCAGGTAACTCTAGAAGGAACTAGTACCAGTGCTTGCCTCTGGGCAGGAAAAGTGAATTAGGAGACGATTACTTTTTACTGTAATTCATTTTGTTCTTTTGATTTTTTTTAACCATATGCATGCATTACATACTATTTAAAAAATATAGGCTGGGCACAGTGGCTCGTGCCTGTAATCCCAGCATTTTGGGAGGCCGAGGAGGGCAGATTGCTTGAGCTCAATAGTTTGAGACTAGCCTGGGCGACATGGCGAGACCCTGTCTCTACTGGAAATACAAAAACGGCCAGGCGTGGTGGCTCACGCCTGTAATCCCAGCACTTTGGGATGCTGAGGCAGGTGGATCACCTGAGGTCAGGAGTTTGAGACCAGCCTGACCAACATGGTGAAACCCTGTCTCTACTAAAAATACAAAATTAGCTGGGTGTGGTGGTGCATGCCTGTAATCCCAGCTACCTGGAAGGCTGAGGCAGGAGAAATGCTTGAACCCGGGAGGTGGAGGTTGCAGTAAGCCGAGAACGCACCATTGCACTCCAGCTTGGGCAATGAGAGCGAAAATGCCATCTCAAAACAAATAAACAAACAAAAAACAGCTGGGCATGGTGGTGTGCGCCTGTGGTCCCAACTACTCGGAAGGCTAAGGTGGGAGGATCACTTGAGCATGGGAAGCAGAGGTTGCAGTGAGCCAAGATCGCACCACTGTACTCCAGCCTGGGTGACAGGGCAAGACTCCATCTCAAAAACAAACAAACAAACAAACATACACCATCGGGACCACCTATCAACACTGTACCTCAACTACAGCCTGGTGCAGTAGAATAAACTGTGGGATCCAAGCCTATTCCATCAGTGACTCACTAGGTTGACATCGGGCAAGATCTCTTTATGCCTCCCTTTCTTTAATGCAAAGATGCAGGTATTATAGCAATACCTCAGTCAATGTTAACTCCTCCCTTCTCTTTATGGACTCTTAAGGATTATTTATATGAAGACCACAAAATCATATAGGCCACCTCCCTTACAACACCACACTTTGGGTTTGGTAAGCTGTGGGTTTGATCCCGGTTTTCACTGAAAACTGCATGCGTGTATGCACGTATGTCCACACACCTCTCCATGAATGTGTTCATCCGCAGGAAGAAGCCCACGTGCCAGGCGTCTGTGGGGGAGGGGATAGTAAAGTGGTCTTTCGCTCTAAGAAAGGTTATCTATTATTTGAATTTTTCTCGTTGGGGATGATTTCTATCATTATAAAATATTTTTTTTAAAGGAAGAATCTTATTGTAAAAAATGTGTCCAAAACCCAACAGATATTCCTCCTATTTTAAGTAACTTGCTAACAACAAAACTCTAGCAAGACAATAAGAGAATCATACCAGTCCCAGGAACTTGTAATATCACAGAACGGATCCTCAATAAAGGGTCTTCATAAGGCTAATGGAATGACTCCCACCTGAAAGATTCTTTAAACATCTTCTTGGTTGAGCTTTCTTGCAATAATTTATCAATCCGACAGCAGGACCTCTGGTTCCCCTGCCCTGGGCCCATCAGCGCCCCCTGCCAAGGGTCCCCTACCTTGCCATCAGAAGCAGTGTTGATCCTGTAATGGTACACCCTCCCTTCGTATCTCAGCGAGATGGACCTCTGGCCAGGACTGCTCTCACTCTCACGCACCAAGAAGCTGCCATTGATCCCGCTGCTCAGCAGATACTCAGCGGCATTGCGGGACACAGGCCCATGGTACCAGGAGTGTTTCTCCAGACTGTTGACTGGCGTGATGTAGTTGCTTGGGACCCAGCCTTGGCCATTTTTGGTTTGGGCTTCACACCATTCCCCATTGTGATTATAGCCTAAGACCCGGAGCTTTTCACCTGAGAAGAAAGGAACCAAATCAGACATATCAGCTTTGGAAACCAGCTTCGTTCTTTTTCATTGATTCTTGTGTAACTACTAAAAATCTCCAAATTCCTAAATACCAATTTCATTTTAACAAGTCCACATAAAGATATGCATTTATAAGTGTATGAGAATTCACGTTTACATTTGAAGCTTCCTGTTTGTACTGAACAGATAGGTAAGTGTATAGCCTCAGTTTTTATAAATCAATTATGTTTATTCAAGTGCTCTGTTCCTAATATAAGACATTTTAGGGAAATAATGCTTTTTCTTAGGGGAAAAATTGCGTTCAGTATTTTGTCCAGCTGTCCTTTTCAGTATAAAAAATAGGGCAAGTTCTGTTTTTGCCCAGGGCTATTGTACAAGAACTCCTCTAAGGAGAGTCGACTCCCTTAGAAACATGCAGTTGTTGTTTTGGATATCCCTGCAGTCCAGATTTCAAAGCTGCTCCTTTAACGAGCAAAGGGTGGTAGGTCAAACCGCAATTCCCAGATTTCTATCTCCTGCAACCACCACTAGCTGCCCACAACCCTTTTACCTTTAGTTATGCTTAGAGTGTTATCTCCACTGGCCACAAAATCATACAGTGCAACGAAAAGGTTGGGGTCATTTTCACTGGGTCCAGCGAGAAGGTTTTCCTTGGAGTTCCAACGAGCGGCTTCACTCAGACCCTGAGGCTCAAAGTCAGATGCTACTGGCCGCTGAAGGGCTTCTGGAAGAGAAAGGGGGGAACAGAAAAAAGAAAAAGGAAGAGAAAATTGGGAGAAAAAATTAGTTTTATTCTCAGAAGCAAAAATATTTGTGTTTCCAACATTACACATTCCTATTTCATTTCTTAACATCTGTACATACTATTATCATTAAGGTGGTTTTTAAAAAACTCTTCCTTTACTAAATCTTGTGGAAATTAAGTATTTTCACTCCAAGGTGGTAATTATTGTTCCCCAATAGTTTGAGCTTCTAAAATTCATGGATTCAATATGACTTTAGTCAAATTAAAACAGTCTATCCACATATGCATTTGCCTTTGCTTAAAATATGCAATGAAAATTTCTTGCTTTAGCCGGGCATGGTGGCTCACGCCCGTAATCCCAGCACTTTGGGAGGCCAAGGTGGGTGGATCACCTGAGTTCAGGAGTTTGAGACCAACTTGACCAACATGGTGAAACCCTGTCTCCATTAGACATACAAAAATTAGCCGGGCATGGTGACGCACACCTGTAGTCCCAGCTACTCAGGAGGCTGAGGCAGGAGAATCGCTTGAACCCAGGAGGTGGAGGTCTCAGTGAGCAGAGATTGCGCCACTGCACTCCAGCCTGGGTAACGAGAAACTCCGTGTCAAAAAAAAAAGCCGGGGGTGGATCATGAGGTCAGGAGTTCAAGACCAACCTGACCAACACAGTGAAATCCTGTCTTTACTACAAATACAAAAATCAGCCGGGCATGGTGGCAGGTGCCTGTAGTCCCAGCTACTTGGGAGGCTGAGGCAGGAGAATTGCTTGAACCTGGGAGGCGGAGGTTGCAGTGAGCCAAGATCGTGCCACTGTACTCCAGCCTGGGTGACAGAGTGAGACTCCATCTCAAAAAAAAAAAAAAAAAAAAAAAGAAAAGTCAAATCGTACAGAAGGGCTTAAAATGAAAGACAAATACTTTCTATCCCAGTCCTCTCCGCTCCCAGAGGCAGAGCTGTTTTTTTGGTGATCACCCCCACCTCTCTAAGTACCAGCTAGATCACTGGAGTCCTATTCTCCGTAACAGACGCACACCTTCACTGCCTGTTCTTCCAACTAGGACAGCGTCTCTGAGGACTTACTTCACAAGACAAGGCTATTAACACACCCCACCCGTCCTTCCAGCTTTCTTGCCCCCACGACCACCCTCAAATATGTTCTTCTGTAAATTTTTTTTTTTAACCTTGTGGCAATTATTATTACAGAATAGAAAAAACTGTTACTAAACTTCCATGTTTTGTCTGAAACAGATTCTAAAAGTTGGAAATCAATCAACAGCTCTTAAATTAGAAAATGTGTGAATATTATTCATTACAGGGTCAAATAGGTTATTTGTTCCTGAAGTTTCTTCTTGCCTTTTTTTTTTGAACAGGGCTCAAACGCTCCAGAATTTCTTTGTGATAAAGACAACGTGTAGACGAGTTCTTGCAAACCAGCAAATCAAATAACCTCAAGTAGATCTTACAGTTGAAGAACATTGTGGAGTGAAATCCAAAATACTCATTTAAGGAACTACAATTTAAAAATCACTAACTGGGCCAGGCACAGTAGCTCATGCCTGTAACCCTAGAACATTGGGAGGCTGAGGCAGGCAGATTGCCTGAGCCTGAGCTCAGGAGTTCAAAACCAACCTGGGCAACACGGTGAAACCCCGTCACTACTAAAATAGAAAAAACTAGCCGGGCATGGTGGCGGGCGCCTGTAGTTCCAGCTACTAGTCCCAGCTACTCAGGAGGCTGAGGTAGGAGAATCGCTTGAGTCTGGGAGGCGGAGGTTGCAGTGAGCTGAGATCTCGTCTCTGCACTCTAGCCTGGCAGACAGAGTGAGACTCCATCTCAAAAAATAAATAAATAATAAAAATAAAAATCACTAACTGAAGTAAACCTTTAGGAACTGTTTCTCTGAAAGAGTAATCCCAAATCATGTCATTATGATGTTTAGTAATTTTTATTATCTTAAAAAGAGAGGCCCGGCGTGGAGGCTCACCCCTGTAATCCCAGCATTTTGGGAGGCTGAGGTGGGCAGATCACCTGAGGTCAGGAGTTCGAGACCAGCCTGGCCAACATGGCAAAACCCCATCTCTACTAAAAACACAAAAATTAGCCAGGCAAAAATATGAAAATTAGTGGCGGGTACCTGTAATCCCAGCTACTCAGGAGACTGAGGCCGGAGAATTGCCTGAACCCGGGAGGTGAGGCTGCAGTGAGCCGAGATTGTGCCACTGTACTCCAGCCTGGGAAATGGAGTAAGACTCCATCTCAAAAAAAAAAAAAAAAAAGAAAAAGAGAGGAAAATTCTAATTTGAAAAGAACTGAAGGATCTACCAGATGCTTGAGCCAAACAAATGGTAACAAAATTGTTTTAGTTTTCCTTCTCTATGGATTTAGAGGATCCTCACGCATTCTTTCCTGGGTAATAATACCATCTCAGGGGTGGGACTGATTCTGAATTATCTTTAAAAAAAAAATTATCTTTTAAAAAAAGAAAAAGAACCCACCTGATCAAACTTCCGGAAACATGACCGAGAACTTTCAGAAATGAATGTGCTCTAAAACATCTCTTTGGGATAAACCAACAGAACATAAACCATGAAGAGCTTCAAGTCTCGCTTCTGTACTACTAACTGAAGTCAACCTTCAGGAACTGTTTCTCTGAAAGGGTAAGTCCTAAATTACATTATTACAATATTTGGTAATTTTTCTGAATGGCGGGGGGCAAAGATAATTTCAAGGAACAGGATCTTGCAATACTGACATCTCCTAGAGTGTAGAAGAAGCTTAGTCATATGTTTGGCCCCCTTTCTCGACTATTTACATTGGCTCTAAAAGTACACCTAGCGCCATCACTATTAGGGATTATCAATTTTATTAAAATATGTGATCCCCGAGGTCAGGAGATCGAGACCATCCTGACTAACACGGTGAAGCCCCGTCTCTACTAAAAATACAAAAAAATTAGCTGGGCGTGGTGGCGGGCACCTGTAGTCCCAGCTACTCGGGAGGCTGAGGCAGGAGAATGGCGTGAACCCGGGAGGCGGAGCTTGCAGGGAGCCGAGATCACGCCACTATACTCCAGCCTGGGTGACAGAGCGAGACTCTCTCAAAAAAACAAACAAACAAACAAACAAACAAAAACAAACAAAAAACAACAACGTGATCCCCACCCCCATTTAGTGTACATTGGTTTGGTAGTCTTGACTGTAGGGCCAAAGACTGTCCTTTGAAATGTAGGTATGTGGGGCTGGGTGCGGTGGCTCATGCCTGTTATCCCAGCACTTTGGGAGGCCGAGGCAGGCAGATCACCTGAGGTCAGGAGTTTAAGACCATGCTGGCCAACATAGCGAAACCCCGTCTCTACTAAAAATATAAAAATTAGTTGGGCGTGGTGGTGCACACCTGTAGCCCCAACTACTCAGGATGCTGAGGCACGAGAATCGCTTGAACACAGGAGGCAGAGGTTGTAGTAAGCTGAGATCATGCCACTGCACTCCAGCCTGGGCAACAGAGTGAGACTCCATTTCAAAAAATAAGTAAACAAAACGAAATGTGGACATGTGATTAGAGCTTGATGTTTTCTTCTGTAAGTCCTCCCTATAATGAATATATCATCTCACTTCCAGCTTCAATTTCCTACAGATGGAGGGAGAACTTAGAGCCATTCACTACGCATTCCCACTGTCAAAGCTTTCTAGATTTCTGTAATTCATTCCAATCATTTACTGTTGTCTTACACCTAATTCTGTAGTAATTTGTTAAATTTATCTTCCTTTACTGAGTCTTTCTAAAGCATTCATCTTAATTTTCCTAGAAACAATTCTCTTTTCACACTTGCATTTCATTGGTTTCATATCAACCAAGTAATTACAACAACAGCTATATCTGAAAGAACCAGGCTTGGAAACAAACATGACTGGCTCTTGTGGACAGGAACATATGCAGCAGCAGACAGTGGTAGTGTGGCTACCCCATCCCATGTGCCATGGGGCACAGGGACTATGGAGGCATGTTTTATAAGGAAGTGAAGAGTGCCGGTCAATTTAGCAAGTCAGTCAAGTGGAAGCCAGTTACGAGCTTCCACTGTCATTATATTAGAAAAACTGTGAGGCAGAGCATTCTTGACACACAAGGACTTTACATACCAACAAGAAAAAGAAAAATCCCTCCACTATGGAAAAAATGGGGCAAAGCCACGAATAAACAATTCACAAAAAATTTACATTATCATTAAAGGCCAGGTGCGGTGGCTCACACCTGTAATCCCACCACTTCGGGAGGCCAAGGCGGGCAATCACTTGAGGTCAGGAGTTTGAGACTAACCTGGCCAATATGGTGAAACCCCGTCTCTACTAAAAATACACAAATTAGCCGGGCATGGTGGCGCATGCCTGTAATCCAAGCTGCTAAGGAGTTGAGGCAGGAGAATCACCTGAACCTGGGAGGCAGAGGTTGCAGTGAGCCAAGGTCGCGGCACTGCACTCTGCCTGGGCAACAGAGTGAGACATCGTCTCAAAAAAAAACAAAAAAAATTACCATTAAACATGGAAAGTGTGTGAACGCTTGATAATAATCACTGAAATGCAAATTCCTTGCCAAATCTGCAGATACATCTTTTTGACGCTGACAGCCAGTGTGGGTAAGATTTCAGAGAAACGGGCACTCTCATACAATGCTAGTAGTAGGTGTATAAATTGAGGGCAACTGGAATATGAACCAGAAGTCTATAAAGAATTTAATATCTGATTTACCTCTAGGAATTTATCCTAAGTGATCAACACAATTATTTCTATACACTAATTTTAAACAACAGCACAGAAAAGGGCAAGTACAAAATATCTATCAACACAGGATAAGTTAGTTTATGCTGCATGCATAAAATAGGATATATTTTAAAAGCCACTCAAAATATTTTTGGAAAAAATATTTAAGTTTGAGAATATACTCGCAATAATATATTAAGTGTTTATATTACATTCCAGTATATAGGCATGGTCCCAACTATGAAAAAATAGAAGACGAGGAGGAATTTCACCAAACTGTGAACAGTAGTTAACTCAGGGTGGTGGGATTTTAAGTGCTTTAAATTTACTTTTCTTTTTTTTTTTTCTCGAGACGGAGTCTCGTTCTTGACACTCAGGCTGGAGTGCAATGGCGTGATCTCTGCTCACTGCAACCTTCACCTTCCGGGTTCAAGCAATTCTCCTGCCTCAGCCTCCTGAGTAGCTGGGATTACAGGTGCCCGCCACCACACTCGGCTACTTTTTTTGTATTTTTAGTAGAGATGGGGTTTCACCATGTTGGCCAGGCTGGTTTCGAACTCCTGACCTCAGGTGATAAGCCTGCCTCAGCCTCCCAAAGTGCTGGGATTATCGGCGTGAGCCACCGTGTCTGGCCTTACATTTTCTTTATACTTCTCTATATTATGGTATATTTCTCACAAAAAATGTGGATTGTTGTTATTACTAGAAAACAATGACAAACATAAAAAAGCTTTAATAGAAGCCAATTGAAATTTTTTTTTTTTTTTTTTTGAGTTGGAGTCTCACTCCATCGCCCAGGCTGAAGTGCAGTGGTGCGATCTAGGCTCACTGCAACCTCCAGCTCCCAGGTTCACGTGATTCTCCTGCCTCAGCCTCCTGAGTAGCTGGGATTACAGATGTGAGCCACTGCGCCTGGCTAAGTTTTTTTTTTTTTTTTTTTTTTCATTTTCAGTAGAGACGGGGTTTTGCCATGTTGGCCAGGCTGGTCTTGAACTCCTGGTCTCAAGTGATCTACTCACCTCAGCCTCCCAAAGTGCTGGGATTACAGGCAGGAGCCACCGCGCCTGGCCCTAAACTTACATAATTGATAATTTAACATGAAAAAGCATGCTGGGGAGGGAGGCTTCCTTCAGGCTGTCCTGAAAAGGCACTTGAGTGCCTCCCTCTGGTGCGTCAACCTCGTGGCCATGAGCATACAACTTTGGCAGACCAGGCCCACACAGGAAATTAAACCAAAGTCATGAATACAGAAATGCTTTTCTTCTCAAATGCCATTTGACCTCTTCTATCAAACATTCTGCCGCATCTGGATTTGATCAAAGTTACATAATCGGGGAAGTGGCCTGGAAAACACCTGGAATAAGCAGAATGCAGATCCCCGCCCAGAGGTGGCCATCCACTTGAAGTGTGGGTTAAAGTGGGATGGTCCCGAACATGTCGACAGATGCTGGGAATGTTATGCAAGAGGATGAGGCCTTTGTTAGGAAGGAAAGGGCCTCCCACTGCTTTTTGATTCAACAGGACGTCAGGCGATCCAAGGCAGTCTCTCGACTTTCCTCTCCAGTTCTTGCTCTATTCCACAAATTAATGGCTAAAGCCCAAAGGGAAGTATTGCTCATGCATGCCTCTGGACCGAGACACTGAAGTGTAGCCACAGTCCAACACCAAAACCTTCCAGTCAATTCCCAATCCAGGCTGATGTCAAAATTGACTCACAATGTATAAATGCCAAGTTACTTGCTTCATTTCATAGTGAACTATGCTCGTCAACCTTAAAAATGATCACAGCTTACAAGGCCAAAGTTGCAGAATGTACTTAAATCTTTCTTGCTTAAGACACAAACTTTCCACCGGTCCCTCTGTCAGGAAGCAAGATTCCCCTAAAGAAGGCTGAAGGCTTCATTCAAAAAAAAAAGATGCCCCAACTAGTTCCCTTCTTCTGTTCTTCCAGCAGATCTTTTTGGCTATTGTCTTGGGAAATAAATTTTAGCATCTGCTATTATTCTTAAATTTTTTTAGTGAACATTTTCTGCAGCCTCCTTTCTGAGTCATACTTTAAACAGATTTAAGATCTGGATCTAAGATCTGGATCTTCAAAAGTGCCTCTCACTCCACTTAAAACCATATTGTTATTTTGTCATAATGTTAACAAAAAGGTTTCCACTCACCAACTAAACTCAGAAAAAATCACTAATTAGCTAGTTGAGCACCGAGAACAGTAATACATCTAAAAAATGCCTCAAACCTCTAAAAAGCTCTGGCTCTGTCTATGACAGTATAAAATTATTTGGAAATTTTATAAGAACCAGGCCACAGAATTCACTGGATCTGTGCATGATTAACTTGTTTAGACAGTATTCTAAGAAAATGGTTTGGGTCTTTAAAGTAAAATTGAAAGATCGTTTTATATAAAAATAATCCTTTCTCAAAGCTGTGAGTCACTGATGAAAAATGTTTACAAAAGATTCTCGGACATGGCATATCTGGCCTAGACTTCCAGGGGCTGCTGGTGCTGTGCCAGACGCTGGCGAACAGTCAGGGAAGGGAAATGCCCATGAACCCCAGTACCGGCTACTTCACAGCCCAAGGGGGGACTTGACCTCCAGGAAAAACATCCCCGGGAAGCTTCCCACCTTCCTGCTGGCACTTGTGCCCAACATCATAGTTCCCACTAGAGTGCAAGGCGGCCAGCTATGGAGCATTCATTACTGTTCACACTGTGGGCTCTCCGGAAGGTTCTTGGAGACGGTTCAGTGTGGGGGGGACAGGAGGATGGAGCATGTCAGACGTGACAAACGTTCCCTTTAATTTTGCTCACATTCAATTATTTAAACTTGTGCTGCTTTATTCATATTTCCTTTGTGGGTCCTTCGCTATTATCCTCCAGTTCAAGGAATCTCTGTAATTTAAAAATCTATAAAACAGATCCTTCTAAAAAGAGGCTTCGTGTTTTATTTCATACTCCGTTCCAGCGGATGAGATCATGCTCAGACTATTCTCAAGTTATTTTATAACAGTCTCAAACAACTTTTCAAAATATGAGCTTAGAGGAAAAGTATTATTTCCCACATTTTGAGCTTGATGAAAGTCATTTTATCTATTTCTACATGGTCCTTTATTTTGTAATTTACACCTTCACCCAGAGAAGTTAAAATTATTAAAACACACACACACACAAGCACACACACACACACACACACACACACAGACATACGTTTAACTGAACACAGCCTTTGTGTTATCTTCAAATCCCAAAACACTGTGTCAGCTGCTAGGGTGCAGGGAGGGGCAGGGCAGTGGGGGAAAGACGTAAAGAACCAGCAGTAGCCCCGCTCCTTGGAGAAACACAGCTGCTGAAAACTTACAGACTCAACAGCAAAAGTCTAACGGAAGGCCAGCGCTGTCCTGTGGATGAATTTTTTTTTTTTTAGATAGAGTTTTGCTCTTGTTGCCCGGGTTGGAATGCAATGGTGCATTTACAGAGGATTGCAAAGGAGAACAGTCCTCAAAAGACTTTTTGAAACAGTCCTCAAAAGACTTTTAAAAACTTGTAATATAGCTCTTATTAATGCCTTAAATAACTGTCTCTTTATTCGCACATTAAATAACAAGGTCCAGTGGCAACTATGTCATTTCAAAGTAGTGGTGCGAACAATGATCACAACCGTCACCTGATATCAAACACCTGGTTTCTGGCCAGGTGTGGTGGCTCACTCCTGTAATCCCAGCACTTTGGGAGGTCGTCTCTACTAAACCACGTCTCTACTAAAAATACAACAATTAGCTGGGCGTGGTGGTGCACATCTGCAGTCCCAGCTACTCGGGAGGCTGAGGCAGGGGTTTCGCTTGAACCCGGAAGGTGGAGGTTGCAGTGAGCCAAGATTGCATCACCACGCTCCAGCCTGGGCAACAGAGCTCGACTCTGTCTAAAAAAAAAAAAAGAAAGGTTAAGATTTGGACTGTTGATGGGGATAGGAGTTAGGATGGAGAATTTTGTTTCTTAAAAATTGTCTGGCTAAGACATTGTCATGTAAAAGATTCCAGGGGAAATATTTAAACCTTGGACTAATTAAATAACTTTATTTTTAAAGGAGGTTTCTCTAGAAACTCATTTAATCTACTGCCTATAATGGCTACAAGTGGAAAGTAATAAAACTGCATTTATTTTAAAAGAAAATTGCATAATTTGGACCTCTCACTAATTTATCCCAGTCTCCTTTTTAGGCTCTTCCTGTGAGAATGCTGAGGTTTTACTGAGCCAATTCCTTAGTGCAGGACTTGTTAACCTGGAAGACCCTGGGAGTCTGGGATAGAATTCAAGGGCTCCATGTCCTCTGATGGGAAAAATTAAAATTTTATTTCACTAACCTCTTACTAAAATGTAGCATTTAATTTTTTTAAGAACACAGGTAACAAACCAGAGTAGAAGTACAGTGCCTGTGACTGTCTCTGGTAGAAACTAGGTATTTCTTTTTTTGTTTGGTGGGGAAACCGAGTTTCACTCTTGTCATTCAGGCTGGAGTGCGGTGGCGCGATCTTGGCTCACTTCAACCTCCGCCTCCCGGGTTCAAGTGAGTCTCCTGCCTCAACCTCCTGAGTAGCTAGGATTACAGGCGCCTACCACCATGCCCAGCTAATTTTTATATCTTTAGTAAAGACGGGGTTTCACCATGTTGGCCAGGCTGGTCTTGAACTCCTGACCTCAAGTGATCTGCCTGCCTTGGCCTCAAATATTAACCTTTCTGAAGATACACAGTCCCTGTCCCCCTCCCTCAACCAAAAAGGAAAAAAAAAAAATTGTGTCACCTTCCAAGAATCTACGGTGAAAAAGTCTCCAATTACTGGAAATGGAGTACAAAGACACTCATAAATAGAGATGCCACTATCTTCAAGGCCATTCTGAACACCTGCCATTGACGCCCATATCAGGACTGAGGCTGGAAGTCATCCTCTGTCAGTTCCCACCCTGCATCTTGGCACTTTTCCTCCTCAATCTCTCATCACTTCTGTCCTTTCCATGCTCTACCACGCCCTTGGCTGGGTCCCCCTTTGGCCATTCCACCTCCACTCCCTACTATCAGGGCCATCTTTCTCAAATGCAGACCTGACCAGGTCACTCTCTTGCTTCAAATCCCTTAGAGATGGCTGCCAGCCGAGAGGCAGAAGAGAGCATGGGCTTGGGAGGTGGCCCTGTCTCCCAATGGTCAGCTACCACTTACTGGCAGTGTCATCGGGGGCAATGCTGGGATCATGATGTGCTTTGCAGGGTAGCTGGCAGTTTGCAGCTAACATGGGACATGTTTTTGAGGGCCTAGGCATGCACAGGCCCTCAAAAAATGGCTGGGGTTGTTATTCCTTCCACCACTATAGTAAAAGTCTGAGCTCCTGAAGCAGGCATGCCAGGCTCTTCAGGGTTGAGACTGGGAGCATCTGGCCCTCTACTCCTGCTTTCCATTCCAGCCTCTCCAAACTCCTTTCAGATCCCCCAGGCCTCCTGTTGCTTGCCTCTCCTGACTGCACTGTGACAAGTGCCATTTACTCTCCCTAGAGTTCGTTCCCCAGCCTCTTCTGCTCTTCCTGGCCTCCCCATCTCCCATAAACCTTCTCTAACCGGTCCTTCCTCCTCCCCATCACCTCGCCCACAACAGGATGCTTCTCCTTTAACCCATTTGGGTACCTGGTGTCTGTCTCTATCACCACCCTGCATCTATCACCCAGTAAGCAATCTGTTCACATGTCCCCAGCAGTACAAAAAGCATGGGCTCTGGGTGGACAGGCCTTGTTCAAACCTCAGCACCAGCATGTCTTGAAGACATTTGTTTCTGAGCCTCAGTTTCTCAACTGCACAACAGGGCAACAACGGCATGGCATCAACCTAGTTGGGCTGTCGGGAGGGCTCAATGAATCCTGCATGCAGAGAATTTCTGCATGGATGCCAACTGTGGCACCTGACACTGGGATGCTCACTACAGAACAACCGCGTCTTCTCTTATGCCACGCCTTCTCTTCTGCCACCACAACAATGTAAACTCCTCTGGGGTAGAGACCAAGTCTCTCATATCTCAGAGCCTTCTGTGCCTGCTCAGTGCAACGCAACAACACAGCACTGCTGGGTGAACTCAGATGTGGAACACCCTGCACTTGTCTGTCTTTAGCTACAAGGTACTGAAAAGTGCAGTTTAATAATCTGTTAACCTGTAATAAGAGCAGCAATAATGACAGATAGTAAAGTTGAAAAACAAATGCAACCTGACCAGGAAAACCTATATAAAAGCCTAGGGAACATAATGATTTGTTTTGACTGAAATATAAACCATGGCCAAAATCCTAAAGGTATAATGTAAAAACACAGTTCTCTGTGCTTTCAAAAGAAATAGGATTTGCTCCAGATTCCTAACAGACACCACAGTGAGCTCGCCGGACACCTTCCCAACAGGTTCCAGGAATCCCTGCAGTGGCCGCAGATCCAGACTGTCCACAGTCAGCCTGCTAATACCCACAAAGGCATTTTTATTGTCACAGGCCATTTGCAACAGACTGAAAGGCCTCCCCTTCTGCTGCCAGCCATGGCTGGTTTGAAAGCATTCACATTTCCTCTTCTTTTAACATGTCTTCATGGACTCCGGGGTCAGCTGACACCAGAGGCACTGGGCTACCCAATGACAGGCAATTTCCCCAGAAAGCCTTGTTAGCCATTAGTATTTTTATTGCTGATCTGGGTAAATGAACATGACCCTCCCCACCCTCATGGTATTTTGGCTTCAAAAAGCAATGCCTAATTGTATTCACGGCCTGTCTTTAAATACAATTTTAAGGTATTCAATGAACAACGCTATTAGCTAAATTTGAGGGCTTGTAAGACAGATAAAGACTAGGTTTCTATAGAGAATTTAAGAGTAATGAGGTTAAAGTTTATGCAACTTAATGTGATAGAATAATAGCTAATACTTACTGATCCCGTATCAAGTGCCAGCACTTCATCTGCACTGAATCCCTATAACCTTATTACGTAGACTCTATTATGAAGGCATTTGAGGGCAGGAAATGGAAACAGAGAGATGTGAAGTTACTGATGGCCTCTCTCTCCAGCTACCCATCCATACATCAGCTGCCTGTCCATCATCTGTCTCCTGCGCTTCTCTTGCTCTCACTCATTCTCTCTCTGTACCCACCCACCCCAGCCCCACTGGCCATCCTATTCCTCTTTGTCTCCCTTCTCTCAGTCTTCCTTCCCTCCCAGCTTGTTTTTTTTTCCCTTTCCTGTCTCAACCTTTTTGTATTTGTCTCTCAGTCTCTGTCTCTATAGATTTCCCCCTTATGTCTCCCCTTCCTCCCTCCCTCTCTCTCTCTCTATCTCCTTCCCACCTATTTCTCTCTGTCTTCCCTATCACCAGTACTCAACACACGCAATATAACAAAAATATTTATGGTGTAACATGGTAAAGAAAGAAGGATTTGAAAACCAACTTTTTTTTTTGAGCTGGAGTTTTTGCTCGTTGCCCAGGCTGGAGTACAATGGTGAGATCGCGGCTCACTGCAACCTCTGCCTCCCAGGTTCAAGTAATTCTCCTGCCTTAGCCTCCTGAGTAGCTGGGATTACAGGCACTCCCCACTACGCCTGGCTAATTTTTTATATTTTTAGTAGAGACAGGGTTTCAGCATGTTGGCCAGGCTGGTCTCGAACTCCTGACCTCAGGTGACCACCTGCCTCGGCCTCCCAAAGTGCTGGGATTACAGGCGTCAGCCACCGCGCCCGGCCTGAAAACCAATTTCTAGAGCAAGCTTGTTCAACCCATGGCCCACGGGCTGCATATGGCCCAGGACGGCTTTGAATGTGGCCTAACAAATTTGCAAACTTTCTTAAAAACATTATAAGATTTTTGGCCCGGTGCAGTGGCTCACGCCTGTAATCCCAGGGCTTTGGGAGGCCGAGGTGGGCGGATCACGAGGTCAGGAGATGGAGACCATCCTGGCTAACATGGTGAAACCCCCGGGCGCCTGTAGTACCCTCTACTAGGGAGGCTGAGGCAGGAGAATGGCGTGAACCCAGGAGGCGGAGCTTGCAGTGAGCTGAGATCGTGCAACTGCACTCCAGTCTGGGCGACAGAGTGAGACTCTTGTCTCAAAAAAAAAAAGAAATGAGATTTTTGTGGGATTTGTTTTGTTGGTTTAGCTCATCAGCTATCGTTAGTATGTTTTACGTGTGGCCCAAGACAATTTTTCTCCCAATGTGGCCCAGGGAAGCCAAGATTGGACACCCCTGTTCCAGAGTAACGATTCTACCCATCTGAGGACAAAGTTACACTATCAAAACTAAGTAATTATAATTAGCAAGCTATTCTTCCTAATGGCTTTGAAACTGTAACTTTATTATGTAAGAAAACAAGACTGACTATAAGCTGATAATTGTTAAAGCCACATCATAAGTACATGGGAGTTCATTATGCTGTCTACTTTTGAGACAGTTTTAGGCTGGGTGCAGTGGCTCATGCCTGTAATCCCAGCACTTTGGGAGGCTGAGGTGGGAGGATTGCTTGAGCCCAGGAGTTTGAGACCAGCCTGGGCGACATAGTGAGACCCATCTCTATTTTTTTTAATTAAAAAAGAGATAGTTTTAAAAATTGACACTAAAAAAGAACAAACAAACCTATGAATTTATTTTATAAATTGTTCTTCTGTGTGTTTAATTAAGATCCACCATTATGGAGGAAAAGTTAAAGTCTTCCAATATCCCATTTGATCTTTAGTTCTTATGTATTTAAGAAAGCTACCCATTGATTTATTTTCTGCTTTTATTTCAGATCAATGATTATACTGGCACAATTACAATGACTTGATTTTACAAGGTGGTAAGTGGCACCAGATTTTCAGTTTTCACGTTTGAGGCTGTGGAAATATTGTCTCTGGACAGGAGAAATAAAATGCCAACCATGAGCCAATGGGAATTTCTCTTCCACAATGAAAATATTCACTACGGGAATAACAGAGGGTGCGAGGAAGAGAAGACATTTTTCAGCCAAAAATCAAGGACAGGAAGTATTAATTATACGCATCAAAACACACTTAGAAACAAACTGCTTTATTAGCAAGAAAAACTATGGGTGGGATTGGCTGAATTCTGTCATCACTTCAACCATTACAGAAACTGGTAAAGCCACCATTTTAGGCTGCTAAATATTTGCTTAAAGTAACAACAGCTTACTTTTCTGCTAGGCTCTTGTTCTGTGCCAGGCTCCCTGCTAAACAATTTACATGAAGTCTCTCAACAACTCAGTGAGGTAGGGATTACTACAGGCCTTATTTTAGAAATGGGAACACCAAGGTACAGTGAGCCTCGGTGAATGCGCAAGACCAGCCAAGAGCACAGGTGGCATTTGGGTCCAGACTGGCTGGCTCGGGAGCTGCCTGCCTGTGCAGAAGAATGAGACCCTAGGAACGCTGTGTGAGCCATAAACCTGCCTGGACTAAAGAGCATCTCAGAGGAATCTCGTATCAACATAACACAAACATACATTTAACTCTTACCAGTTTCAGAGCTTTCCCTCAATCATCTTATAGACCCTCAAAACAATCCTCTAAGGTGGCTGAACAGAGATTGGTCTCTCTGTCTTAGAGGTAAAAACACGGAAGCTCAGAGAGGTCAGAGGAAAACTGGGATCTCCTGCCTCCAAATTGAAAAGTACTGCCACCTAAACTGGGGCCCTTCCTCTTTTCTAGAAACCTCAGGGCACTGGTGTGAAAATTAAGTGAGGCTGCACATGATGTGCTCAGTGCCAGGGCCTGTGACATTGTAAATGGTCAACAATGTTAATAGCACCCAAAATGAAATGGACAGACTGGCCTTTTATTAGGTAACAGAAAGAGTCTCACTTTCTTTGTTACTGAACAAGGGAAGTATCTGATGACCTCAGGAGAGAGCAGAAAGCAAGCATAAGCTTCTCCAAAGCTCAAGTTCTAAAAGCGTATCTGTATGGCTGGCACCACATGAAGCATCCGCTGGAAAGTTAGCTGCTGAAAAGAAGCATTTAAAAGTGGGCCCTTAAAATAAATTTCGAAAGTTCAGGCTGAGTGCAGTGGCTCATGCCTGTAGGGATGCACTTTGGGGAGGCCAAGGTGGGAGGATCACTTGAGGCCAGTAGTTCAACACTGGCTTGGCCCGGGCAAACTAGTAAAAATAGTGAGACCCTGTCTCTACAAAAAAAAAAAAAAAATTTTAATTAGTCAGGTAGCATATGCCTGCAGCCCCAGCTACTTGGGAGGCTGAGGTGGGAGGGTTGCTTGAGACCAGGAGCTCAAGGCTGCAGTGAGCTGTGATTGTGCCACTGCAGTCCAGCCTGGGTGACAGAGCAAGACCCTATCTCCAAAAGCAACAATAACAACAACAACAAAAAGTTCAAGAAGAGTTCAGTTCACAGACATTAGTTTTTGATTCTACAGTACACAACTGTCACATACATGTACAATATTCAGGCACAATGTATGTAAATACAAACACATGAACAAATGAAAATAAAATGAAAAGAAAACCCTGAATTCAAAAGGCTAGTGTTCATGTTTTCTTTGACGTCTCCAGGGGAAAGAAATAATCAGAAAATTCAGTGTTCAAAGTAGACCGAATATTGCAAAGCTAAATGCGGTCCTGGTGAATAGATACTGCTATAAACATGCATATTCACAAAAAGCTGGAGAGCAAAATTCACATGTTATAATAAATGCTTATATGTGCACACAGTATTTCTAGAAGGACACACATAAAACTCCAGGGTGATTGCCTCTAGGTGGGGAAAATGAATAGGAGAGGGAATTACTTTTCACTAAATACCCTTTTAGGATTTCTTACATACAAGTATTTTTATATACATTTAAAAAAAATTAATCCTACTGTTAAAGCTAATCATTTTGCCAGGATCAGGTTTCTAGAAAAGAAAAAGAGACTACCCTTACATTTCAGGGATTAATTGGAGGAGTTTCTGGAGATACCATTTTGAAAATCACAGTGAATTCCAAAAGAGACATCAGTAGAGCATCCAGTGGCTAAAAGTGGGCTCTCCCAAGCCAGATAGCATGAGTTCAAATTCCAGTACCCCCACTCACTGGCTCTGTGACCCTAGACAAGTTACCTAACCTTTTGGTGACTCAGTTTCCTCATCTATAAAATGGAAATAATCATAGTGCTATCATGAAATATAACTATATCAGATCACATAGAGTAATAAAACAGTATTTGGCACATAGTAAGCATTTAATAATTGCTAGCCATCTTTATGTTTACCAGTGTTGCTTTGACAGCTAGGCTGAGTAGCAGGTAGCATGCACCATCAAACCACATTTATGGTGGAAGCTTCTTTGATAGAACAATGAAAAACTTGATCTCATTCAATTCTCTCCCTGACAGGGAATGCCTGGGACCCTGAGTGGGCGTCAATAAACACTGACTGACTGATCGACACTGATTGACTGATTTAGGCTGTCAGTGAAAGTGGAAAGCCTGGATTACTCATCCAGATGTTAGGAACTATTTTTCCCAAAAGACAAATAGCACTTCCAGTCTTTAAAAGACTATCGCTGAGGCTTGTTAAAGTCTACCAACTACAAAATGATAATTCCATTTACTTTCTCTAATTAACTATAACAACGAAAAGAAGAAAACTCAGTAAGAAAGAATTCCTAGAGTGACACCTTCCTAGAAGAAGGTTTAACCCAAGGCAGTCTGCTGTACTAGAACTTTTTTTTTTTTTTGAGACTTTAGAGTCAACATTATAATTCATTTCAAGACATGTTGGAATGAGTTTTAGATTTTTTTCCCAAAACAATAATTAAACCAGCCAGGTCCATACTAAATCTCCGGTTTACTCCCAGGAAAACAAAACAATGACTTGGCAAAGCTGTGACCTAAACTTTGCTCCAGCTCTGCACTTACAAAAGTCCATTCATCCCCGCCTTAGGCACCCATCTGCAAAGTGGAGATGATGATGCCTAACACTAACTCGATACAGATGTAAATGAGAATGTGCTCAGAATTTTGAGCAACTTGGAAAAAATAAGCGATGTATTAATTGAAGATGATTTGGAATGCTCAGACATCAACTTTTAGGGACAAATAAACAATCTCCACCCTCCAAATGCTAGGCTCTGTGAGCCCACTCCACCTAGATGAGCCTTCTCTGGGCCATTCAGCCCCCTGGAATCCCAGAGACAGAAGAGGAGTGAGGTACACAAACTGTGGCAAGAAGGGCAAACAGGTTTCACCCACATCACTAGTGCGATCTGCATATGTGACTCCAAGCAGGCCTTCAGGGTAGAGTCAGAGGTTAAGGAAAGAAAAATAGGTTAGAAAATAAATGAGGCCTGTTTATTTCTCCTGCTTTTTTAAAAAGAAAAACATGGCATTCTAGCAGAAATCCTACTTGATCTAAAGTGAGCTTCACATTTCTTTCTACTCTTTTTTTTTTTTTTTTTTTTTTGAGACCGAGTCTTGCTGTGTCGCCCAGGCTGGAGTGCAGTGGCGCGATCTTGGCTCACTGCAACCTCCCCCTGCCGGGTTCAAGCAATTCTCCTGCCTCAGCCTCCCGAGTAGCTGGGATTACAGGCGTGTACCACCACGCCCGGCTAATTTTTTGTATTTTTAGTAGAAATAGGGTTTCACCATGTTGGCCAGGCTGGTCTCGAAATCCTGACCTCAAATAATCCACCCGTCTCGGCCTCCCAAAGTGTTGGGATTACAGGCTTGAGCCACCGCGCCCGGCCACATTTTTACTCTTATATTCTTAGTTGAAAACAACAGAGAAGTCCAAGTGCCACTCCATCTCTGAAGCACAGATAGCCTTTCTGCTGAAGGCAATGGTCTGGGAGCACCAGTCTCAAATCAGATCAATTTCATACCCACCTAGAAGCTACGAAAGTGAAGACCCATAACCCTTAATTTACTTTTTTTCCATTTATAAAACTAAAGACTACAACAGGAAAGAAAAATAAAATAAAACAGATGTAATTAGAGAAGGAGAGTAGGTAGAAAGAACGCAAAAGTGAAGCCCTCCTGGCCCTGAGCTTCACTTAAGGAAACGAACATGACACCCCAGTACTCTGGGGGACTCCTTGGAAACGCCTTCTTAAATGGGCTCCCCTCCCCTGAAAAGAGAGCGAATTCCTAAGACCTCTTCGTGGTCTGTAGATAAGATGGGGGTGGGGGAGATGGAAAGATCACTTGAAATTCTGTATCCATAAATGGTAGAGTGGTGCTCCTTGTGTACATGATGCTTAATGGAAATCGCATGTTTTCACAAACACGGGTCGATCTTTTTAACACACAGTCCCAATTAACGGTGGAAATTCCACAACGTGGGATCCCAGGGATGTTAAGGCCTGGCGAGTTGGCTTTCTCAAACTTTTTCGGGGGAGCCCGCACTGTGGGGCCCCGGACGCCGCCGTCACCATCCGGCGTGGCTCTACCGGGGCTGGTGCCGGGGCTGGGGGCCACGCTCCGCCGGCGGCGCCTAGGGGCCATCGCGAGAAAGAGAAAGAGACAGAGAGAGAGAAAAAGAGAGAGACAAGAGAAGAGAAAAGAGACAGACACAGAGAGAAAGAAAGAGAGACAGAATATAAGAGAACTGAAGAGAAGAGAAGAGAAGAGGGAAGAAAGAAAAAAAAGACAAGACCCGGGGAGGGCGCAGGCGGGAGCGCGCGGGCGGCGAGGCCTAGGAAGGGCCCAGCAGCAGCGGGAGGGCGCGCGGCTACTCAGCCCAACCCGTGCGGCCCGGGCTTACCTTCCAGATAACAGCTGGAGGACGAGGACAGCCCCTTCTTGGATTTGCAGCCCACCAGCTTCAGGCAGATCTCCAACATTTTCCCGCGCCAGCACGTCGGGGGCCGGAACCCCTCTCCCAGCTCGGTCCGCGGGCCCGGCTCAGGCCCGGCTCGGCCCGCGCGCCCCCCCGGCGCCCCCGGCCCCGCCAGCCGCCCTCACCGCCGCCCCGCGCGCCCGCGCCCGCCCATGGCCGCGGCCGCGTCTCCGCCTGGCCGGGACGCGCCTGTTAACAAAGGGCCCGGAGAGGGCGCCCGCCAGGCCCGCCCCCGCCCCGCCGCCGCCTGCGCCTTAACCCCCTCCTGGCCGCGCCCGTCCGCACCCAGGGGCCCCTGGCGTTCCCGAGGCCGAGCCCGGCCCAAAGCCACCGCCGCTTTCCAAAGCCAACCCGGGCCAATGGCGATCCTCGCAGGGGGAAGGCCGCGCGCGGCCCGCGGAGGTCTTTCTCCGCCTGGAAGCGCCGTCCCAGCCCCGGCGGGGAGGGTGCAGGCCTGCTCCACTCCACTTTAGAAGCCGCGCGCAACTCCACCGCGGCCTGGGGCGTCTCCAACCTGCACCGCTTTTGGCGAGTTTCCCAGTACGCGGTGCCAGGCAAACCCTCTGACCCGAGAACGCTGGTGAAAATGCATATTCCTCTGCAGTTACCAATACTAACTGGTCTCATTTCTACTCAACGCGCGTCCTGTGATTAAGGCTGAGGCAGTGGGTGTCTGGGGAGGAAGTCAGAGCTGGCACCCACAGGACAACCACACGTGCGCACGACACCCCGGTGAGGCCGCACATCCAGACCAGGATATGAGGTCAGGCTGCGAACAGACGGGTGTGAGTTCAGAGTGAGAGGACTTAGTCCCTACAATGAGAATTTTCGGAGGCACGGTCTGGGCCTCTTCTCTGATTCATTTTCTTTAACAGAGAACTTTTCCTCTTCCTTTGGCCGAGTGCCACGGGGTGAGGGTGGGGGGACCATTGTTTAAAATCCATTTCATTCAATTATTTTAAACTCTTGTTTGGACTGACCACAGACAATGTTATAAAGCAGCAACAATCACAGTCGTGTTACTGGCGCACACCCAGAAATCTAGGTCAGAGGGAAACAATAAGGAACTCAATGGCACCAAATAATTCAATAAAATCAGGTAAGTTCCCCTCATGACAGGAAAAGGAATTTATTTCATTTATTTCTTTCATAAATGGTGTTAATCACAAAACTGTAAAGGGGGAAGTTTAGTCCACATCTTCTAGCCATGAAGAGTAAGAGCTGACGTGTATTGTGCTCTTCCTATGTGCCATGTTACCTTCATTAACTGTATTGCATCTGCGTAATGATTCTGTGAGGAAACAGATTATCCCAATTCTTCAGGTTTAAAAACAAACAAACCCCACAGATGCTCAGAGAAGTCAGACACCTTGCCCACAGCTGGAAACAGGCGGAGATGGACTCAACCCAGGTCTGCCTGGCTCCAAGGATCAGGCTCCCGACCAGTGGATGATGCTGACCCTTCACATCAAGAATAAATTCCAAGTGGATTAAAGCATTGGATATCTTTGGTCAAATAACTAGCATTGTCATTATATGTTTCAGAGAAAGCCTTGGTTATGAGACCCTGGCTACTTTCTAGCCTATCCTGTAATGACAAAAACCCGGGTATCTTCAGTACCTCAGGAATGGCTAAGTAACAAGATCTTCACTTGGCTCTGCCAAAAACAGCACATAAAAACTCCAGTTGGACAGGATGTAACCAGTGTATATCACAGGGGTTCTCGGCCAGGATGTCATTAACTTTCCACATGTGTCCTGCCAAATTCTGATCAACATACAACATGTATTTTTACTGCCATTGAATGGACCTACTGCTAGAGTCGTGGTACCAGATCAGGCCTCATGAGCATCCAAGAGGGCACCATCAGGGAAGTTTGCAGCTCCCATCATCTGGAGATGCAGGACTACAGGGCCCCCAGGGGATGGGTGCAGTGACTCTGGATGCTTTCTAGGATCTGGGAAGCGCTGTCATTCTGCTGGACAGCCTGCGTGTGGTGACTGCTAACATGTTTAGTGTTGTCTTGAATCTGTCAACCTCTACACGTAATGCCAAAAATAACACTCAAAAGGGTGCCACCAGTACCAACTAGTGAAAAAATACAGTATCTGTCTGTTTTGTTGCCCTTTTGGAAAGTTCAGGGGCCTTGGATCAGACTATAATAAAGTCTGTCATTATATAGCATTTCATATTAAAGGGCCATATTCAAATTGGCGGCTTAATGCCAAGAATTACACATTATTAGGCATTTTGGAAATTCTAGCCATATCCTTGAATACCGTCTGTTAATATAGGCCCAGATATTTGCTTGCCTTGTGCTGTTCTTTATATTGGTATATGTTTATTTTTTTAAGCTAATTATTATTACTAATATTCTGCTCTTGAGTCTAAAATGATCTTATCCTCTTAAATCCTCTTAAAATGAATAATGCTTATAAACTGTACCCAAATCTTTTTAATTTTAGTTATAAAACCATACATCAACAGATCTAACAAAATACTGAATTAGTGGCAATGGATACTGAAAAAACTGCCAAACTACACTTCTGTATCAAACCTGGCCTATACTTTCCATATCCAGCTTTTGACGCTTTTGAAAGATACGAAGAGCATTCTGTTACAAGCAAATAAAGGAGAGCTTCAATCTTCTTACCAGAAGAACACCCCAAGAAGGATTCCTTCTAATCAGCCTAAGACCCAAAAGCTATTAGCTAAAAAGAAAGGGAAAAGGAAAGAAATTAAAGACTGTGAACTAACTTGTTTGCTATGTTGCATTAGTTTGGGAAGAAATACATTTTTAATGTGCATGTAATATGTGCCAGGCACTCTTAAGCCTCACAGTAACCTAATGATTTTGTATAGTTTAATTCCATTTCACAAGTAAGAAAACTGACTGGAGGGAGAGGGGGAAGTATTCTGTCCAAGTTCACACAGCCAGGAGGTAGGAAGGTAGGAAAGTCTTGAACTTTGTAAAATGGCAGAAAATTTCCAATTTAAGTGAAAGGTGGATAATATGAGTAAGATCAGAAGATGAAATAAGTAACATTAACTGTTGGGAAAACATGTCTTAGGAGAAAATAATTCAGGGAACTAGAGCTATTTAAGATTTTTTTTTTTTTTGAGATGGTGAAACCCCATCTCTACTAAAAGTACAAAAAAATTAGCTGGGCGTGGTAGCGGGCATCTGTAATCCCAGCTACTCGGGAGGCTGAGGCAGAGAATTGCTTGAACCTGGGAGGTGGAGGATGCAGTGAGCAGTGATCGCACCACCACACTCCAGCCTGGGCAACAGAGCGAGACTCCATCTCAAAAAAAAAAAAAATATTTAGAAGGAAAGGATAAACTCCCCAACATTAAAGCATGGGATCTGAACAATGTTTCTAAAAGCATAATCCATGGACAATCTATTTTGAATAATGTGGGGCTTGCTTAAAATGCGGAGTCTTGGTTTCTAGTCTAGAATCAGAATATGTGTAATGGGCTGGATCTGAAGCTCCCAGATGATCTGTATGCATATGTAAGATGGAAATCCACTGTTTGGGGGCCAGACACAGTAGCTCACGCCTGTAATCCCAGCACTTTGGGAGGCTAAGGTGGGCGATCACCTGAGGTCAGGAGTTAAAGACCAGCCTGGCCAACATGGGGAAATCCTGTCTCTACTAAAAATACAAAAATTAGCCAGGCATGGTGGTACACACCTGTAATCCCAGCTACTCGAGAGGCTGAGGCAGGAGAATCGCTTGAACCTGGGAGGTGGAGGTTGCAGTGTGCCAAGATTGCACCACTGCACTCCAGCCTGGGCAGCAGAGCAAGACTACATTTCAAAAAAAGAAAAAAAGAAAAGAAATCCACTGTTTTGGAAGAGGGAAGAGTTGCTTATTTTCACTGGGAATAGGACGAACAGGAATGGATATTTCTAAAATTTAATTCATTTGAAAGCAATTTCTGAATTTAAGATAGGCATAGTTCTAGAACAAGTTACCAAAAGAGGACTCTTCTTGGATGATTAGAGGAGAGAGACTGAATTTTTTTTTTAATTTGGAATTTAGTCCTATTAAGAAAAAGTTGGGCAGGCACCCACCATAGAAGTGTGTCAAGGGAAGGAGGCAGGATTCAGGATGTGGATGCTCCATCTCTCAGCAGCAAGACTGGGTGTGAGTGCAGGTGGAACAGAGACAGATGAACCTGACAGGAGGCCTGGCTTGGGACCCCAGGACAAGGTGACCCCAGGTCTGGCTGACCCCTTCACTGTTTCCAGCATAGCTAGTAGCTTTAGGGGGGGAACAGCAAAGATCTTGAGGTATGTGCACAGTATTTCACATGCAAATGCCAACAAAGCCCACTTTCTCTGATTCAGCAAACATTGTCCAGCAAGAGCCTGCCAGGTACTCTAGCTCTGTGGGTCCAGTGTATGTCCAACTAAAGGATAACATAGCTTAAAACATCACTTCTGTCATACCAGTTTTTGCCACTGTATAGGGACACATGCATCCCTTTAAGTCTCACATTTTTTCAATCGGGTAGCACTACCTGCTGGTCACGAGTTATGTGTCACAAAGGCTAGCGCTGAGTCTCAGATCTGCCACTCACTGTGGGGCCATGGGCAACGACTTCACCTCTCAGAGCCTCAATTTTCTCATCTGAAAAATGGGAGGTAGTCATAAGAGTAGTTATCTCACAGGGTTATTATGAAGATTAGGAATCATGTAGGGAGAGTGCCCAAAGCACAGAAGGTGCTCGATAAACAGTAGCTATTGTTATTTCCAAAAGAGGACTATTTCTGTATCAGGTCTGTGTTCCTGCCTACATCTCACTGGGACTCAGTCAAGAGCTCAAATTAACAAACATGCTATATGAAAATGATTCCAGAAAGCAGTCTGGAGGTTTTCCAAGGGACCAGGAAATCAATTTATTTTATGAAGAGAAAGAAACACTAGCTGTGAGGTAGGAGTAGCAACTAAGGTTCAAATGTAACAGAGAGCCCCACCTTTCATCCTAAAGCAAAGATTTGCAACCACAGCTTCAGCAAAACACAAACCCCACACCCCCGCATCTTGAATGGGGGCCTAATTCAGACCCATGATTTCATGCACAGGCTGCACAGATGACTGTCCTTCAAATGACACTGATTTTTCTGTTGGTATTTCCAGGCTATAATTCTCAGCTGGGGACCAAATCTGAACTGCCTTAGAGTAAATCCGCTTTCTAGAAAATCTCATTACAGTAAGACTACTATATTTTTATAATTAACAAGTCTAAACCTAACTGTTAAACATTTTTCTCTAGAAGGAGAAAATTAATGGTATTAGTATGCTCATTTTTTTAAATTAATTTTTCTTTTTAATCAAAGTAATATACATAACATGGTTAAAACTCAAGCAGTACTAAAAGTCTTGTAAAAAAGGCTAAAAATAGTCTTGTAAAAATCTGGTAATAAAAAACAGCAATCCCTTTCCCCTGTATGTTTCCGCAGAGACAGCCTCCTTCAGATTTTTAGCTAGTAACATCATCTTGCTCTTTCTGAATTCATTAGATTTATCCATTATCTATTAACTTATGACAGCAGTATTATACTATCACCATCCATAACCCCCCAAAACAATAAAATCACAATTTGGGGGATAAATCAATAGTTAGTGTTTACATTATTAGGATGATATAAATATTCTTCACTGCTTAGCCAATAATATACTATGAATGTTTCCTTTATTATACATCTTTGTTTATCCTAGAGATATTGCCTTGTTTTCATTTAGTCTTCTATATACCTATCACCATTTTCCCTCAAATACTTCAAAGATCTGTCAAACATCTAGTGATATTTTTTCCAATCACTAAAACATTTCAAATATTCTCAGTTGTACTTTTTTTTTTTTTTTTTTTTTGAGACGTAGTCTCGCTCTGTCACCCAGGCGGGAGTGCAGTGGCGCGATCTCCGCCCACTGCAAGCTCCGCCTCCCGGGTTCACCACGCCATTCTCCTGCCTCAGCCTCCCGAGTAGCTCGGACTACAGGGGACCGCCACCACGCCCTGCTAATTTTTTTGTATTTTTAGTAGAGACGGGGTTTCACTGTGTTACACCAGGATGGTCTCAATCTCCTGACCTCGTGATCTGCCCGCCTCGGCCTCCCAAAGTGCTGCGATTACAGGTGTGAGCCACCGTGCCCGGGCTCAGTTCTACTTATTGACTGACTTCTTCATTTTGCTGGAATTCATCATCCAGTAGCTTCACAGAGGTGGGGAGGGAGGGTGCATGTCTAAAAAAATACCTTTCTTCTATCTTGACAGTTTGTCTGGGTATAGAATTCTAGGTTGAAAATAATTTTCCCAAATGAACTTTGAAGGCATTTATTTATCTGCTACTATCTAGTTTCCAGTAAGTATTGTTTAGAGATGCAATCCCATTCTGGTTCCTGACCCCTTAAAATGACTTGCTTTTTTTCTCTTTGGAAACTTTTAGGATCTTCTAATATTCTTGGTGTTCTGAACTTTCACAATGATATGGCCTTTCATATATTATTCTGGGCACTCATAAATCCAGAGATTTATATAATTCTGTTTTGGAAAATACTCACTTCACTAAACTCTGAAATTTTTCCTTACATTTAACGTCTCCTAACTTCTCCTCCATTTGTTTCTTCGTTATTATCATTATTTTTTTGTTTTCTTTCTGGAATTCCTACAAAAAGGATATTAAAGCCCTGGGATTGAGTTTCTAATTTTCTTTTCTTTTTTTTTGAGACGCAGTTTCACTCTTGTTGCTTGCCCAGGCAGGAGTGCAATGGCACAGTCTCGGCTCACTACAACTTCTGCCTCCTGGGTTCAAGCGATTATCCTGTCTCAGCCTCCCGAGAGTTTCTAATTTTCTTACCTGTTCTCTCTTATTGTTCTCTCAACAGTCCATGTCTTTGTCTTTATGTTCTATTAGGTTGGTGTAAAAGTAATCAACGTTTTTGTCATTAAAATGGCAAAAGCCCCAATTACTTTTGTACCAACCCAATACATTCTGAGACAATTTTCCACATCTTCTGTTGGATTTTAAATTTGGGCTATAATGTTTTTAATATTAAACAATTCATTCTTGCTGGGTGTGGTGGCTCATGCCTATAATCCCAGCCCTTTGGGGGGAGGCTGAGGCAGGAGGATCACTTGAGCCCAGGAGTTCAAGACCAGCCTGGGCAACATAGTGAGACCCCATCTCTCTACAAAAAATTTAAAAATTAGCCAGGTGTGGTGGTGCGTGCCTGTAGTCCCAGTTGCTTGGGGGGCTGAGGCAGGTTGGGGCTGCAGTGAGCTGTGATCTTGCCACTGCACTCCAGCCTGGGTGACAGAGACCATGTATCAAAAATAAATAAATAAATAAATAAAAGAAAAATAATTCATTTTTATTCTTATTCTGATTGTTATTGTTTTTAAAAGCATCCTGTTTTCTGACATTTGCAATCTCTCTCTCCAAGGATAGCAAAGAATAGTTCTTTTTTTTTTAAGCAGTATTTGTGGGAAATGCATAGCTTTATTTATTTATTTATTTATTTATTTATTTATTTATTATTTTTGAGACAGAGTCTCACTCTGTCACCCAGGCTGGAATGCGGTGGTGCAATCTTGGCTCACTGCAAGCTATGCCTCCCAGGTTCAAGCAATTCTCCTGCCTCAGCCTCCCAATAGCTGGGATTACAGGTGCCTGCCACCATGTTCAGTTAATTTTTGTATTTTTAGTGGAGATGGGGTTTCACTATGTTGGCCAAGCTGGTCTCAAACTCCTGACCGCAGGTGAACTGTCCACCTCAGCCTCCCAAAGTGTTGGGATTACAGGCGTGAGTCATGGTGCCCAAGCTGAATAGTTCTTTTAAACTCTTCCTCTGTTGACTGCATTGTCTTTATTTCCACCAAGTTCCTGTTTTCTGCTATTTGTTTTACCCTTTATCTATTAATATCAGGTTAGAGACCTTCCTCTAATGCCTAGAGAGATTTGGCAGGCCACTCACTCTCTATGAATGAGCAACTAAAAGATGACTGTTAGTTTTGTATGCGTGGAAGGGGCACAGCCACTGGTAAGCTTCAGTGAAAGGAGATGGTAAACTCGCTTTTTCAAGAGAATCCCTAAATGTTGGTATCTGTAGGGCTTTTCTCTAGGGTCATTCAACTTTTTCCCCCTAGAAAAGAATATTTCAATCTCTTCCTTATTAGGCCCCTGGCTAGCAGGTATTAGAAGAGGGCTGGGAATCTTACTATTCAGTATGCAGACTTTTAAAAAATCTGCTCTTTGCCCACTCCACTATTTTCGGCCAATGGCCTACCCGGACCCATGCTGGGGGTCAGGCTCCTGAGTGCAGAG
Source organism: Homo sapiens (assembly GCF_000001405.40). Lineage (NCBI taxonomy): Eukaryota > Metazoa > Chordata > Mammalia > Primates > Hominidae > Homo > Homo sapiens. The sequence continues at coordinate 130,827,111 of NC_000009.12, read as the reverse complement.
CCTCTACGGGGCATTTCTTTTCTTTTTTTTTTCTGAGGCGGAGTCTTGCTCTGTTGCCCAGGCTGGAGTGCAGTGGCGCCATCTCGGCTCACTGCAAGCTCCGCCTTCAGGGTTCACGCCATTCTCCTGCCTCAGCCTCCTGAGTAGCTGGGACTACAGGCGCCCGCCACCACGCCCGGCTAATTTTTTGTATTTTTAGTAGAGATGGTGTTTCACCACATTAGCCAGGATGGTCTCGATCTCCTGACCTTGTGATCCGCCCGCCTCGGCCTCCCAAAGTGCTGGGATTACAGGCGTGAGCCACCGCGCCCGGCCGGGCATTTCTCAATATAATGCCTCTGGTCTCCTGTAGGTGGTTAGGAGAGGTGGTCATCTGACTCTGTGGGGTTGGGAGGGGTTTGAAGAATCTAAACCCTCCTTTTATAGGCTCTCAATTGATCCCCTTGATTTCAGCTTCAGGCCTCATCCCCTGCTTTCTGTGGTACTAATGTCTCTAATTTCTGACCTTTCCGCAGATTCTTACAGGCAAACCAGCTCACTCTTAATCAAGGTCTCTCTCAGAAGAGGTTTTGGCATCCTTGATTCTGCTAAATCTATTACCACTCTCTTTGCCTTTCTTATCCCCTACTGTCTCCTTTGGGCTCCTTTAGTCCTTACACATCTTCACTTAAAATATGTATATATATATTTTGGCCAGGCGTGGTGGCTCATGCCTGTAATCCCAGCACTTTGGGAGGCCAAGGCAGGTAGATCGTTTGAGCTCAAGAGTTTGAGACCAGCCTGGCCAACATGGCGAAACCCCATCTCTACAAAATACACAAAAATTTGCTGGGCGTGGTGGTGTGTGCCTGTAATCCCAGCTACTCAGGAGGCTCAGACAGGAGAATCGCCTGAACCCAGGAGGTGGAGGTTGCAGTGAGCCGAAATTGCGCCGACTCTGTCTCAAAAAAAAAAAAGAAATCTTTTTATTGTCATTTTAAGAATTTATTTTCCCCATATTGCATTTCAGACAACTGTGACACAGATAGGTTATATAACTTGCCCTAGGTCACATAGCAAGTTAGTGGCAGAGCAAGGAAAACCCCTATCTTCAAACTCCCTTGTTAGATCCCTTTCCTGTGACATGACACCTACTAGGTACCCATGACAGACAAGTTTTAGGACACTAGGCTGAAAAACTAAAATTTGTTGCAAACTATAGGTTTTAAATCTTAATTTCGCTGATGGCGAAGAAACAACAAAACTCTAAATTCTTAAATCCAGTTACAACACTGTACCTTAAGGTTTAATTATAAACAGAAATATTATTAAGCAAAAATGGTTTGGGATATTCTTATTAAACTCTAAGTGCTTGAATTAAACTTAAAGAGATTTTGCCATGTTTTCATGAGATGTCTCTGTCCCTTTACCTTTTTACCAAATAATTTTAAATCACTAAGTCTTGTTTGTTTTTAATCTGAATATTGAAGATTAAGATATCTATAAAACAAATACATCAAAAATAGCAATGTTACAGCTTTGTTGCAATAGAAAATAGCAATGCTGCAAAAACCCTAAAGCTGTCAAATTATTATCTGTGTGATAAGATTTATGATGAGGTAAACTCAGCCAAGTAGGAGGAACTGATAAAAGAAAAGCCCAAGCCCTGGTTATTGACAAGCTCCTTTTGTTTAAAATGTTGTTAACTTTGAATTGGTAAACCAATGGTTAATATTTTCCTCTCTTTCTCTAAGACTAAAAGAATCTGCAAAAGCAGCAGAGCAGGCCTAGGAGATCACGTTACATTTGGGGGTGGGGGAAGAAGGCAGCTGGAGGGGAGTGTAGAGAGAAGGGCTAAAAGGGAAAGAAAACAAGTTGTCTAAACCTCCCCACAGTGTAAAACCCAGCAGGGATTAGGAGGTAGTGGAGGAGCCAGTGTTTATCCAAGTTATCTCTGGGGCAGTTGGAATTGGCTATAAAAGTATAGTCTCCTCCAGTATGAAGATCCTGTCAGCAGCCTAGAGCTGTACCCCATGACAGCAAAGTTCTTGGTAATTGTTACCAAGGCTGGAAACCCTAGAAATGAAATACTAAAGGGGAGTTAATGTTTATTTCTTCAAACCATTCAGTACCAATTTGTTTTGTTGTCAAGGTTTTCAACACACACAAAGGACAAATGGAACCAGAAGATTTCTTCCCTCTGCTTGTTAGAAATGACTGCTGTCCTTAGAGGAGCAATGGGATCTCTAAACGGAACTGCTCTTTTTCTTCCTTAAAGTGACAGATGTGGCATATTAATCCAGAACTACATATTAACTGAACAAGAGCAGCTACAGTTAACCTTGGAGAAACTGTTCACTAAGTGGCACTGTGGTGATGGCAGGAAAGGGCTCGCTCAGTGGCCATGCAGCCGCTTGAAAACAAAACAGCAAAGCAGAGTTTTGCTTCCAAAGGCAACCTGGTAAAAGCTGTCCTCCTTGTTTACCACCCCTCCTACGAGCTGGTGCCTAAGATCTGTATTCTTTACAGCAACACCAAAATCAAATTTAATGTCTAAGTTATTTTCATATTCCCTAAGTGTGGTGGTTAAATGTATGTGTCAGCTTGACTAGACCCCCAGGATGCCCAGATCTTAAACATTATTTCCAGGTGTGTCTGTGAGGGTGTTTCTAGAAGAGACTAGCATTTGAATTGGTGAACTGCCTAAGCAGATGGCCCTCCCCACTTTGGCTGGGCATCCTCCAGTCCGTTGAGGGCCTGATTAGAACAAAAAAACAGAAAAAGGAAGGTTGGATTTACCCTCCCTCTGCCTGCTTGAGCTGGGACATGGATCTTCTCCTGCCCTCAGCCCTCTGGGTTCTCAGACCTTCAGACTGGAATCCACATCACTGGCCCTCAGCTCTCAGGCCTTCAAACTACACCAGCAGCTTTCCTGGGTCTCCATCTGGCAGAGAGCAGACTGTGGGACTTCTTAAGCTCCATCATCTCATGAGCCAATACCTTATAATCAATCTCTTCAAAAGATACACTTTTAGGATATCTATTCCGATAGACAGACCCTATTGTTTCCTGTGTCTCTGGAGAGAACTGTAATACACTAGGCAATAATCAGTCGTATTTATAGTTATTTCACATGACAAATGTTCTGGTGTAATTCAACAGTAAAATTAACTCCTCAATAACACTTAGGCCAACAATTGCATATCAACTAGACTTTCTTTGATGAAAATGAACAGGAATCCCACACAGGACCCTGCAATCCCAACACTGGCTCTCGACATCTGTTTTTTCTCCTGCCTTCAATCCCTAAGTTTTAGGCCTTAACCCCTCAGTTGCAGATGGGACACATCACCCCAGAATAAAGACTCCATTTCCCAGTCTCTCTTGTGGCCAGGCACTACCACATGACTAAGTGATGGTATGTGGGCAAAAGTGCTGTGTAAGACTTCTGGGTCAGGTTCTTCAAAGCAACAGGCACGCACTCCCTCTCCTCTTTCTGGTGTCCACTGCCTGTGAGGGGCCATGGCAGCTGGCGTGGGCATTTTGGATCCTGAGGTAGAAGCTGTGCCTTACAGAGTAAGGGACAGGAGGTGTCTGACCCTGAGGAGCCATCGTGCCCCTCCAGGACCGCGACTGTCAGCCTGTTACAGAGAGAAGCATCTCGCTTGTTTGAATTGCTCCTATTTTGGGTCTGTAACAGCCATTTAGTCCTTATGGTAATAATGTTAAAAGGTCAGTTCTAACTCGCATTAACCTAAGAATTCCCCAAATCAATCTTTTGTTTTCTTTCTCCATTGAAAACTGTTAATAGAAGGAGAGGTGTTTGAAACAGTCCTGTAACCTTTAGAAAATTGAAGAGTGACCCAAATCATCCCCGTGAAACATGCAGCCCAGTGTCCAGCTCCTAAAAAACATTCAAATATTAAACATTATTATGATTACTATTAACTATCCCTTTTCCTTTCTATAAACTTGCACTGGTGTAAGGAAGATAAAAAGCTACATGTGCTATCATATACCTGATAAAGAACTTGGAAGGCCGGGCACGGTGGCTCACACCTGTAATCCCAGCACTTTGGGAGGCCGAGGTGGGAGGATCACGAGGTCAGTAGTTTGAGACCCGTCTGGCCAAGATGGTGAAATCCCGTCTCTACTAAAAATTCAAAAATTAGCTGGGTGTGGTGGTGCAAGCCTGTAGTCCCAGCTACTTGGGATGCTGAGGCAGAAGAATCGCTTGAACCCAGGAGGCAGAGGTTGTAGTGAGCTGAGATCGTGCCACTGTACTCCACCCTGGGTGACAGAGCGAGACTCCATCTCGAAAAAAAAAAGAACTTGTACCCACAATACAGAGAACTCTTACCACTCGATAATAAGACAGTGCACAAACTTAATAAAAAAAAATAGGCAAAAGATTTGAATTGACAGGTCACCAAAGATGAAATACAAATGGCTAATAAGCACATAAAAAGATGTTCAGTATCATTAGTCATTCAAGAAATGGAAACTAAAATCACGAGATGCTGCTTCACACCCATTCCAATAGCTATAATCAAAAGACAGACAACCCCTGGTACACTGGTGTGTGCCTATAGTCCCAGCTACTAGGGAGGAGCACTTGAGCCCAGGAGTTTGAGGCCAGCCTGAACAACACAGCAAGACCCTGTCTCTTAAAAAAAAAAAAAAAAAAAAAAAAGCAGGGGCGGGGATAGGTAGGCAGACAAAACCAACTATTGGCAAGGACATGGAAAAACTGGAACACTCACACATTGCTGGTGGGAATGTAAATGGTACAGTCACTTTAGGAAATAGTTTGGCAGTTTCTTAAAAAGTTAAACATAAACTTACTATAAGACAGCAATTTGACCGGTCGTGGTGGCTCACGCCTGTAATCCCAACACTTTGGGAGGCCAAGGTGGGTGGATCACCTGAGGTCAGGAGTTTGAGACCAGCCTGATCAACATGGTGAAACCTCGTCTCTACTAAAAATACAAAATTTGCCAGGCATGGTGGCTCACGCCTGTAATGCCAGCACTTTGGGAGGCCGAGGCAGGCAGATCACGAGGTCAGGAGAGTGAGAGCATCCCGGCTAACACAGTGAAACCTCGTCTCTACTAAAAATACAAAAAATTAGCCGGGGGTGGTGGTGGGTGCCTGTAGTCCCAGTACTTGGGAGGCTGAGGCGGGAGAATGGCATGAACCCGGGAGGCAGAGCTTGCAGTGAGCTGAGATCGCGCACTGCACTCCAGCCTGGGTGACAGAGCGAGACTCTGTCTCAAAAAAAAAAAAAAAAAATAATAATAATAATAGCCAGGTGTGGTAGCACATGCCTGTAATCCCAGCTACCCGGGAGGCTGAGGCAGGAGAATCACTTGAACCAGGGAGGCGGAAGTTGCAGTGAGCCAAGATTATGCCATTGCACTCCAGCCCAGGCAACAAGAGCAAAACTCCATCTCAAAAAAAAAAAAAAAGACTCAGCAATTTTACTTCTAGAAATCTACCCTAGAGAAATGAAAATGTATATCCACACAAAGACTTATACATGGATATATATAGTAGCATTGTTAATGATGACCAAAACTGGAAACAATCCAAATGTTCACCAACTAGTGAATAGAGAAAAATGTATGTCCGTACAATGGAATAATACTCAGTGATAAAAAGGGAACAAAGTACTGAGACGTGCTATAATACAGATAAACCTCAAAAACATGCTGGGAAAAAAAACAGTCACAAAAGGTCATATATTGTATAAAACTTCATTTACATGAAACGTACGGAAAAGACAAATCTATAGAAAAAGCAAATGAATGGTCGCCTGGGGCTGGAAGTGGGGGTAGGACTGCTGCAAAGGGACAAAAGGGATCTTTTGGGGATGCTGGAAATGTTCTAAAACTGGATTGTGGGGCCAGGTGCGGTGGCTCACGCCTGTAATCCCAGCACTTTGGGAGGCTGAGGCTGGCGGATCATGAGGTCAGGAGATCGAGACCATCCTGGCTAACATGGTGAAACCCTATCTCTACTAAGAATACAAAAAACTTAGCTGGGCATGGTGGCACGTGCCTGTAGTCCCAGATACTCGGGAGGCTGAGGCAGGAGAATCGCTTGAACCCGGGAGGTGGAGGCTGCAGTGAGCCGAGATTGCACCACTGCACTCCAGCTTGAGTGACAGAGTGAGACTCTGTCTCGAAAAAAAAATAAAAAATAAAACTGGATTGTGGTTATGGTGCACACTCTATAAATTTAGTAGAAATCATTGAATTGAACATTCAAATGGTAAATTTTATGGCATATAAATTACACCTCAGTAAAACTGCTAATAAAAAAGGGGAAAAAGCAATATGTTATATGATTTTAACACCTTTTTCTAAGTGGATGTCATATAAATGATGAGACAAAGGATTAGAAATGCACCCAGTGAGGGCTGCTCAGTTCCAAGCTGCAAACACAGAAAGACTGTGCTGTACGTGTTGTTGGTTTTCAGCTTATTTACTGATGCTTCTAATGAGAGCTATGTCTGGACAGTCAGCCTGAAATGATTCCACCCAACTCTGACGCCTCTCCTCCCAACGCCCAGTGCAACGAAACTCTGCAAAGAGGTGTGTGTGAGGGGAAGGTTGTATACACACAAATGAGATGATCAAGACTGGGTGGGAGTGGGGAGATGGAATACAGGTTGACTCAAATAAAGACATCTGAGAAAGCCAGCAATCCAGCACAGTGAAGACAGTGAGGCACAGAAACACATCTTCCATTCACAGGAAGCATTTGGACGCCCTCACAAGTAATGGCAGCTTTCCAACCTGCAGCCTTTGCAAAGGCATGAAGGGCTGCCATTTGTAGAGTTCCCAACTACATACCATGACCCCACCTGCATCTTATGGGCAGTACAGTTCCAACTGTTAAATCTCTCATGGAAACCAAGTATCATGGTAAATTGCTTAAGATCAAAATGTTAAGAATTAAAAATCTACTGTAGGAAAATGTCTAGGTAGTAAACATGTTTCCAAAGTGCTGAGAAAGAGAAGCAATCAATTAAATATTGGAATTAATTAACAATAAATATTTCATGAGTGTGAAACTTGTGAACTGCAGTGACTGAAGTCCAACAAGCAGAAGTCACCAAAGATAGGGTATAGAGAAGCCAAGTGTCCTCTGAAGCTGAGAGCCCACCAATGACCAAAACACCTGGTATAAATGTCCATACCAGGAATGCCTGGAGAAACAGAAGTCACAGCAAAGTAGAAGCAGAAACACCTCCTGCTGTAAAAAAAAAAAAAAAGTAGGTATTTTTCAGCTGGGCGCGGTGGCTCACGCGTGTAATCCCAGCACTTTGGAAGGCTGAGGCGGGCGGATCACGAGGTCAGGAGTTTGACACCAGCCTGGCCAGCACGGTGAAACTCCATCTCTACTAAAAATACAAAAAAAAAGTAGCCGGGCATGGTGGTGTGTGCCCGTAGTCCCAGCTACTGGGGAGGCTGAGGCAATAGAATTGCTTGAACCTGGGAGGCGGAGGTTGCAGTGAGCTCAGATCGTGCCACTGCACTCCGGCCTGGGTGACAAAGTGAGGCTCCGTCTCCAAAAAAAAAAAAAAAAAAAAAAAGGTATTTTTCTTCACTTCCTGGTCTCATTTGGCTGGTTTAGCTCTCCTAAAAATGCTTGACTTATCAGAGATTTGGGAATGGCCCTTTCATTCAACGAACATTAGAGAGGCAGCTGTGATGAAGATGACAAAAAAGGATGAGAAAATTTATTTTGTCTTTTATTTATTTATTTATTTTTGAGATGGAGTCTCGCTCTGTTGCCCAGGCTGGAGTGCAGTGGCACAATCTCAGCTCACTACAACCTCCCCGCCTCCTGGGTTCAAGCGATTCTCCTGCCTCAGCCTCCCGAGTAGCTGGGACTACAGGCATGTGCCACCACGCTCAGCTAATTTTTGTATTTTTAATAGAGACAGGGTTTCACTATGTTGGCCAGGCTGGTCTCGAACTCCTGACCTTGTGATCTAACCGCCTCGGCCTCCCAAAGTGCTGGGATTAGAGGCATGAGCCATCGCGCCCGGCAGGATGAGACAATTTCTGACCTCCAAGGATGCACAGTCTTGAGAAAGAAGCTGAGAGAGAGGGAGAATCAGACACTGAAAGAACTGCAAAGGCCAGAAAAACTCAATAATAAACATACGCACAACAGCTACAGGGGCCCAGAGTGGTTAGTTCTGCCTGCAGGTGTTAGGAAAGCGTTCTTGGGGGAGAAATTGGAAATGCAGATATAGTGAAAGAATCTTCCTTTTTATCATTTTCCTTTCAGAATTTAGAAATCAATTAAAAACATACAAGTGACCCATACATGCATGCTGAATTGATCTTCCACAAAGGTGAAAGGGCAATTTAATGAAAAGAGGCTATCTGTTGAACAAATGGTGCTAGAACATCCGAAACCCCTATGCAAGATGATGACTCTCGAGCAATACCTGGCACCACATACACCATTTAATGTGAAATGAATTATAAGCCTAAAAGTTAAATTAAAACTTATAAATCTTCTAGAAAAAAAACAGAAGAATCTTTGTAAACTTGAGTTAGGTGAAGATTTCTTAGCTACAATACCCAATGCATGAAACTTAAGAGAAATCACTGATAAACTGAAATTTTATTTTATTTTTTTTTGAAATGGAGTTTTGCTCTGTTGCCCAGGCTGGAGTGCAGCAGTATGATCTCAGCTCACTGCAACCTCTTCCTCCAGGGTTCAAGTGATTCTCCTGCCTCAGACTCCTGAGTAGCTGGAACTACAGGCATGCGCCACGATGTATGGCTAATTTTTATATTTTTAGTAGAGACAGGGTTTCGCCATGTTGGCCAAGCTGGTCTCAATCTCCTGGCCTCAAGTGATCCACCCTCCTCGGTCTCTCAAAGTGCTGGGATTATAGGCATAAGCCACCCAGCCTGGCCCGATAAACTGAATTTCATCAAAATCAAAAACTTCTGCTGTTCTAAAGATACTGTTAAGAGAATAGAGACAAGTCACAGAACGAAGACCAAATGGAGCAACTGGTGTGAATACATATGGTGTGAACTGCTGGTAGTAATGCAAAATAGCACCCTTACTTTGTAAAATACTGTGGCAGGGTCTCCTAAGTTAAGCATATACTTATCCTACGACCTAGCAATTCTACTCCTAATTATTTACCGAAGAGAAATGAAAACTTATGTCCACACCAAAGCCTCTATGTGAATGCTTACAGTGGCTTTATTCATAATCACAAAAAAACTGGAAACAACTCAAATATCCTTCAGTGGATGGATGGATCAATACACGGGTACATCCATACAATGGAACACTACTCAGCAATAGAAAGGAATGAACCACTGATTACATGCAGCGACACATATGGATCTGTTAGAAATGCTTGTTCCCTGGTGCCCTGAAGAAAAAGCACTTGAACATAAATTTAATTTCCTCAGCAAGGCCATTTTTTACTTTCTGCAGAAAGGGTACACTCACCAGCAGTTTTGCCATGAGAGTACACTGAACAAAGGAGACAGGGTCATTTACAACCTGACGCGTCCACCCTACTGCTGTGTCCAGTTTCCATTGGCTGGAACAGGACCTCACATTCTGTATTTGTCCTGATTGGCTAGGAACTTAGAACTTTTTAAAAGAGGCAAAGGCAGAGGAGAACAAAGGAAGGAGGAAGTAACTTGTGGAGTGCTGAGAAAGGTAAAAACACCTTCAAATAAGGAAGAGGAACAGGCCATGACCTAATGCTTGCTTGGACCAGTATAAGCATGCCAGGGCAAATATTTAGGCTAAATTGTGAGAGCTAAGAATATAAAGTACATTGATTTCTTTATTACGGCTAGCAGATATTTAAGAATGTTAGCACAGGTCTTTGAATAAATTTTTCTTCTAAGAGAAGTTACTATTTATTCCTAATTAGATGGGGAGGAAAGTCTTTGAAGAGGAACCTCTACTTTACTTTTTACAGATCTTAAATGCATTAGGACTTAAAAGCTTAGATACTTTATAATTCTACTTATATGACATTCTGTAATAAGCAAAATTCTAAGGTCAGGAAAGTGAGCAGCAGTTGCCAGGGCTGGGAGGGATGACTGATAACAAAAGGAATGAGGGAGACCAGGCGGTGGCTCACGCCTGTAATCCCAGCACTTTGGGAGGCCAAGGCGGGGGGAATCACCTGAGGTTCAGGAGTTTGAGACCAGCCTGGCCAAGATGGTGAAACCCTGCCTCTACTAAAACTACAAAAATTAGCCAGGTGTGGTGGTGCATGCCTCTAATCCCAGCTACTTGGGAGGCTGAGGCAGGAGAATCGCTTGAACCCGGGAGGCGGAGGTTGTAGTGAGCTGAGATCGCACCACTCTGCAGTCCAGCCTGGGCGATAGAGCAAGACTCTGTCTCAGGTTTTGGACTTACTTGGGACCAGCTACCCCTTTCTTCTTGCCTATTGCTCCCTTTTGGAATGGGAATGTCTATCCTATGCCTGCCCCACTGTTGTGTTTTGGAAATAGATAACTTGTTTCATTTCAGGGCTCATGGCTGGAGGGAATTTGAGACAGAGCAAGATTCTGTCTCAAAAAAAAAAAAAGAGGAATGGGTATGCTGGGGTTGGGGGCTGGGAGCTGCAATTTTAAATAAGGTGATCGGGGCCGGGTGTGGTAGCTCACACCTGTAATCCCAGCACTTTGGGAAGCTGAGGCAGGAGGATCGTTTGAGTCCAGGAGTTTGAGATAAGCCTGGGCAACATAGCAAGACATCTCCACAAAAAAAATTTTTAATTAAAAAATAAAAATTAAATAAGGTGATCAGAAGAGCCATCACTGAAGATGACAACTGAGCAAAGACCCAAAGGAGGTGAAGAGTGAACTACGGAGGAAGCACCTTCCTGGCAGAGAACAGCAAGTGCAAAGGCCCTGGGCAGGGAGGATGACTGGGGATCATTCAAGCAAGAGCAAAGAGGCCAATGTGGAAGGAACAGAGTCAGCAAGAAGGAGTGTAAAAGGAGGTAAGTCAGAGGTTATAGTGGGTGGGGAGACGGGGTGAAGCCTCACAGGTGACTGCCAGGGCTCTGGTGCTTGTTTGTTTATTTATTTATATTTTTTGAGACAGAGTCTCACTCTTGTTGCCCAGGCTGGAGTGCAGTGGCGCAGTCTTGGCTCACTGCAACCTCCACCTCCTGGGTTCAGGCGATTCTCTTGCCTCAGCCTCCCAAGTAGCTGGGATTACAGGCGCCATCACGCCCAGCTAATTTTTGTATTTTTAGTAGAGAGGGGGTTTCACCATGTTGGCCAGGCTGGTCTCGAACTCCTGACCTCAGGTGATCTGCCCACCTTGGCCTCCCAAAGTGCTGGGATTACAGGCATAAGCCACTGCACCCGGCCTCTGGTGTTTATTTAGAAGGAGCTGGGAAGGTACTGGAAGGTTTGCAGCTGAGGCGAGACAGAAATATGACATTTAAAATGATTAGCTCTGGCTGCTGTAGGGAGAAGAAACTAAGGAAATACCAGCAGAAGCAGGGACCCTGGCCAAGAGGCTAATGAAATCATCCAAGTGAGAGATGACAGGGGCTTGGACAAGCAGAGGTGACCTGGATAGACTCTGAAGTTACGGTTACCTGAAAGACTGGTACGGGGTTTGACAGAAAAAGAAGAGTCAAGGAAGATCCCAAAGTTATTGGCCCTGGGCAAGCAGAAACATGAAGCTGGGTTTAACTGAACAAAGGAAGAAGTGACTATATCAGATCTGGGGACAAGATATGAAGTTCAGTTTTTTATTTTTATTTCATTATTTTGAGAGTCTCACTCTGTCGCCCAGGCTGGAGTGCGGTGGCATGATCTCAGCTCACTGCAACCTCCGCCTCCCGGGTTCAAGCGATTCTCCTGCCTCAGCCTCCTGAGTAGCTGGGATTACAGGCGTGTGCTATCACGCCTGACTAATTTTTGTACTTTTAGTAGAGATGGGGTTTCACCATGTTGGCCAGGCTGGTTTGTAACTCCTGACCTCAGGTGATCCACCTGCCTCAGCCTCCCAAAGTGCTGGGATTACAGGCGTGAGCCACCATGCCCGGCCTGTCTGATTATTTTAATTAAGACTTTAAGTCAGACAGAGGAGCTTATTTTGGCTACTCTAGATCCTCTGTTGCACATGCATTTTAGAATCAGCTTTATTTTTACTAAATTTTATTTGTATTTTACTGATTTTTTTTATTTTACTAAACTTTATTTTTATTTTATTTTATTTTTTTGAGACAGAGTCTGGCTCTGTCACCCAGGCTGGAGTGCAGTGGTGCAATCTCGGCTCACTGCAAGCTCCGCCTCCCAGGTTCAAGCCATTCTCCTGCCTCAGCCTCCTGAGTAGCTGGGACTACAGGCGCCCGCCACCACGCCCGGAGAATTTTTTGTATTTTTAGTGGAGACGGGGTTTCACCGTGTTAGCAAGGATGGTCTCGGTCTCCTGACCTCGTGATCCGCCCACCTCGGCCTACCAAAGTGCTGGGATTACAGGCGTAAGCCACTGCGCCCGGCAGATGGTTACTTCTTGAGTGAACTTTGGTAGTTTGTGTCATTCAAGGAATCTGTTTCTTCTAGATTGCTGATCAATATTCAGTTATTACACTTTCAATATCTTTAGAATCTGTGTGATGTCATCTCTTTCACTGCTGATATTACAGTTATTGTCTTCCCTTTTTTCCCCTGATCAGTCTGGGTAGAGGTTTATGAGTTTCATTGCTCTCTCAAATAACTAGCTTTTGGTTTCATGATTTCTGTACTGGTTTTCTGTTTCATTGATTTCCAGACTGGCCTTTTCTTTTTCTTTCTTTCTTTCTTTTTTTTTTGAGACGGAGTCTCGTTCTGTCGCTAGGGTGGAGTGCAATGGCGCGATCTCGGTTCACTGCAACCTCCGACTCCCTGGTTAAAGCGATTCTCCTGCCTCAGCCTCCTGAGTAGCTGGGATTACACAGGCAAGCGCCACCACGCCCAGCTAATTTTTGTATGGTTAGTAGAGACGGGGTTTCACCATGTTGGCCGGGATGATCTCAATCTCCTGACCTTGTGATCTGCCCGCCTCAGCCTCCCAAAGTGCTGGGATTACAGGCATGGGCCTCCCTGCCTGGCCACACTGGCTTTTTCTTCTGCTTAATTGGGGTTTCACTAGTCTTCATTTTTTCTAATTTCTAAAAGTGGGACCCCAAGGTCATTGATTTGGGACCTTTGTTCTTTTCTGATACAGATGCTCAACTTAAAATTGGGTTACATCCTGAAAAACCCATCATAAAATTGAAAAATGTAAGTTGAGACGTCATAAGTCAGGGACCATCTGCACTATATAAATTTCCCTTTAGCTCCATCACACAAATTTTATGTGGCACTTTCACCTTCATTCAGTTCCAGATACTTACTTACTTCGCTGTTGATTTTCTTTGACCCATGATTTACTTAAAATTATGTTATTTTCCAAATATTTGAAAGATCTTCCAGATACCTTTCTGTTATTAATTCCTCATTTAATTCCTTGTGGCCAGAGATCATACTTTCTTTTTTTTTTTTTTTTTTTTTTTTGGAGATGGAGTCTCGCTCTCTCAGCCAGGCTGGAGTGCAGTGACACCATCTCGGCTCACTGCAACCTCATCCTCCCGGGTTCAAGTGATTCTCCTGCCTCAGCCTCCTGAGTAGCTGAGACTACAGGTGAGCGCCACCATGCCCAGCTGATTTTTTGTATTTTTAGTAGAGAAGGGGTTTCACCATGTTAGCCAGGATGGTCTTGATCTCCTGACCTCGTGATCCGCCCGCCTCAGCCTCCCAAAGTGCTGGGATTACAGGCGTGAGCCACCGCACCTGGCCAGAGATCATACTTTCTACAAATTGAATCAGCTTACATTCACTGAGGCTTTTGTTTGTTTGTTTTTTTCGAGACGGAGTCTCACTGTTGCCCAGCTGGAGTGCAGTAGTGCAATCTCGGCTCACTGCAACCTCTGCCTCCCGGGTTCAAGTGATTCTCCTGCCTCAGCCTCCTGAGTAGCTGGGATTACAGGTATCCACCACTACACACAGCTAATTTTTGGTATTTTTCGTAGAGACGGGGTTTCACCACGTTGGCCAGGCTTGTCTCGAACTCCTGACCTCAGGTGATCCGCCCGCCTTGGCCTCCCAAAGTGCTGGGATTACAGGCGTGAGCCAACCCGCCGGGTCTACTGAGGCTTTTAAAATGGCCCAGAAAATGATTTGTCTTGGAAACAGTTCCATATGCACTTGAAAAGAACGTGTATTCTGCTGTTTAGGGGTCGAATGTTCTACTGAACATCAATTAAGTCAAGTCAGTTGATTATATTGTCCAAATCTTCTATATCCTCACTGATTTTTGTCTACTTGTTCTATCAGTTTTTGTGAGAGAGTTGTTAAACCTTCAACTATAATTACAGATTTATTTCTCCTTGAAAAGTTTGTATTTTGAATCTCTGTTAATACATGCATAAACATTTAGAATTATGTCTTGATGAATGTATCTCTTTATTATTATGAAATAATTCTCCTTTATCCTTGGTGACATTCATTTTAAAATATAGTTTGTTTAATATGCCACTAAGGTTTTCTTTTCATTAATGTTAACATATTAACATCTTTTTCCACTCTTTTGCTTTTAACGTATTTGTATTTTTATATTCAAAGTGGGATAACTGTAGACAGCATATAAATATAAATAGGTCTTGCTTTTTTATCCAATCTCACAATGTCTGCTTTTAATGAGGATTTTTTTTTTTTAAGATGGAATCTCGCTGTCACCCAGGCTGGAGGAGTGCAGTGGTGTGATCAGAGCTCACTGTAGCCTCAAACTCCTGGGCTCAAGTGATCCTCCCACCGTAGCCTCCTGAGTGGAACTACACCACCACACCTGGCTAATTTTTTTTTTTTTTTTTTTTTTTGTAGAGATGGAGTCTCACTTGGCTTCCAAAGCTGGTCTCAAACTCCTGGCTTCAAGTGATCCTCCTAATCCACCTCCCAAAATGCTGGGATTACAGGCATGAGCCACTCTGCCTGGCCCTTAATGGTGAATTAATTATTGATATGAATTTTAACCTACCATCTTGCTCTTTGTTTCATATTTGTCCCATCTGCTCTGTTTGCTTTTCCTGTTTAGTTTTTTTTTCTGCCATCTTTTGGATTATTTAAAGATATTTATCCCAACTTTTTTTTTTTTTTTTTTTTTTTTTTGAGACGGAGTCTCACTCTGTCGCTCAGACTACAGTGCAGTAGCACTATCTCCGCTCACTGCAACCTCTGCCTCCTGGGTTCAAGTGATTCTCCTGCCTCAGCCTCCCGAGTAGCTGAGATTACGGGCAGGTGCCACCACCATGCCCGGCTAATTTTTGTATTTTTAGTAGAGACAAAGTTTCACCCTGTTGGTCAGGCTGGTCTCGAACTCCTGACCTCATGATCCACCCACCTCGGCCTCCCAAAGTGTTGGGATTATATCCCAACTTTTTATTGTTGTTGGCTCATTAGCTATAACTCTGCTACTATAGATTTTATCATATGCATCTTTAACTTATCACAGTCTACCTTCAATTGACATTATACAACTTCACATGTAGTGTAAAAAGCTTACAAGAGTATATTTGTTCTCCCACTCCCAGTCTTTGTGCTGCTATTGTCATAAACTTTACTTCTATGTAAGTTACAAATGCTACAATGTGTAATTACCTCTAAGACATATCTTTTAATGAGACTGAAACAAAAAGAAAAAATATCTTATGTATTTATCCACTTAGTTACCCTTTGCATTGTCTTCATTTATTTTTATAGCTCCAGTTTTCTTTTATTTGTTTGTTTATTTAGACAGAGGGTCTCACTCTGTCACCCAGGCTGGAATGCAGTGGTGCGATCATAGCTCACTGCAGCCTGGGACTCCTGGTGGCTCCAGTTTTCTACCAGTTATCATTCTCTTTCTGCTTTAATTACATCCTTTGATATTTCTTGTACTGCATATCTACTGGTAATAAATTCTTCCTTTTTTTTTTTAAAGTCTGAAAGAGACCTTATTTTGCCTTCATTTTTGAAAGGTATTTTCACTGAGAAAAGAATTCTAGGTAGACAACTGTTTTCTTTCTTTGCTTTAAATGTATTGTTCCACTGTTAACCTGGCTTACATTGTTTCCAATGAGAAATCTGGTGTCACCCTGATCTTAAGTATATAATGTATCTTTTTCTTTGGCCATTTTAAACCATGGTTTTAAGCAATTTGCTTAAGATGTGCCTTAGTATATAGTTTTTCTTCATGTTTCCTGTGCTTGGAGTTCCTTGAAATTCTTGGATCTGTGTGTTTACTGCTTTCATTACACTTGGAAATTTTTCAGCCATTTTTTTTTCTCTCTCTATATATATTTTTTGGTCCCTCATACCCTCCCTTCCTTCAGGGACTCCAATTCCACACACATTTGGCTACCTGATGTTGTCCCTCACTTTACTGATGTTGTGTTCATGTATTTTTTTCAGGGTTTCTTTTTTTTTTCTGCTTCATTTTGGATAGTTTCTATGGTTAAGTCTTCAAAATCACAAATCTTTACTTGTGCAATGTTTATTCTGACAGTCTTCAGTGTATTTTTCATCTCTGTATCTTTCTTTTTTGTGGAGACGGAATCTTGCTCTCTCGCCCAGGTTGGAGTGCAGTGGTACGATCTTGGCTTACTGCAACCTCTGCCTCCCAGGTTCAAGTGATTCTCCTGCCTCAGCCTCCCGTATAGTTGGGATTATAGGTGCACGCTACCACACCCAGCTAATTTTTGTATTTTTAGTAGAGGTGGGGTTTCACCATGTTGGCTAGGCTGGTCTTGAACTCCTGACCTCAGGTGATCCACCTACCTTGGCCTCCCAAAGTGCTGGCATTACAGGCGTGAGCCACCATGCCCAGCCATCATCTTTCATGTCTTTACTTAACATATTAAATCTTTTCTTTAGCTTACTGAACACATGGAATACAATTATAATGACTAATGTCTGTAATGTACTACTTATATAATCTGTCTCATTTCTGGTCAGTTATTGGTTGTATGTTACTACTTCTGCTCATACCTAGTAATTCTGGAATGGCTGGTAAACATTGTGCATTTTACCACACTCGGTCCTAGATGGTTTTGTATCCCTAAAAATATTCTTCAGCTTTTGTTTGGAAAAGGTTTGATCTTTTTGGTCTTGCTCTTAACCTTTGCTAAGCAAGACCAGAATAGCATTTATTCTAGGATTAATTTTTCCCAACTATTGAGGCAAGACTTTTGTGATGATTAACATTATGTGTCAACTTGACTGGGCCATACGTGCTCAGATCTTTGGTCAAACGTTAGTCTGGCAAAATGCGTAAAGCAGCTTGGCCTCCCTAATGTGGGTGAGCCCCATTCAATCTGTTAAAGGCCTGAATTGAACAAAAAATCTGACCCTTTCCTGAGTAAAAGAGAATTCTTCCAGCCTAACTGCCTTCGAACTGGGACATCAACTTTTTTCCTGCCTTTGGACTTGAACTGAAACATTGGCTCTGCCTGGGTCTTGAGCCTGTCAGCCTTTGGACTATAGCCACATCATTGGCTCTCCTAAGTCTCCATCTTGCTGACTCGCCCTGCAGATTTTTGGGACTTATCAGCCTCCATAATCACGTGGCAATTCCTTACAATAAATTTCTTCACACGTGCACACACACACACACACACACACACACTCTCTCTCTCTCTCTCTCTCTCTCTCTCTCTCTCTCAAGAACCTTCACTAATACAACTCTTCTTAGTACTCCAATCAATACCCCTGAATCATGAAATGTTCTACTCTGCTACTGGGAACAGGAACTATTTCTGGCCCTGTGTGAACTCCGTAAATGGTTCTCTCTAATCCTTTTGAGTGGCTCCTTCCCTGAACTAAGGGGTTTCCTCACATGGGTGCACTGATCAGTACTCAACCGAATACTCGAGTGGGCTCCCTGGGCATCTGCAGGCCAGTGTTCTCTTCTCTGTGCATCTCTTGCCTCTTTGTTTCTCTGCCTGTGAACTCTAGCTGCCCCAGCTGCCCTGGATTTTCATTTTACCTCTTCAATGAGGAGAGACTGCTGGGGCCTGCTGATGTTCCTTCTCCCCGCACCGCGGTCTGGAAACTTTCTCCGAGCATTAAATCAGAGCAATCATAGGGCTCTATTTCTCAGGTCTCAGGATTCGCTGTTCTTAATCACCTTAGACCTAATAACTTCAGAGTTTGACATATTTTCTCCAGTTTTACAGTTGTTTCAGGTGACAGGGTAAATCTGAGCCCCATTAGCTTAGCCAATCATGTGTGGACACAAATGTAAGAATTTTAAGAGTTCAGTTTTGACCTGTTAGATAAGTAGTTGAGTATACAAATCTGGGATTTATAAATGTGGGAGTCATCAGAGTATGGCTGGAGTTTAGAGCTACAAGACTAAACAGTCTCACCACAGAAGTGTTCAAGGTGAAACTGTCTTATTTTATGTAAAAGATGAATGCGAGGCAAGTCTGAAGGCCCTATCTATCTACCCACCTGCCTACCTACCTACCTGCCCACCCATCTTGAAATTGGGATAAAAAAGCTGGGTGCGATGGCTCATGCCTGTAATCCCAGCACTTTGGGAGGCCAAGGTGGGCGAATCACCTGAGGTCAGGAGTTCGAGACCAGCCTGGCCAACACGGTGAAACCCCATCTCTACTAAAAATACAAAAATTAGCCAGGCGTGGTGGTGCATGCCTGTAGTCCCAGTTACTCGGGAGGCTGAGGCAGAAGAATTGCTTGAACCTGGGAGGTGGAGGTTGCAGTGAGCCGAGATTGTGCCACTGCACTCCAGCCTGGGTGACAGAGCACGACTCCATTTCAAAAAAAAAAAAAAGAAGAAGAAGAAGAAGAAGAAGAAGAAGAAGAAAAGAAATTAGGATAAAGGTTGTCACAGCAATACCGGGTTAACATGCTTATTTGATTTAAAAAAATGAAGTCAAAATTTTACTGACAGAAAGTAAATCTATGTTTGACCAGTTAATCTGTTTTTTTTTTTTTGATCAGTTAATTTGATAAAGAGAACTGGCTTGCCAATTTATATAAATCTACATCTGCAAAAATTTTTTAAATTATAATTAAGGGAGGGCAGGCACAGTGGCTCACGCCTGTAATCCCAACACTTTGAAAAGCTGAGGTGGGGGGGATCACCTGAGGTCAGGAGTTCGAGACCAGCCTGACCAACATGGTGAAACCCCATCTCAACTAAAAATACAAAAATTAGCCGGGCATGGTGGCGGGTGCCTGTGATCCCAGCTACTCGGGAGGCTGAGGCAGGAGAATCTCTTGAACCCTAGAGGCAGTGACTGCGGTGAGCCGAGATCGCACCATTGCACTCCAGCCTGGGTGACAGAGTGAGACTCCATCTCAAAAAAAAAAAAAAAAAAAACTATATATATATATATATATATATATAAAATTAAGGAATGTATAAAATATAATGGAAAATACATCCTTTACAACTATTTAAACTTATAATAAAAATCTTAGATGTCAATTTAAATGTGCAAGGGGGTAAATACAGTTTTTAAAAATTCTATTAGAAGACCAGGCGTGGTAGCTTAAGCCTGTAATCCCAGCACTTTGGGAGGCCACGGCGGGCAGATCACTTGAAGTCAGGAGTTCAAGACCAGCCTGGCCAACACGGTGAAATCCCGTCTCTACTAAAAATACAAAAATTAGTCAAGCATGGTGGCATGCGCCAGCTACTCAAGAGGCTGAGGCATGAGAATCTCTTGAACCCAGGAGGTGGAGGCTGCAGTGAGCTGAGATTGTGGCACTGCACTCTAGCCTGGTCAACAGAGTGAGACTGCATGTCAAAACAACAAATTCTGTTACGGAGTACACAGGAAAGTTTGAAGACCACTGGATGATGGCCTACTCACACAATAGAATACCATGCAGGTATGAAATATAAAAGCAAACTTTTTTTTTTAAGATGGAGTCTCACTCTGTCGCCCCAGCTGGAGTGCTGTGGCAGGATCTCGGCTCACTGCAACCTCTGCCTCCCGGGTTCAAGCGATTCTCCTGCCTCAGCCTCTCGGGTAGCTGGGATTACAGGCGCCCGCCACTACGCCCAGCTAAGTTTTTGTATTTTTAGTAGAGATGGGGTTTCACCATGTTGGCCAGGCTAGTCTCGGACTCCTGACCTCCTGATTCGCCTGCCGCGGCCTCCCAAAGTGCTGGAATTACAGGCATGAGCCACTGTGCCCAGCCAAAAACAAATTTTTTAAAATAATGATGAAACTTTCTATAGACAAATAGGAAAATGTATCCAAGACATATTGTTATGTTAAAAAAATAAAGGTGTGTAGGTCCAGAATACTTTACACAGTATGCTAGCTTTTGTGTGTAAGAATGGGATTTAAAAGTATATACTTATATTTGTGTAAATTAAGACATATAACATTTTATGTCATAATTAATTTTTTTGAGACAGTCTTCACTTCACTTTGTTGTCCAGGCTGGTCTTGAACTTCTGGGGCTCAAGTGATCCTCCCACCTCTGCCTACCAAGTAGCTGGGACTACAGGCGTGCATCACTGCACCCTGCTTATGCTAATTTTTAAATGTGTGAATGCAATTTTTTTTAAAGTCCTCACAGGAAATAGAGCTGGCCTGGCTTACTAACAAGCTTAAATGCAATATGGAGTTCTCTGGGATACAAGCCTTATTGGTACAACTACCTACAGTAATTAAATCACCTTGGATTGACTCCAAGGCAGATTTATCTTACCATAAAGGCAACAGCTTTAGTCTTTTTGCCTCAAAAGAAGAGCCAGACTGTGAGCTCCTTGTGGGTTGAAATTATATCTGATCCATGTTTGTATATCTGTTAAGCAAATGGTATTATAGTGAGCTTCCACAGACCTACCTCCTAAGGATGGTGACAGATATCTACCATTGAAGAGTTTGCTGGGATTCTACCTGGTGGCATCTGGTCTTTGACCAGCTTCTGTAGACATGAGGTTTGCAGAAGCACCATTTTCACTAACTATTGTAACTCTCATGGGGTCTTCTTAATCTGGTCCTCTGGGCCAGACACCTGCTTTCTTCCTATTTTAAATCATTTGCATCTCTCTCTGACTGGTATAATTCCACCATTCTGAAACTGCAGTTGCCACGCTGAAAATGTTGTTATAAATAAGATTATTCATTTAAAACACACATTAACTTCAGAACAAAAAGGTTAAAAAAACCTCATGAGGAGATCCTCTGTCCTGCCTGTCTAAAAGACAGGTCAGTAACTTTGTTTAACTGAAGGGCTTCCCCCTTCATCCCCCTACTTAATAAGAGCTGGCTTTTAAAGGACATGGCTTAACAGAATTGTCAAGGTCCTGAGTTACTACTGAAACCAGCTGAACTGACTCTGGCTTCTGTGGTTTGAGTTGGCATGTCAAAATGAGTTTCCCTGCATCTAAGTCTTCTCCCCTCCTTAAACAGAGAAGGGAACTGGCCCTTCCTATCTCTCTGAAGCCAACTTCTGCTCACTTCTTTCTTCCTTCCCCTCCTACTTTTTCTCTTTTCTTGGGAAACTTTGGAGATCAATCAATCATAAACAATTGTTCTGTCATTATGAATATACCGAAGAAATATCTAGTACAAGTAAACAGTCAAGAAATTCCGTAAGAAAAAGAAAAACTTTCTAGGCCTGTGATTGTAGAAGGTTTATTCATATTAAAATGTGCCACTTTGAAAATGTTGTTATAGCTGGGTGCAGTGGCTCATGCCTGTTATCCCAGCACTTTGGGAGGCCGAGGTGGGTGAATCACGAGGTCAGGAGTTCGAGACCAGCCTGACCAATATTGTGAAACCCCGTCTCTACTAAAAACACAAAACAAATTAGATGGGAGTGGTGGCATGTGCCTGTAGTCCCAGCTACTCGGGAGGCTGAGGCAGGAGAATCACTTGAACCCAGGAGGCAGAGGTTGCAGTGAGCCAAGACTGTGCCACTGCACTCCAGCCTGGGTGACAGTGCGAGACTCTGTCTCAAACAAACAAACAAACAAAACAGAAAAGAAAATGTTGTTATAAACAAGATTATTCACTTAAAAGACATATTAACTTCAGAACAAAAAGGTTAAAAGAAAACCTTATGAGGAGATACTCTGTCTTGCCTGTCTAAAGACAAGTCAATAACTTTGTTTAACTGAGAGACCTCCCTCTTGGTCCCCCTACTTAATATGAGCTGGCTTTTGATAGATGACTCTTTGGGCTAGAAATAGAAGTTAATATTAGCTTAAAAACAAGTCTATGCATCCTTCTGATTTTATTATGATATAAAAACAATGTTAACACAACAATTAAATCAACCCAAGATTTGGGCTTAACTTCTCGTGATTTAAACCTTCTAAATTAACTACATTAGTTTTATAGGTCCAGTAGGATCTCGTTTGCACAAATTGTTTAAAATTTCAAAAATATAAAACTGTTTAATTGAAAGAAATTGTAATAAAAGACATCTTTTTAAAATGATTTAGTCTCATGAATTTTTTCTTTTCGAGACGGAGTTTGGCTCTTGTTGCCCAGGCTGGAGTGCAATGGCGCGATCCTGGCTCACTGCAACCTCCACCTCCCGGGTTCAAGCGATTCTCCTGCCTCAGCCTCCTAAGTAGCTGGGATTACAGGCATGCGCCACACGCCCACTAATTTTGTATTTTTAGTAGAGACGGGGTTTCTCCATGTTGGTCAGGCTTGTCTCGAACTCCTGACCTCAGGTGATCTGCCCACCTCGGCCTCCCAAAGTGCTGGGATTACAAGTGTGAGCCACTGGTGTGAGCTCACTGCCGAGATCCGCCTCCTGGGTTCACGCCGTTTTTCTGCCTCAGGCTCCCAGGTAGCTGGTACTACAGGCGCCCACCACCACGCCCTGCTAATTTTTTTGTATTTTTTTAGTAGAGACAGGGTTTCACCGTGTTAGCCAGGATTGTCTCGATCTCCTGATCTCGTGATCCACCCGCCTCAGCCTCCCAAAGTGCTGAGATTACAGGCGTGAGCAACTGTGTCCGGTCATTTTTTTTTTTTTCTTAAGAGGTCTCACTCAGTCTCTTGGGCTGAAGAACAGTGGCATGATCATAGCTCACTGCAGCTTCAAACTCCTGGGCTCAAACAGTTCTCCTGCCTCAGTCTCCTGGGTAGCTGGGACCACAGGTGTGTGCTTTGCCTCATTAATTCTTAAAACACTTCAAGTCATAAAGACTTTGATGTGTTGGCCTAAGTTTTAATTTCCAGGTGTTTAGTCAACTTTAAGATCTCTTTAGCTGATAATAAACTGAGTTAATAATCTTTGGAGACATGGACAATTTCTAATTAGGAAAAAGGTCCAAACACCAGCCTTATGTATTCCGTTTTCAATAAACCTTTTATTGAAAATTGTCAAATGGATGATATACAAAAAGTGAAATCAGAATTTGTTTCCTTTCTGTAAAATGGCCAAGTTATTCTACCTCCAGATAACAGATTCCTTTCCTTTTTATCCTCAAAATATTTTGTTAACTATCTGAATTTTCCAGCATATTCAGGAATCGTTTTAACAAAATGTTCAACTTTTTAAAGTTACATCTCTATAACCATTTTATTTATTGTTGTATGTTTCCAAATTATTGCCTTTAACAATTTTGTGTCTTAGGATATTATGATTTATGTCATGCACAGACATGACAGAAACATGCATAGAAAAAGTCAAAGCATTTTTGGCTGGGTGGCTCAGAAAAGAGAAGCCAGGAAACTATGAATAACAAAGAGAGCCGGCTGGGCGCAGTGGCTCTCGCTTGTAATCCCAGCACTTGGGGAGGCTGAGGCGGGTAGAGCATGAGTTCACGAGTTCGTGACCAGCCTGGCCAACATGGCAAAACCCCTTCTCTACTAAGAATACAAAAATTAGCCGGGCGTGGTGGTGCGGGCCTGTAATCCCAGCTACTCAGGAGGCTGAGGCAGGAGAATCGCTTGAACCCGGGAGGTAGGGGTTGCAGTGAGCTGAGATCGCGCCATTGCACTCCAGCCTGGGTGACAGAGGAAGACTTCTGTCTCTAAATAAATAAACAAATAAATAAATAGACTGAAGTAATCCTAGAAGGGAAAAAGGCAGGGGAAGATCTCCAATCCCCGTACAATCACATCCCTGACTGACCCTTGAGCCACTCATGCATGGGACAGACACAAAGCAGCTCAGCTACAGACTAAAGATCTCAGAGAGAAACACATTTGTGTTCAAACCCAGCCAAGAAAACCACCTGATAAAACCAAACAAGTATTAGAGAAAAGTAACAGAATCCAGAATATCCAGAATTTGACATTCATACAGTCCAGTAAACAATCCAGAACTACCCACCATACAAAGAAGCAAGACAGTGGGACAAATTAGTTCAACTGCCAGTCTAACCTGCAGATCAACAAAATGCTGGAATAGACAAAGATTTTAAGCAGCTATTATAATCATCTCAATGAAGCAGTATAAGGCATGTTTCCAATGAATGAAAATCTCAGCTAAGAAGTAGGAAATCTCAATGGGGGAAATAGGAACAACAAAAAATAATTAAATGGCAATTCTAGAACTGAAAAAAATTAACTTTTTGAAATAAAAAATTCACTGGATATACTCAGCTGAATGGACAAAGAAAAGGACAGTATGTGCATTTCAAAAAAGATGAGTAGAAATTAACCAAGATGAAGAAGAGAGATAAAAAATTGAAAAGGCTGGCATAGTGGCTGACACCTGTAATCCTAGCATTTTGGGAGACCAGGGCAGGTGGATTGCTTGAGCCCAGGAGTTCAAGACCAGCCTGGGCAACATGGCAAGACTCTGTTTCTAGTAAAAATCAAAAAATTAGCCAGGCGTGGTGGCACGTGCCTGTGGTCCCAGCTACTCAAAGAGGCTGAGGCAGGAGGATGGCTTAAACCCAGGAGGCCAAAGTTGCAGTGAGTCGTGATCACACCGCTGTACCATCCAGCCTGGGCAACAGAGAGAGACCATTTCAAAAAAAAAAAAAAAGACTGAAGGAAAAAAATGAACAGACTCAGAGACTTGCTACATAATGTCACGTGTTCCAGTGGGTAACTACAATACCAAAAGGAGAGGGACAGGGAGAATGGGGTAGAAAAAATTTAGAAGAAACAAGAGCCAAAAACTGCCCAAACTTAATGATACGCAGATACTTGAAGATGCAAGATGCTGAATGTACACCAAGAAGAAACAAAGCAGCTTGCACTTCATAGTCAAATACTCCAAAACCAAAGATAAAGAGCAAATCTTAAAAGCAGTGAGAGAGAAAGGGCAGGTATGGGAACAGGTATTAAACAGATGAGAACAAGGACCCAATGAAGGGCTGACTTCTCATCGGAACACATGAGCCAAAAGACAGTGAAACATCTATAAGGGGCAAAAACAAAACAAAAGCCAACAACAAAAAGACACAACCCAAAACTAAAACCAATACCAAAAAACTTGTCAACCTCTATACTCTCGGATTATAATTCTATACCCAGAGAAAATATCCTTTAAAAATGAAGGCAAAGGGAAGACATCTTCAGATGAAGGAGAAAACAAAGAAAATCCATTGTCAGCTGGGCTTGGTGGCTCACGCCTGTCATCCCAGCACTTTGGGAGGCTGAAGCAGGCAGATCACGAGGTCAAGAGATCGAGACCATCCTGGCCAACATGGTGAAACCCCGTCTCTACTAAAAACACAGAAATTAACTGGGCGTGGTGGCACGCACCTGTAGTCCCAGCTGCTCGGGAGGCTGAGGCAGGAGACTCGCTTGAACCCAGGAGGTGGAGGTTGCAGTGAGCCAAGTGTGCCACTGCACTCCAGCCTGCATGATTGAGCAAGATCCTATCTCAAAAAAAGAAAGGAAAAAGGGCCGGGCACTGTGGCTCAGGCCTATAATCCCAGCACTTTGGGAGGCTGAGGTAGGTGGGTCACTGAGGCCAGGCATTCAAGACCAGCCTGGTCAACAGGGTGAAACCCCGTCTCTACTAAAAATACAAAAATTAGCTGGGTGTGGTGGCGGGCCCCTGTAATCCCAGCTACTTGGGAGGCTGACGCTGAGAATTGCTTGAACCCAGCAGGCAGAGGTTGCAGTGAGCCGAGATCGTGCCTCTGCACTCCAGCCTGGGCGACACAGAGAGACTGTCTCAAAAAAAAGAAAAAAAAAAAAAGGAAAGAAAAAGGAAAAGAAAGTGAAATAGAAAAGAAGGTAGGGAAAATCATATGCTCACACAATGGTGAATACACAAATGTTCATAGCAGCTGTACTATAATAGCCTCAAGTTGGAAGCAATCTAATGTTATCCACTAGTAAAATGGATAAATTGTGAGATATTCATATAATGCAATATTACTCACCAAGAAAAAGAGGAAATGTAAATACATACA
The DNA here is from genome assembly GCF_000001405.40 of Homo sapiens. NCBI lineage: Eukaryota > Metazoa > Chordata > Mammalia > Primates > Hominidae > Homo > Homo sapiens. The sequence goes on along the minus strand of NC_000009.12, from coordinate 130,800,711 downwards.
ACAGGAGTAAATCTCAAAAAAATGATGCTAAGAGTAAAAGAAATCAAATACAAAAGTCTATGATTTTTATATAACTTTTATATGGTTCCATTCATAGGAATTTCTTGAAAAGACAAAACTACAGACACAGAAAGTGGATAAGTGTTTGTCTGGGGCCAGAGGCTGAGGGAAGGAATCCACTGGAAAAAGGCACAGGAAAACTTTTAATGTTGAGAGAACTGTTTTTTGGTTTTGGGTTCTTTTTTTTTTTCAATAGGTTTTTGGGGAACACATGGTGTTTGGTTACATGAATAAGTTCTGTAGTGGTGGTTTCTGAGATTTTGGTGTATCCATCACCAAAGCAGCGTAGAGAACTGTTTTATAATCTTGGCTGTGTTTGAGGTTACATGATTGACACACAGTAATTCACCAAAATGTATACTTAAAAATGGGTGGATATTATATGTAAATAATACCTTAATTTTTTTAAAAGTACTTTAAAAAATAATCACCCAGCCCACATCCTAAAATTCAATAAGTATCTATAAAAATACATTTTATAGTTGGGTGCGGTGGCTCACGTCTGTAATCCCAGCACTTTGGAAGGCTGAGGCGTGTGGATCACGAGGTCAGGAGTTCGAGACCAGCCTGACCAAGATGGTGAAACCCCGTCTCTCCTAAAAAATACAAAAATTAGCCAGGCCTGGTGACAGGTGCCTGTAGTCCTAGCTACTTGGAAGGCTGAGGCAGGAGAATCACTTGAACTGGGGAGGCAGAGGTTGCAGTGAGCCGAGATTGCGCCACTGCACTCTAGCCTTGGCGACAGAGCAAGACTCCATCTCTAAAGAAAAAAAAAAAAGTATAAATATCCCAAAATTTATAAATAAGTATCCTCTCTTGACTAACACACTCTGTCAAGGTAGCGTCCATTATTACACAAAGCTTTTTTTGATTGACAGAGTTCCCTGGAAGTCTCCGAGGAGTTACTATTGGCAAATTTCAATTATATGGTACTTATAAAATAAGTTACACACTTTATCATCATGATATTAATAATGGTCAACACTTCACTTACTGTGTACTTACAATGCCTCAAGCACTTTCTATGCAATATTCCATTGAAATCCCATCAAACCTTTTAAGGAAGTGCCATTATCTAATCCGTATTTTTTTGCAAGATGAAATTGAGGCCATAGGATAAAGTTATTTGCCCAGGGTCACAGCTAACACATGATAGAACCTAGATTAGCACCTAGACTAGGGTATGTCTACCCCTTAGAAGTACATGAAGACTTTCCATGGGTTATTGGACATGGATTACTTTAAAGGAGTAAACTGTCAAACCTCTACCTGCTCTTTGCTCTTTCCTAGTGTCAATCTGCCTGAAACGATGCACCTGTAACCCATCAATAATTCTTTCCCATGGCCCTTTCGTGGTCACACTTCATGCATTTTACAAAAGCAAAGCTCACCTTGCACTTATCCTAAATCTCACTATGGAGCATCTCCGATGGGTGCAAACACCTCCAAGAGGCCAAACGCTGCTCCAAATACTGGCGTAAGTGAAGCCTCCTTTTCTCATGGCACCTTACTTAGCCTACAGCTTTATGACTCCCCTGGCTTTACAGATATTTCTATTAAGGATAAAGCAAAGTGCTCTTCTGAACTCATATACATCATAGAGTGGGTGGTGTGTGTAAAGATGATTTTTGTTTAACCACCTTGCTTCCTCCATTCCCTTCCAATTCTTTTTTTTTTTTTTTTTTGAGACGGAGTCTCTGCCACCCAGGCTGGAGTGCAGTGGCACGATCTTAGCTCACTGCAACCTCCGCCTCCTGGGTTCAAGCAATTCTTCTGCCTCAGCCTCCCGAGTAGCTGGGACTACAGGCATGCCCCACCACACCCAGCTAATTCTTTTTTGTATTTTTAGTAGAGACAGGGTTTCACCATATTGGCCAGGTTGGTCTCAAACTCCTGACCTCGTGATCCACCCGCCTCAGCCTCCCAAAGTCCCAGGATTACAGGCGTGAGTCACCATGCCCGGCCCCCCCTTCCAATTCCTAAAGAATCCGTTGTTACTGTGGGAAGAGGCCTGGAGAACAAAGCCAAGTATGCCATACAAAGGCATGGCAGGACATACTAAGGTACAGGTGCTTTATTTCATCCAGATGAGAAACCATGGCAAAGTGCTGTAGGGTTTTCAAGAAACAGAAAAGCCATGCTGGAAAATACCACTCCATCTCACAGCATGCCTCCTCTGCACTCCCACTATCTCAGTAGTTAGATTAACTTCATAGGAATATGTTACAGACTCCACTGCAAGCGATACTTAATAACCATCACTAATATAGCTTTTCTAAGTCCCACAATTAGTATGGTCCAATGTCTTTCTCTGCCTTTTGTTAATGATGTCCACAAAGTAAATTAAACTGTACTCTGAGAAGCAGAGCCTTCACTTTCATGTATGAGTGTGGGGTAGAATGTTTCAAAACTGCAATGTGGAAAGAAATGTCTCAAATACTCAAAAAGCCAGGAGAAAAAGTTATGAGGGAATATTCAACAAACTTAATAGTGAAGTGATTAAAAAGATTTTTCTTATTTTGTTTTTCAAAAAGCAAATGCTACCTTTGTAATAAAAACAATTTCAATCAAAAAGTATTTGACAGAACAAGAATTAAAAACTAATCTTTTGCCTACTTCTACTATTTCTTCTGGAAGCTGTATCAATTCTGACCTGCTGAAGAAATTAAATCAAGGAGGGGAAGGGGAGAGAAAGAGAGAGGGAAAAAAGTGAAAAGACATGGGGCACAGTCTCTTGATGCAGTGTTTGAACTTGAGAACAGGTCCGTGTTCTTGGAAACAGAAATATGCACCTAGAATCACAACACATCAGCCATGGGAGAAGAATATCCCGTGTTCTTCTATTTGGCAAACTATTCCTATATGGAACGTGTTTGGAATAACTGTCAAACATAGAAAAGGTCTTAGCAACAAAGATTTAAATGTTAACCAGCAAGCTGTTAAATATTTTGTATGGAGTCACCACCTAATACTTAAATACGGAAGCCAGGCGTGGTGACTTGTAATCTCAGCACTTTGGGAGGCTGAGGAGGGCGGATCACTTGAGGCTAGGAGTTCGAGACAAGCCTGGTCAACATGGCAAAACCCTGCCTCTACTAAAAATATGAAAATTAGCTAAGCATGGCGGCACACGCCTGTAGTACCAGCTACTGGGGAGGCTGAGGCACGAGAATCGCTTGAACCTGGGAGGCAGAAGTTGCAGTGAGCTAAGACCATGCTACTGCACTCTAGCCTGGGCAATAGAGCGAGTACTTGTCTCAAAACAAAAACAAAACAAACAAAAAGTATCCTATTCATTAAAATATAATTAATTATAAGCTAAGTTCTCCAAAGACAAGAATAAATCTTACGATAGAATATGACACAACGAAGTTTATTCAAAGTTCTTTTTTTTTTTTTTTTTTTTTTTTTTTTTCGAGATGGAGTCTCACTCTGTCGCCCAGGCTCGAATGCAGTGGCGCGATCTCGGCTCACCGCAACCTTTGCCGCCTGGGTTCAAGCGATTCTCCTGTCTCGCCCTTCCAAGTAGCTGGGATTACAGGCGCTTGCCACCGTGCCTGGCTAATTTTTGTAGTTTTAGTAGAGACAAGGTTTCACCATCTTGGCCACCCTGGTCTTGAACTCCTGATCTCGTGATCCACCCGCCTCAGCCTCCCAAAATGCTGGGATTACAGGCGTGAGCCACTGTGCCTGGCCAAAAAAAAAGTGCCTTTTTTTTTTTTTTTTTTTTTGAGATGAAGTTTCGCTCTTGTTGCCCAGGCTGGAGTGCAATGGCGTGATCTCAGCTCACCGCAACCTCTACCTCCCGGGTTCAAGTGGTTCTCCTGCCGCAGCCTCCTGAGTAGCTGGGATTACAGGCAAAAAAAGTTTTTTTGTTTTTTTTTTAACAAAAGGCAGAGAAAGACATTGTTTTTTGTTTATTTATTTATTTTTTTACCTGTGAGCCCACATCCATAAAGTTAGCAGACTATGTCATAGTCAAGAGACTTTGCTTTATGAACTAGCTGATTTAGTTTGCTCACAAGCTTTGAAAGAGTCTTTTTTTAAAGGCCAAGTTTAAGACACCTTAGACCATAGAAATATGTGTATTTCCTGGCCATTCGATCATTTGAAGGCCAGATTTTATCAAAACAAATGAATCACTGTTTCTCCTTCCTTCATCAGGCTAGCGTGCAGTGGTGTGATTGATCTCGGCCCACTGCAACCTCCACCTCTCAGATTTAAGTGATTTTTGTGCCTCAGCCTTCCAAGTAGCTGGGATAACAGGAACGCACCACCATGCCCAGCTTTTTGTAGAGATGAGGTTTCGCTATGTTGCCCAAGCTGGTCTTGAACTCCTGGGCTCAAGCAATCCACTTGCCTCGGCCTCCCAAAATGCTGGGATTATAGGCATGAGCTATGGTGGCCAGCCAAAAAGTTCTTAATGAGTTGCATATATGTTTTATAAATCCCTATTTTTTATCTTATTATTATTTTTTTGAGACGGAGTCTCACTCCGTGACCCAGGCTGGAGTGCAGTGGCACTATCTTGGCTCACTGCAACCTCTACCTCCCAGGTTCAAGCAATTCTCCTGCCTCAGCCTCCCGAGTAGCTGGGATTACAGGCATATGCCACCACACCCAGCTAACTTTGTATTTTTGGTAGAGACAGGGTTTTAGCCTCGAACTCCGACCTCAGGTGATCCGCCAGCCTCGGCCTCCCAAAATGCTGGGATTAGAGGCATGAGCCACCGCGCCCAGCCTATAAATCCCTATTTTTAAAAGGCACTCTCATAAACATTTTTAAATAAAGTAATATAAACTTGTTTTAGAAAAGTCAGAGCAGGACTACTAGTATCTTATTTTATATTTCTATCCAGTCTTTCCTAAAATTTAAATATTGTGGTATCATACCTAAAATAGAAATGTCTATCCCACTTTAAAACATGTTGATTATTTAATTAGTCCAGCTCTGGCTTTTTTGTTAAGAATTGTTCATGTTTACAAAGTGAAAAATACTCATTCTCTCTTTTATCTGTTTTGTCCATTGAGACTGCTAGACATCAGAATCCCTTAAAGGGGAGACACCTAAGCAACAAAAGAATGTGGTCAGTTTTGCAAAATAAAGTTATCACTTAAACCTTCAAGCTACTGAATACAATCATCAATATATCATAACTGGACACAACGTAATTCATAAGTGTGATGACTTCAAGCAGAAGTTTCTAATCTGTCGTGCGAGCACATATGATACTGTCGGGAAAACACTTTTAAAATTAAGAGCAAAGGAACAGCTACAAGGAACAGACTATTCTGGAACCACTTCCAGGAACAGGCTTTGTTTAAACAAAATGTATTAAGTGAAACCAGCTGTATTAAGGAAAGGTCAGTGCCATCTGAAGTGGAATTCTAAAACCACCCACTTCATAATATCAGGGCATCCTTCCTGTTTTTTGAAGGAAATACTCAGTGGCAAACTAGCTACAGGACCTCAAGGCAAGGAGCAGTTCACCAATGGACAAAAGGCCCAACTGCATGCAAATGGATGCTCACAAGAAACCACTTGGGTAACACTAACTAGGCCAGCCAGCTTTAGGCCTCCATACCAGTCATATCAAGCAGTGCTGAAGAAACGGGAAGGGACTCACGGACAGCAAAAGGGAGATTAATCTACTATTTATGGTGTATTTTTGAGGGTACCAGAAAGAAGAAACCTGCAGTCAGAAATACTCAGTATATTCTGCCCTTTTGAAAGCCAAGTGAGTCCATTGTTCCTGGGGTAAGAGGAACTCTAAAATGCACACTTTTGTCATGTCTAAAAAGTAACACAAATCTCAAGAAGAGTGGAACCTACATTGTAACTAAGGTTCCATTATTTAAAGTCATTTTCCCTAACTTAATAACAAAAGCATAAGAAAGAGCTTGCTCCTTCAAAGACTTTCTCGGGGTAACATAATCTGGGCCTTTATGAAGTCAGGGAACCCCGTCAACAGTGATCACCAGTTATGAAAGCATTTCCCAATGTCTCACCCAATACAGCCAGTAAGACTGTAATCAAAACAATGCAGTTGAGAAATGCAGCCACTAATCATTTTATTTTGGAAACCAATTAGGGAATGATGAAGGAAGGAGAAACAGTGATTCATTTGTTTTGATAAAATCTGGCCTTCAAATGATCGAATGGCCAGGAAATACACATATTTCTATGGTCTAAGGTGTCTTAAACTTGGCCTTTAAAAAAAGACTCTTTCAAAGCTTGTGAGCAAACTAAATCAGCTAGTTCATAAAGCAAAGTCTCTTGACTATGACATAGTCTGCTAACTTTATGGATGTGGGCTCACAGGTAAAAAAATAAATAAAAAATGAAAAATAAAATAAAAACTGCCTACTGGCAGTTACAAACGTTGCAGTTTGCAACGTTTAATTCAACAAGATAGTAATGTGTCATGATCCAATGGCAACAGTCCCCAACCCTTTTGGCACCAGGAACTGCTTTTGTGGAAGACAATTTTTCCACAGACTGGGGATGGGGCCACTGAGGGGTGGTTCTGGGATGATTCAAGTGCATTACATTTATTGTGCACTTTATTTATATTATTATTACATTGTAATATATAATAATTATACAACCCACTGTAATGTAGAATCAGTGGGAGCCCTGAGCTTGTTTTCCTGCAACTAGACAGTCCTATCTGGGAGTGATAAGAGACAATGAGAGATCCTCAGGCATTAGATTCTCACTAGGAGCACGCAACCTGGATCCATCGCATGTACTGTTCACAATAGATTTCATGCTCCTATGAGAAACTAATGCCGCCACTGATCTGACAGGAGGCGGAGCTCAGGCAGTAATGAGTACTATGGGGAGCGGCTGTAAATACAGATGAAGCTTCATTGCTTACCTGCCGCTCACCACCTGCTATACGGCCTGGTTCCTAACAGGCCACAGACCATGACCAGTCTGTGGCCTGGGGATTGGGGACCCCTGATCTATGGAACAGTGGTGGCTTGTGTTTGAAACTGCACTCAATAACTTGGTTTACCTGCCTCTTTTCAAGCAAGCAACACTCAGTACTAAAATTGCAGTCAAAATGTACGACACAGCTTGCACAGACTCTAGTTATTTCTCAGAAAAAATAGTCTGAAACTTCTAAAATGCATAGAGAGGACAATCAGCAAATATCAAAAGTGTGAAGAATGTTCCAATTACAGGAAATCCTGATTAGTATGGATACCACCAATTTAAAATTCATGATAATTAAGGCCCAGTTAGACATCACAATATGTATGCGGAAGAAAGGGGGCAGATGCTGGAGGAGTTGGAGAGGTGATGGGCAAATAGATCTATGGAAAAAACTTTTAAAGAAATCCATCAATACTGACAGGAATACTAAAAATAAGCAAATTCCATGTGAATCTTATTGGCTGATTAAAAAGTATTACCCTTGGCCAGGCGCGGTGGCTCATGCCTATAATCCCAGCACTTTGGGAGACTGAGGCGGGCAGATCACCTGAGGTCAGGAGTTCGTGACCAGTCTGGCCAACATGATGAAACCCCGTCTCTACTAAAAATACAAAAACTAGGTGGGCATGGTGGCGGGCACCTGTAATCCCAGCTACTCGGGAGGCTGAGGCAATAGAATTGCTGGAACCTCAGAGACGGAGGCTGCAGTGAGCCGAGATCGTGCCATTGCACTCCAGCCTGGGTGACAATAGTGAAAATCCATCTCAAAAATAAAAAGTATTACCCTTTGGTAGCATTTTGTAAGCCGTCAGTTTGTAGAGGCAAGATGGTGTTAGTGAAAAAGCACCTGATTAGAAACTAGAAAGCAGCTGCATGGGGTAGTTCTGGGGCTCTGCCACTTTCTAACTTAGTGATTACAGGCAAGTCATTTAACCTCTCTGAGGATCTTAGCTCTACAGTAGGGACAACATCTGTCATCTCAAAGACATCAAATGAGATGTCATACGATCAAATTTGCCAAGTGTGGTGACGTAAACAAAAGGTACCATATTATTTGAACTATCTCTTGAAATGTCCTACTCAACATTTTTCACGCATCTTAAACCCTCTTATACCCTCCCCCAATTCCGTACTTCTTCTCCTTGTGCCATTCAGGGTCCCAGGTCAGAAATCACATCTGACATGGCTCCTGGTGTGTCATGGAGAAAGGGGGAGAACTGAAGGACTCATAGGACCACTAGGGGTAGGGAAGTAGCTGATGGGAACTGGAAAGGGAAAAAAAGCATCAAGATGAGGAGGAATGAAATTAAAGTCATCCTGTCCCTGGCAACACTGCCAAGACTCACTTATGTTACCATGCGAGCTACCATGTGAACTTGAAGGGCAGAAAGTAAAATCCTCTAGTTGAGCAAACAACTCAGTGGCAAGAGAAAGGAAAAATGACACATTAGCAGTGGGAAGCTTAAAGTCCTGGAGGCTGTAAGACTCGACGTGTAAATGGTGGTGTGTCCTGGGAAAAAGGTAGGCCTTCTCCCAAAATGAGCCCCAAGGGACCCTGTGTCTACTTCCTGGGTGAAAATGAAATTCTGTCGTTAACTTGATTTCTTTCTTGCATCCTGTCTCGGTTTAAGTCTAGGCTTGGTTCTGAACCAAGTGTGATCTTTAGGCAAGTTAATGCATCTCTCTGGATCAACTTAATGTTGTCTTAAATTTTAAACCTTCCTTCTTGGTGTCATTTCCCTTCTTCTTGAGGATGTTCTTTAGTGATGGTATTAGTCAGCATTCTCCAAAGGGACAGAACTAATAGGATATATGTATATATGAAAGGGAGTTTATTTGGGAGAACTGGCTCACATGATTACAAGGCAAAGTCCCACGATATGAGGTCTGCAAGCCGGGAAAGAGAGCTCGTAGTGGCTCAGTCCGAGTCTGAAAGCCTCAAAACCAGGGAAGCCAACAGTGCAGCCATTAGTCTGTGGCAAAAGCCCAAGAGCCCCTGGCAAGCCACTGGTACAAGTCCAAGAGTCCAAAGGCCTTAGAACCTGGAGTCTTATGTGGACGGGCAGGAGGAGTGGGAGGAAGCATCCAGGATGGGAGAAGGAAGGAAGCCAGGAGACTCAGCAAGCTTATCCCACCTTCTTCTGCCTGCTTTGTTCTAGCTGCACTGGCAACCAACTGGATGGTGCCCACCCACGTTGAGGGTGGGTCTTCCTCTCCTAGTCCCCCAGCTCAAATGTCAGTTTCCTCTGGCAACACCCTCACACACACACCCAGAAACAATCCTTCAACCCAATCAAGTTGACACCTAATATTAACCATCACAGTGATGAATTCTCAGCAGTAAATTCTTTTTGTTTTTATTTATCTAATGTCTTTATTTCACTTCGTTCTCATTATTTAAAGGCTGTTTCATGGCTACACAATTCTAGATCAACAGTTATTTTCACTGCCTACTTTGAAAACACTGTTTCAGTAGTTCCACTCTTGGTATAGAAAAGCCAGCTGGCATATGAATTGTTGTTCCTTTGTAGGTAATCTGTCTTTTCTCTCTTCCTATTTTTAAGAATCGTTTCTGGTTTTGATGTTCTATAGGTTCACAGGTTTACTGATATGTTTAGACATGAATTTCTTTCCTTTCCTTCTTTGCCGCTTTGGAATTTGATGGGCTTCCTGAACCAGAGAATTTTTGTCTCTCATTACCACCCTTAGAACCTGTTCCAAGAGAGGCCCCTACCCTAGATTCTATAATTTAAAAGACTCCACCTCTCCCCACAGGGCAAGGGGCCTGAAGGCCCAAGGAGATGCACCCACCCTGAGTCTGATCACCATATTCTAGGTATCCAGGATCCTGGAATTCCCTACTTAATTGAATCCATGCCCACATTCAGGACTTGCATGGGCCTTTTCCACAGGTCTATTATCAAAGTGGAATGCTGGCCCGACACAGTGGCTCATGCTTGTAATCCCAGCACTTTGGGACGCTGAGGCAGAAAGAGTGTTTGAGGCCATGAGTTCAAACCCAGCCTGGGCAGCACAGCGAGACCCTGTTGCTACAAAAAATAAAAATAAAAAAAAAATACTAGGTGTGGTAATTAATGTAGTCCCAACTACTCAGGAGGACTGCATGAGTCCAGAAGTTCAAGGCTGTAATGAGCTATGATCAGACCACTGCACTCCAGCCTGGCCAACAGAATGAAACCCTGTCTCTAAATAAATAAATAAATAAATAAATAAATAAATAAAATAAAAATGAAAGAAAGTAGAATGCACCAGCATACGGGCATAGGCCAGAGTTGCCACCTACAAGCATGCTTGTGAGGAGCGTGAACACAGCTTAGATATGCAGGCTGAAGTATGTACACATGTGTGCATGAGGCCCCTCACAGCATGGATAAAGCTGCGGGAAGAAAGACAAAAGGGTGGGGGCCACAGGCGAAGGTCTGGCTCACTCTGTGCTGCTATGTGCCAGCATAGAGCTCTGTGGAGTTCAAGAACTCTACATTTAAACCTCATCTTCTAGAGTATCAGAGAGACATATTTGTCAAGGTAGGAGTATAGACATATTTTATTTCACAGTCTGTCACATTTGTAACTTTTAAATATTTAGACATGGCCTATGGGCCTCCGTTTAAACTGTTGTGCTAGCTTCCACAAATGACAGACAAAGGCCTGTTGTTCATCAATTGTGAAGATTCTCACTCATTATCTGTTTCAATATTCTCTCTTTGCCATTCCCTGTAGTATCTTCTTCTGGAACTCCAATTAGACATAAGTTGGACCTTCTCACTATATCTCTGAGCCTCTCGTGGTTTACATCCCTTTGTTTCTATTAGCTTCAGTCTGTGTTATTTCTTCAGACTTATCTTCTAGTTCACTAATTCTGGTTTCTGCTGTTTCTATTCTAACATTTAACCAATCCATAAATTTTTTATCTCAATGATTATGCTTTTTACTTCTGAACATTATATTTGATTTTTAAAAATAAAACTGCCTGGTTGTTTTTGATGTATCTCTCTCTTTCCTCATATTTTCAATTCCTTCTTTTGCTTCCCCAAAGGTAGTAAATTAACTTATAGTCTATATTCAATATTTCCAATATCTGAAATTGTCAGGAACAACTATTGTTTCTACTGACTCTTGCGCATGATATCTTGTTTCAGGGTGTGTGTGTGTGTGTGTGTGTATGTCCTTTTTTGGTGTGTTCATATTGGCTGCAATGATCTATGGAAACTCTGAGTTAGGGAAGACTTAAACTTGCTTTTGTCAAGCACCCAGGGATGGTAAAAACCTAGGTCCACTCTAAATCAAGATTTCCAACTTGCAGCTATTGGAGGTCACACAGATAGGATAAAACCAGTTTCTACACCCATGTGGGAGCAGCTGGTCAGCAGCCACAAGTTCTCATGTGATTTTTTTTCTTTGCCCTCCACTCAAAGTGAAAGCTCAGACAGAAATATTCCTTTCTGATTGATACTGTGTAATGTGCTTCTCCCCCGTACATTTTCTCTCTGATGGTGTAGCCTCTCTGAGGTATTAGCTTTATGAGAAACGGTCTTGGATCACTGATCCCTTTCTCCACTCTAAGAGAACCCAAGGTTTGTATTTTATGTTTCATGAGGAGCAGGTTACTTATATGGTCACAAAATGTCTCCCCACAGATTGCTTTTTAGATGCAAGAGGTTTCAGGAAATCACAGGGAGAAAAAGTTAAGGGAAAAAACAAAAACCGAAAAGCAAATAGATGCAAGAGGAAAACTAGCAACTATCCAATGAAGGAACCAGACAGTACCTTGACTAAATAATCAAAATTAATATCATTAACGACAGGCAGAAAGACAAGGTATGCAAATGGATGTAACACCATGAGAAAGATACAGCATTACTTCTGTAATATTCTAAAACAGAAATGTGTAACTTGAATCTAATAGTAAGGAAACATCAAACAAACTGAAACTGAAATGTTCCAGCCAAAATTGAAAAACATTCTATACAATAACTGCTCCATGTCCTTGAAAAATACCAATGTCATGCAAGGCAGAGAGACTGAGGAACTGTTCCAGCTTACAGGATATTAAAGATCATGACAAATTAATGCAATCCATGATCCAGGACTGGATCCTACACCCAAGGGGGTAATTGCTAGAAAGGACATTACTGGGAGAATTGAGGAAATTGGAATACGGATTTTAGGTTAAATAAAAATATTCTATCAAAGTTAAATTTCCTAAAGTTAATAATTATACTATAGTTACATAAGAGAAGATCCTTGTTCTTACAACATACACTTGAAATATTAAGGGATAAAAGGACAAAATGTTGTGACCTACTCCCAAATGATTCCGAAAAACAAATTTTATACCCATACACATATAGAAGGGGGGAAATGGTAAAGCAAATGTAATGTAGCAATACGTTAAAAATTGATGACTCGAACTAAGTAAAGGACATGTAGGAATTCTCTGTACTATTCTTGTAAATTTTCTGTAAGTTTGAAATTATTTCAAAATACAAAGTAAAACAGGGGTGTTCAAACTTAAACCAATGGTGGATGTGGAAAACAGAGTAACTATACATACAGTATTTGTATTAGCAAACTGCACTGATCTGTGAGGAACCTAAATTTTATTTTACTTACATAATTCTGCTGAGGGACAGGTGAAGAAATAGAGTTCTACTCCCCTTGCTTAAGATGCAGAAAGCCATAAGAGAACTTTCAACCCAACAAAAAGAAAAAGCCAGATAATCAACAAAATCCTAACTTTTCTTGAGCTAATCAGAGAGCTGAGGCCACAAGGCCATCAGGTGAACTGAATTCTAATCAGTGACAAATCCCTCCAAGGAGAAATGGGACACGCAAACCCTGTGACCCTTCACAGAGCACAGGAGGAAGATGAGGCTGCCATGTCAACAGGTGACGGGAAAACATCTCAATTTTTAATGAATTCTTATGGAGCTGAGCATGGGCTGGTGTAACACTAGAATTCCTGTCTGAACTCACTTGCAAACCCTTTTCCATGGGCCACTACCAGGTGCTCGTGACGACGACTGGGAGCAGAGCACGAGGCTGGAGAGAGCACCCCTCAATACCGGACTCGGGTAAAATCTTGCCTCCTTCCTGAGCCCCTCTCTCAGACCTAATGCAAAAGCCGTAATCCACTGGGGGAAGGGCAAGAAACCTTCCCTGTCCCCGGGACCCAGGCAAAGATCTGCTGCTCCTGGGGGTGAGGTACCAGCAAATATGATCGTCTGCTGGATTCTGCACTGATACAATGCAAAAGTCAGCTTCGGGTGGGGTTGGGGGGAAACGTGGGAAATTCTCTCTCACACGGGAGCTCACACCACACACACACACAAACACACACACAGAAGGCAGAGTCCAGGTGGCATGGAGGGTGAAAGCACACAATGCTAAGAAAGCCCTATCCTGAAGTCCAGGCACACAGTACCTGCCTAAGATGGAGTCAGACTAAGAGAACCAAGAAAGTCCCCATCCTCTTACCATGAGCCTGGCTCCAAGTAAAGAGCAACAGCAGTTCCCCACTGGGGCAATGACACGGGCAGGCTACGAGTAAAAGGATGGGAAAAGGTGTATTATGCAAGCGTGATCAAAAGAAAGCTGAAGTGCCTATCAGACAAAGTAGACTCAGAGCAAGGAATATTGCAGAGCCTAAGGAGAAACAGCATATAATGATAAAGAGATCAATGCAACAAAAAGCCATGGTGGCCCTGACCTAAGAAAAGAGCTTCAAAAATACAAAAAGAAATCACAGAAATAAAAGTCGTGATTTAGTCCTTATTTTAATTCTGACTAGTTTTCCGATACTTTTCTTCCATCCTTATTGGTCCAAGATGTTTTTTTCACTTATTAAGTTACTATATCATAACAGAACTTTAAAGTGAATAACTAATTGCAAAGTGTGGCATATCTTCATTGCAGTACTGTTTGTGTTGGCAAAGTCACTTAAATGCCCTTCTATGACAAGCTGGCAGAGCTGCTTGCCGCACTAGGGAAGGAGGAGGAAATGACAGCAGAGGAGCTTCATCCAGACAGAAAGATGTAGAAGGGTCCAGCCCTTCCCTCACATCAGGGTGCAAAGAGTAGGAGGCAGTCAAACATGTATCATCACTTCCCTGCCCGCAAATTCCGAGGAAGAGGTGATGTACCAGTCAGGAGACAGAAACCACACCAGTCATTTCAATAGGGAAAATTTAATAAAAGAATTATTAACAAAAAGTAGATACTGCTAAGAGAGCGTTCTGTGTTTTCTGAGATTCTGTATTCATCTATTTGGCATCCATTAGTCTAATCACAGGGTCAAACTCACACACAGCCAAAGCTGTTTCCGTCTCCCCTGCCACCCAGAGCCCATTCTCTGAACCACCTCCTTATCTAACTCTCACACACAGAGCCAATATTTCTCCTACCCTAAATCACCCAGAGCTAGGAACCAGACAACGAGGGACGGCCCTCTGCCCCAGGGCCCCCCAGAATTATCCAAAATAGCCAATCCTCAGATGTTTCCCTGGCCCTGTCTGGCCTTTCCCACAGAAGCCCAACAAAGGCTCTGGCCTGGGCGTTCCCCCAGCTCCTTTCTGCCCTGTGGATGGTGCTTCCCCATGTGCCTGTGTGGTGTGGCGTGGCATGCTCCCCTCTTGGAAATGGAAGTAATAAACATTTTCCATTTTCTTTTATTGGGATTGGCCTTTCTGTGCCATCACTCAATAACCTCCACAGACTGAAGTCCCACAGGAGATTTTTTTTTTTTTTTTTTTTTTTTTTTAGTTTTGAGACAGAGTTCCAGAATGTCGCCCAGACTGGAGTGCAGTGGCACGATCTCAGCTCACTGCAGCCACCATCTCCCGGGTTCAAGCGATTCTTGTGCCTCAGCCTCCTGAGTAGGTGGGATTACAGGCATGCACCACCATGCCCAGCTAATTTTTGTATTTTTAGTAGAGACGGGGTTTCACCATGTTGGCCAGGTTGCTCTCGAACTCCTGACCTCAAGTGATCTGCCCGCCTTGGCCTCCTGAAGTGCTGGGATTACAGGTGTGAGCCACCACGCCCGGCCGAGATTTTTAACAAATGACAGAAGAGTAAAAGAGGACCCAGGGGTACAGAAGTAGCAAATGAACAAAGTGTCTACTACTTAGAGCCCACTATATTACTATGTGTCTTAAAAAGGGCAGGTAGAGTGAAGAGGGAGGAACTAAGAACTTAGGAGAGCCTCCCCCAACCCCAAAGCTGAGATTCAGACTCTTCAGAAAGGGCACAGCTCCACAGGAACACACAGCATGCCGGTGGCAAACATGCTTGTCAGAGGGCGTGATCCAGAGCTGGCCCAGGGCAGCAGCCCACCACGTGGTGGAGAAACTCCCTGCAGGGTGTGTGTGGTTGGAGCTGGTGCACGGTACCACCCACTGGGCTGTCTATGATGGCTGATATGTGTTTCTGGGCATCTTGCACGCCAGTCCACTGATACTCACTCACCAGTGAAAATCAGCACACTGGGAAAGGACGCCCTCCTCCCACCATGACCTTGCCATGTCCCTCCAGCACTCTGTTGACAAAGCCTAACACCTCGCCAGCAGGCAAAGGAAAACTGTTGACAGAGTCCAGTTCCCATGTCACGAAACATGGCAAAGCAGAATGGATTTGGAGATAACAAGCAAGAAATTGATAACTAGCACAGGTGGGGAGAGGGTAGACTGGTCGTCAGGTTGAAGGGAAGGCACTGGGGCTTTTGCCCCACTTCCTAATTGAAACTCTAGGAGAAGACCACCTCGCAGATGCAACCTTCCACTCATCCCAACACGGATGGCTACAGAATAAAATGGCCGTGTTGCATGGCCTTATGCAGGGGAAGCATCTCGGTTTTAGCACTCTAAGCCTCCTGTAGCTTAACTAGTAAGAAAGAGAGTGAAGTTCCACTTGGAAGCCATGACATCTGCTGCAGGGTGAATGTACCAAAAGGAAGCAAGGACAGTTCCCTGGCCCTGATGGAGACAAAAGAAAAAAATTCAAGACCACCAACCACACTTCAGGGGATACCTGCGAAAGGCCCAGGGACCAGACCAGACCAGACTAGATGAGCAAAGGCAGCAAGCATAGGCCAGGGCCTCCCTCACCTCCACAAAAATCTCACAATCCCCCAAGACCAGATGCTGGTTTTTAATGGGGGATGGCAGGATATATGAAAAAATCCAGAATTTACCCAAAAGATACTGTTTAAGCCAAAAGAATATAAGACCTTATTAACTGGCCAAAATACCACTCTTTGCTTCTCCCCATTTCTAGATGATGACTTATGAGGAAGACAGATTGGTGATTTTTTTAAATGCTGTAATTTCTCTGCACAGCTAAGTAGCAGTATATAAACCTATAACCCCACTATATTACTATATGTCTTTAAAAGGGCAGGGGTTGGGGGGACAAAAAAACACAGAAATTTGTATATTCGTAGAATATTATACTTCTTCAAATCGAAGATGCCACTGCAAGAGGTGCCTTTATTTTATGTATCACTAAATCATGTGCCAATTAAACCATGGCATTATATTGCTTTTAAGATGTACCCTGATTTTAGAGATTTTTTTTAAAAATGAGAAATAATGTACATTTTAGAATCAATTAAAGTGGCCCTGGAGAAATACAGAAGAAACTAGCAAGATGGGACTTACTGTTTATCAAGCGTCTTTTCTTGGTTGCTTGAATTTCCTTACCTTGTGGACGTTTTCTTAAAAACACACATGCACAAGCTGGGTGCTGTGGCTAATCCCTGCAATCCCAGCACTTTGGGAGGCCGAGGTGGGCAGATCACCTGAGCTCAGGAGTTCGAGACCAGCCTGGCCAACATGGTGAAACCCCGTCTCTACTAAAAATACAAAAATTAGCTGGGCGTGGTGATGCCCGCCTGTCATCCCAGCTACTCGGGAGGCTGAGGCAGGAGAATCGCTTGAACCCAGGAGGCAGAGGTTGCAGTGAGTGGAGACTGCGCCACTGCACTCCAGCCTGGGCGACAGAGCGAGACTCTGTCACAAAAAAAACAAAAAACAAACAAACAAACAAACAAAAAACACATGCACAAACTTCCACAGTGTTCACCTTAAATTCTGTCCTTAGAAGACAGCCTTGTCATTCTCAATTTGAGGGGAGACCTTACATTCCTACCTAGACACTTTCTAATTCCAACAAATATTTCTAATTCACAGCCACTTACATTCAAATCCAAATGTAATCTACTGCTCGACTTTGCAATTCAGGATATATCCTTTTGGTCCCCCGTTATCAGAATACATCTTTATGAACTAGCAAAGGATGCACTCCCTAAAGCTCTTGTGATTACTGCCAAGCTAAGTGTCCAAGCTAACACAGAGTAAACAATCACAGCCTCCATCTCATCAGGTCTCCAGAGTTCACATCAAGGATGCCAAAAAAAACACACAATTGATTTAATATTCCACACGAGAGTTACACTTAACACTGGGTGGTTATTTTTTACTTCACAGAAGTCTTCAGCTCCATGAATAACTCCACAGGCCATCTAATCCATCTTAAATTCACCAAATGGGTCATAATTAAAATATTACTGATACCTGGAGGATTCTGAATATGGACTGTATATCAAATAATGTTCCTGGATCAGTGTGGATTTCCTTAAGTGTGGCAATGATGTGATGGTGTAAGAGAGTGTTCTTGTTCTTGGCTATCGTGAGTATATAGCCAATTTCCAAGTGGACTGGTAAAAGGGAAATGTTTCTATGTAAGAGAGATAGCAAGTGTTAAGAGTTGATGAATCTAGGTGCATTGTTCTTTCAACTTTATAGGTTTGATGATTTTCATTGGAAATGTTTAAGAAAATAAAAACAACAATAAATGCTCTTGGTAAGTACAATCTGTCCTTCCCAACATCCTCAGGGAACAGAATTCCACAACTTCCCACGAAGCCAATCCAGCTGCAGCATCTTAGCAAGGACAGTCACCACCACAGCGGCAGCAGCAGCAGCTAACAGATGCTGGGGCTCTGCGCAGGCATGCTAAGACCTTCAGCGCATTATATCTTGGCATGTTCTCATTAATCCTATGAGGTGGGTGTGTGTTATCAACATTCACATCTCACAGGTGTGGGAGCCAAAGCTTCAGAGGGGTAACACGGTTAATGGTGTGATCCCACCCAAGTTAAGGGGAAAGCCAGGATTTAAAACTGGGTAGACAAACTTTGGAGCCCCAGGCTCTAAATTTACCCCTACCAGTCTCTTCAAACTTGGGTCAGGATCCATTCTTAGTCATGAGATCCACTACTAATGAGTCACAGCCTATCTTTTTCAAAATGAAATAAAATAGAAAATATCGGCCAGGTACAGTGGCTCACGCCTGTAATCCCAGCACTTTGGGAGGCCAAGGCAGGCGGATCACTTGAGGTCAGGAGTTTGAGACCAGCCTGACCAACATAGCAAAACCCCGTCTCTACTAAAAATACAAAAAAATTGGCCAGGCATGGTGGCGCATGCCTGTAGTCCCAGCTACTTGGGAGGCTGAGACAGGAGAACTGCTTGAACCTGGAAGGTGGAGGTTGCAGTAAGCCGAGATCACACCACTGCACTCCAGCCTGGGCAACAGAGTAAGACTGTCTCAAAAAAAAAAGAAAAAGAAAAAGAAAATATCACTCACTGTGCTCCACAATAAGGAAAAGTACTAATCCAGACCTTCTTCAGCTGTATATGTACATATATGCATATGTGTGAATGTGATGTATATACGTACATGTATGTGTGCATATGTGAATGCTAAGTCATAACTGAATATGTATTCCTCATATGGGTCACAATGCTTGAAAGCCACTGCATTATTCTATATTACCTCCTCCTCTTCTCTCATTTCCTGCCCAGAAGCCTCACTGTTTAGGAAACTAAATGGGGAAAAAAAAAATACAGATTTAGATGGTTAAGGGGAGAATTCCACTGGGAATTATCTAATCTCAAAATAAGCCAAAATAATATACTTTTAGTACACACTAATAGATAATAATGCAGCTGGCAAATCTGGTAATATAAAAGACATATTTTCAAATAGGAATTTGGATAATCCCCTTGGTGTTTGTTACAGTAAGATGTTATCTGGAATTCTATTAAAAGATTATCAATTTAAAAGTCAAGCTGAAACTGCATATATAAATATGGTCAATGGTTAAAATCAGAGGAAGATTCTTCTCTGGCAATTCTTCTCCACTGAAAATCCAAACGCATGTCAACATGACTGAGGGTCAAGAATGTTCAAAGAAAACTATTGTGACATTGCGGGAGGAGTCCAAAAGCAGCTAAGAGTGCGTGTGTGCCTGAGGGTGGGGATGGGGCACCCACACGGGCAAGTGAGAGGTGGAGAATTACTGTACCAGTGCCCTCCCAAACCAATCACCCTACTGTGTATCCTGTTTCAAAAGGCTAAATGGGAAAAGCAAAGAAAAAAATCATTCTACATGTGTTTAAGGTACGCCACTCAAGAAGGGTTTTCTGTGAATTAATCTTACCATTACCAAATGAAGTCATAGGAAGAATGTGCTATGTCTTTAAATCCATGGCTATTTTTCATTCCAAGTTTCTGTTTGGGGCCATTACTGCTCTCTTGGGACTGCGTTGACTCACTGCGTCTTCAGAATGACGCAAGTGAGGTTCTCTGCACAACTTCAAAACAGGCTGAATATATCCAGCAAAGGCTGGCTTCAGAGCCAACAGACCAATCAGGCACCCATTTGCAGAGTCGCTAGAACCAGGCAGGAGATGGGAACACTCTCCTCATTTTCAGTTTCATTAGGGTCTGATCACCTTCTTCAACAGGCAAAACAATTTGACTGTCTTAAAACAATCTTTTCTTAATTTGCCCGTTCTCTTTAGGACCACATTTCCACCTTCACTGCCCACTCAGAATCCTATCTACTTTCTTGGACTTACTTGGTCATATGGTAAGAAAAGAATGGAAACAAGAATTCCAGCCCAAATGTCTCCAGTGCTGAGTATCCCACATTTCTGGAGCTCCCTCCTCTCAACTTTTTTTTATCTAAATAAAAGAAAACTCCTCCTTCCTGGTGTCAGCCAGGCAGAGGAGAGAGGGAGATGAGGGAAGAGGGAGGAGAAAGGGGACAATTCGCCTAGAAATAGCAGGTACGAGTACAGATACGAGGTGAGCACTATCCAAAAACGAAAGTTGCAAGAGTTTTCATCTGGAGACTGGTCAGATCCAGACAGCTCCAAGATCAGCCCCAATATCACAAAGGTAAATATGGCTTCATCTGCATGGCCTGGATCCAGATAACCTCAGCATCACCTGGTTCACCGTATGGCTTCTTCCTAAAACAGCCAAAAGCCAGAGGAAAATGTGTTTGCTTTTTTTTGAAGTGGTTCACAAAATGGGCTGTTCAATTTCTTTTTTGAGACTGAGTCTCACTCTGTCGCCCAGGCTGGAGTGCAGTGGTGTGATCTTGGCTCACTGCAACCTCTGCTGCCTGGGTTCAAGCGATTCTCCTGCCTCAGCCTCCAGAGTAGCTGGGATTACGGGTGCCTGCCACTGCGCCCGGAGTATTTTTTTGTAGTTTTTAGTAGAGAAGGGGTTTCACCATCTTGGCCAGGCTGGTCTTGAACTCCTGACCTCGTGATCCAGCCACCTCGGCCTCCCAAAGTGCTGGGATTACAGGCGTGAGCCACCGCGCCCGGCCCAGGGCTGCTCACTTTCACACAGTGCTCTTTTTAAGAACATCCAAATTATAAAAGGCATCCATGGTGCCTGAAAGCAGAGTGGCTCTATTAATACAATGGCAGAGCAGCTGTAACTAATTAAACCTCTAGTAACCAAGCTAGCTGTCAGGTTTGCCCGCAGTATCCCTCAAAATCAGATGCAACTTCACCATATTTCTGTCTTATCCTTACCAAGATAATAGCTACCTAAAAGCATCAAGAGTATGACATTTGTTTTAAACCTAAAGTAACTCCCCACATAACACGTTACTTATATGGCATATAGGTTTGCTGTGTGTGCGTTTCTGGAGCAGCCTTGTTTGTTTAGTCAAGGCATTTCACCATCAAACATACCATTGCCAATCCAGTTCCCTCTAGAAATTTATAACCTCCCCCTCCCCAAGCATAAAGGGCTAAATGTATAGAGGACTAAACAGTATGAGGTCTTTAGCGTTGGGGAATAAAGACTTTAATATATCTCAAGATTTTACAGACTTTGTTTCAGAGGTGAAATGTACTGCGTTATGCCATAAATCAGCAAGCCCTAATGTCAAATAAAAAAATGGTGGGGGGCAGCACAGAGGCAAGAAGGATGGAATTTTTATAGTAAACAACCTTGCCATCATGAACGATGACTGTTATTAAACTGTGCTGCTGCTTTTCCAGTATCTTTCTTTCTCCCTCTGTGGATCTTCGTTGCCCTAACTACCATTTGACTCATCTTAACAAATGGCACACACATCTCCGGTGCAGTCGCTGCCACTCTGTGACTCCAGATTGGCTTTCACTCACCTGGCAGTGGCTTAGGCCAAAGACTGTGATCACCTCACAGCTGCAGGACTCTTCTGCACACAAGTAATTAGAAACTGATTCTAAGACGACATTCTTTAAAAGCCATAGTTCTTATCAGTATCTGATAATATTTAAATCTCACTTATCCTAATTCTCGATTAACTGGAAAGTTTTTCTTCCCTATTTGCCACAAATGTTTTTACTTTCAAGGAGAAAATGAAAAAACTGCAAAATACAAGGGACTTTTAAACAATTCTAAACAAGTTAAAGCTAAATCTCTAGGGGTTAAAGTATATTTGGTTGAATGGGCTGTGTTTTTCCTACCCGTAGGAATCCATAATATCACAGGAATTGAAATGATGCCTCTGGGGCTCCCGGTCAAGATGGTGGACTGAGCACATGCACTCATCCCCCTCCTGCCTGTGACCCCTTTAAATTACAGCCAAGGAGTAAAAAAGGTATAAACCACGACAATGGTGAGAACAGAGAAGCTGTCATCATACTAGATATTTCAACAAACTGGGGGATCTGAAAGTGGATGGGCAAGCATTGCTTGGCAAAGGAGAGCAGAGGAATTCACAGGTGAGGATCAAGCCCATCTGCCCAGAAGAGCCCCAAACATGAAGATGGCAAGTGCAGTGGAGGAAGGGAGTGAGACACAGAGGGCGGGGGAAAACCAGGGATCATACGTCTGTATATGAAGCGGCAGCCAGCCAAGGCACACGCCTGACCCACTTCTCCACCTCCTCACCCCCAGCAAGGAGGGGTCTTCTCTGAAGAACATAAAGTTTGGAAAGTATTAATGCAGTGTGTCAGTGTCCCAACACAAAGCCCTGAGAGGTTCCTCAATTCCCCTGCTCACAGTCTAGAAAGTACTAATGCAGTGAGTCAGTGTCCCAACACAAAGCCCTGAGAGGTTCCTCGATTCCCCTGCTCACAGTCTAGAAAGTACTAATGCAGTGAGTCAGTGTCCCAACACAAAGCCCTGAGAGGTTCCTCGATTCCTCTGCTCACAGTCTAGAAAGTACTAATGCAGTGTGTCAGCGTCCCAACACAAAGCCCTGAGAGGTTCCTCGATTCCCCTGCTCACAGTCTACAAAGTACTAATGCAGTGTGTCAGCGTCCCAACACAAAGCCCTGAGAGGTTCCTCGATTCCCCTGCTCACAGTCTAGAAAGTACTAATGCAGTGTGTCAGCGTCCCAACACAAAGCCCTGAGAGGTTCCTCGATTCCCCTGCTCACAGTCTAGAAAGTACTAATGCAGTGAGTCAGTGTCCCAACACAAAGCCCTGAGAGGTTCCTCGATTCCCCTGCTCACAGTCTAGAAAGTACTAATGCAGTGAGTCAGTGTCCCAACACAAAGCCCTGAGAGGTTCCTCGATTCCTCTGCTCACAGTCTAGAAAGTACTAATGCAGTGTGTCAGCGTCCCAACACAAAGCCCTGAGAGGTTCCTCGATTCCCCTGCTCACAGTCTACAAAGTACTAATGCAGTGTGTCAGCGTCCCAACACAAAGCCCTGAGAGGTTCCTCGATTCCCCTGCTCACAGTCTACAAAGTACTAATGCAGTGTGTCAGCGTCCCAACACAAAGCCCTGAGAGGTTCCTCGATTCCCCTGCTCACAGTCTAGAAAGTACCAATGCAGTGTGTCAGCGTCCCAACACAAAGCCCTGAGAGGTTCCTCGATTCCCCTGCTCATAGTCTAGAAGGTACTAATGCAGTGAGTCAGTGTCCCAACACAAAGCCCTGAGAGGTTCCTCGATTCCCCTGCTCATAGTCTAGAAGGTACTAATGCAGTGTGTCAGCGTCCCAACACAAAGCCCTGAGAGGTTCCTTGATTCCTCTACTCATTAGTCCAATACTGAAACCAGCCAATGGACAACCCCATCCACATATATAGGACTCCCAACACCCCTTCCATTCCCATGTTCTTAAGCATGAATGGACAACCAGGATTACCAGACTGCTGAGGAAAGCCTAGAGCATCACAGAAAAAGACCAAGATGAACAGATTATCCTGAAGGAAACAGATAATTCAGGAAACTGGAGATAATCCAAACTACAAAAAACCGTAACTCATATCCTCAGAGAGACCCATAAAGATTATATGCCCAGAAATCAAGAATGTGATACTAGGAGAAGGATTTTTTAAATAAGAGCTGTGGTAGTTAAAAAGTATGACTGCCAAAATAAAAAATTAATAGAAAATAAGTGAAAAATACTCAAGGAAAGAAATCTCCCAAAATCCAGAAAAAAAGACAAAGATCTAGGAAAACCAGCATTAAATTAATAAGAGTAAAGAGGCCAGGCATGGTGGCTCACACCTGTATCCCCAGCGCTCTGGGAGGCCGCGACAGAAGGATCGCTTGAGCCCAGGGGTTTGGGACCAGGCTGGGCAACATAGGAAGAACCCGTCTCAAATTAAAACCAAACAAAGAATAAAGAGCCCCCTCTAAGCAGCACCTCCCTTGTGGCTTCTGTAGCTTGTCTACACTAGCCCTGCAACTCCCCCCAGCTCCTCCAGGGCTACCAACTTCACACCAGCCTGTCCACCAACAGGCAGCCCCCAAAGACCTCAAGAAAAGAGTCACCACAGCTGCTGCTTTTTTTTTTTTTTGAGATAGAGTCTCACTTTGTCGCCCAGGCTAGAGTACAGTAGCACGATCTCTGGTCACTGCAACCTCCGCCTCCCAGGTTCAGGTGATTCTCCTGCCTCAGCCTCCCAAGTAGCCACCACGCCCAGATAATTTTTGTATCTTTAGTAGAGACGGGGTTTCGCCATGTTGGCCAGGCTGGTCTCGAACGCCTGACGTCAGGTGATCTGCCTGCCTCGGCCTCCCAAAGTGCTGGGATTACAGGCATGAGCCACCGCGCCCAGCCTCACCACAGCTTTTTAGGTTAACTTGAAGCTCACTTAATTGAATTTCACAGAGGATTGAGTATTAACAGGACTCAGGACTCTAAAGTTTAGCTCTGTTATCCCAAGGCCAGCTTTATGATTCCTGAGTGAGCTGCCATGTGATACCACATGACTAATTCTCTATTCATTCCACTTTTTCTTTTCCCTCACTATTCTTTCTTGCATTGCAGACATTCTTCCTTTTTGGATCATTTTCTCTTTTTTGAAAGTATAAAAGTTCCTTTGTGAGACCGTGCTGGAGACATCAGTTTTTGTTTATCTGAAAATGTCATTATCATGCTCTCATTACTAAATTATATTTTAGCTAAGTTTAAAATTCTAGGTTGACAATAATTTTTCTCTCAGCGCTTTTAAGATACTGTTCCACTGTCTTCTTTCTGGTTTCCATCGTTGCTGTAGAGAAGTCTCCTTTGAGTTTAATAGGGTTCCTTGGGAGGTAATCAGTTTCTCTCTGATTGCTTTTAAGATCTTATTTTTGTCTTTGGTGTTCTATTGGCCTTATATTTGGAGAAGACTTTTTTTTTTTAATTCCACGTGGGATTTGCTCTGATTCCTGAATCTAAAGATTCTTGTTTTTCACTATTCTTGGAAATTATTTAGCAATATCTCCTCAAATATTGTCTCTCATCTGTTATCTCTATTGACTTCTTTTCTCTCTCCTTATAGGCTTATATTTTAGACTTCTGTCTCTCTATGCTGCGTTTTGTATAATTTCTTCAGCTTTATCCCTCAGTTTACTAAATCTCTCTTCAGTTGTGTCTAACTTGTTAAACCCATCCACTGAAGTTTTAATTTCACTGATCGTAGTTTTCATTTCTTTTTTAGTTCTTTTTCAATTATTTGATTTTTCTTCATAGGATTTTAGTCCTTACTTGTTTTCTATTTCACATTTTATTTCTTTAAATGTTTTTAAACCAGTATTTTATATTCTGAATCTGACAGTTTTTATATCTAAAGCTATAAAGTACTATAGTTCTACTGTTCATTTTCCTGCTCTGTGATGCAAGGTTGTTTGTTTTCTCATGTTCTTAGTTTTGGATTGTGAGATCATGTTTGGAGAAGCTTTATCTTTGGGAATCTGGTGTTAAGACTGAGAAAAAGATAGATATAGTCCAAGAGGATATGCATTGACTTCTGCCAGCTAACTAGGAACTGTAGTAATCTAGGAACTCTAGCAACCTAGTATCTCTCTAAAATAATGTCTCTTCTTGGAATTTCACAAACTACAGAGGCCAGGTAAATTCAAACAAAGTTTAAAAGAAGGCATGCTTAGAATAAAAGTTATCTCGGGAGGTTTTTGTTTCCTCTCACTCAAAGTGCAGACCAAATCAGACAAGTTTCTTTCTCTTTGTTTTCTTTCCTTTCTTTCCTTCCTCACTTCCTCCTTCCCTCCCTCCCCCACTTTCTAACTTCCTTTCTTTCTTTCTTTTTTGAGATAGGGTCTCACTTTGTCACCCAGGATGGAGTGCAGTGGTGCAATCTCAGCTTCGGCTTCAACCTCCTGGGTTCAAGAGATACTTCAGCCTCAGCCCCTCAAGTAGCTGGGACTATAGATGCACGCCACCATGCCTGGCTAATTTTGTTTGTTTGTTTGCTTTTTGTTTTTGTTTTTTTAACAGATGAGGTTTCTCCATGTTGCCCAGTCTGGTCACGAACTCCTGAGCTCAGGCAATCCGCCCACCTCAGCCTTCCAAAGTGCTAGAATCACAGGCATGAGCCACCGTGCCTGGCAAGTTTCTTTTTTAAATATTCTGCCAACAGCTTATTCTTTCTAGTCTATCATTTTGCTCAAAGTGTAGCCAATCAATGATCTTAGCTTTATAGGGCAGTCTGAATTCCAAGTCCCTGTCTACTCATAGGCCCAAGATTATGTCTCCAGTTCCCCAAACAGCAGCCCTTAAGACTCAAGTGTCATCGACAGCTACCATATGACCAGCGATCCTGCTCCTATTTACCCAAAGGAAAAGAAAGCAAATGTCCACACAAAGCTTTGCTCATACTGCAGGAAAAAGGCAAAAAATAAAAGTAAAAAAGATATGTTCATATGTGTTCTAGCAGCTTTATTTGTATTAGCCCAAAAAGGGAAACAAATGCCCATCAGCAGATGAATAAACAAATTATGGTCCATCCACACAATGGAATAGTACTCAGCAATAAAAAGGAACAAATTATTGATCCAAAAACATGGATGAATCTCAAGATAATTATGTCAGGCAAAGAAGAGTACATAGTATATGACTGTATTTTCTAAAATTTTATATAAATGAAAACTAATTTATGGTGACAGAAAACAGGTAAGTATTGGACCGGGAAGGAGGTAAATCAGGGAAGAATTACAAAGAATCATAAGGAAACTTCTGAGGATGATGGGCTTTTCACTATCTTAATTGTGGTGATCGTTTTGTGGGCATATACATATAATTTATCAAATTGTATACTTTATATATGTGCAGTTTATTTTATGTCAGTTATACCTCAATAAAACTATTGGGGAGCCGGGCACAATGGCTCATGTCTGTAATCCCAGCATTTTGGGAGGCTGAAACAGAAGGACACTTGAGCCCATGAGTTTAAGACCAGCCTAGGCAACATGGTAAAACCCCAAAACCCCATCTCTACAAAATGAAAAAAAAAAAAAAAAAAAAGAGTTAGCCAGGCATGATGGCCCACACCTATAGTCCCAGTTACTCAGGAGGC
The DNA here is from genome assembly GCF_000001405.40 of Homo sapiens. NCBI lineage: Eukaryota > Metazoa > Chordata > Mammalia > Primates > Hominidae > Homo > Homo sapiens. The sequence goes on along the minus strand of NC_000009.12, from coordinate 130,773,576 downwards.
TGAGGTGGGAGGATCACTTGAGCCCAGGAGGTCAAGGCTTCAGTGAGCCATGATTGCACCACTACACTCCAGCCTGGACGATAGAGCAAGACCCTATTTCAAAACAATAGCAACAAAAACAAAACATTGGGGGAAAAAAGCATCTTGATTACTGAAATTAGCAAACAATGCCAAGACGTTTACAGTTTTGGCTTGTCTTTCTTATTTTCAGCTCATCTTTTATTTTTTATTTATTTTTTAAATTTTTTTTTAAATTCGAGATGGAGTTTCACTCTTGTTGCCCAGGCTGGAGTGCAATGGCACGATCTCAGCTCACTGCAACCTCCACTTCCCAGGTTCAAGTGATTCTCCTGCTTCAGCCTCCCGAGTAGCAGGATTACAGGCATGTGCCACCATGCCCGGCTAATTTTGTATTTTCAGTAGAGATGGGGTTTCTCCATGCTGGTCAGGCTGGTCTTGAACTCCTGACCTCAGGTGATCCACCCGCCTTGGCCTCCCAAAGTGCTGGGATTACAGGTGTGAGCCGCTGCACCCGGCCAGCTCATCTTTTATTTTATAGGCCTTGGGGATTTACCTTTTTTCTTGCAAGTTCAGCTATTCATTAAAAAGATGTTTATTATATTTTAGGGATCAGGTCTAAGTATTTTTGTCAGGTCAATTTTCAGGATAATCTGTCCTATCACCAGCAAAAGTCTCCCTCATACCTGTGTTTGAAGACAATGCTAAATTGTCCCTAAAGTTTGTCTATCATGTTTGCCCCCATCTCAGTCAAAATCCTCGACAGTGAAGCCCCTTGGGCAAGCATTCAGTTGGATCCTCACCTAATCCCTGTGCCCTGCGTTTTCCTCTTCCCATGCCCTTGCTCAGGACATTCACTCTGGCCAGATTCTGTGTCTCCTGCCTGTACACTTTCCTCTTTTCAACAGATTTGGGGTGTGGTGAAATTCCACCTCAGTACCCCAGGCCTCTTCATATGCCCAGATCCCGTCTCCTCCTCTTCTCCCACCAAAAACCACTCCCATCTTTTTCCCTGACCAGTCACCCTAGTGAGGAGATGTCTCTTTCCTCTCAACCGCTATAATTCTTCACATGTCTATTACTAACGTCAACCCAGTAAGGTCTAGCATTTGAATCCAGTGTCTCAGTGTTTCATCTTCTCTATTCAATTCCTGAAAATCATGACCATCTGTGAGTCTACAGTAGCACAAGCTCAATGCCTTGTACTCATGTGGACAAACAGTAAATACTTGGCAAGGGAATTGATAAGCATATGAAGGATGAAAATCCTTCAGGGAGAGTGTATGTTTGGGAGATATCTCTCTACCAAAGATGCAGGTGAGCTGACCAGACCAGTGTTCCGATGTAAATGACTGAAATCCAGCCAGTCACAACTGCTTAGAAGTATCCATTTCAAATCTAAAAGGCAGGGAAATACTGTGCTTCAAGAGAATCACAACTGAAATGTTAACATTATTCTCCCTAAGGCAGTTACCAGGAAGCATTTTTTAAAAACACCAACTTTTGGCTGGGCGCAGTGGCTCATGCCTGTAATCCCAGCACTTTGGGAGGCCAAGGCTGGCGGCTCACCTGAGGCCAGGAGTTTGAGACCAGCCTGGTCAACATGGCGAAACCCCATCTCTACTGAAAATACAAAACTTAGCTGGGCGTGGTGGCACGTGCCTGTAGCCCCAGCTACTCAGGAGGCTGAGGTGGGAGGATTGCTTGAGCCCAGGAGGAGGAGGTTGCAGTGAGCCAAGATTCTGCCACTGCACTCCAGCCTGGGCGACAGAGTAAGACTCTGTCTCAAAAAAAAAAAAAAAAAAAGAAAGAAAGAAAGAAAGAAAAAGTCATTTGACCAAGGAAACTATACTGCAGCTTCTCTTAGGCTGGGTACTGCTGCTATCCCAGTATGACTTAAGAACACATTAGGTTAAAAATAAATAAATAAATAAAAACATCAGCTTTTGAAGGATAAATACCTATGATACTTTCCTTACAGATGTATTTTTTCTTTTCCTGTCAAGCACATAAACTTCTGAGTGAAGATATTTGGAACACTTAAAAAGTATAACATCAGTTAATGTACATGAATATGTCATAATGCCTAAGAAAGAACAAATGTTCCTGTATTTTGGCATCTGTATAAGTTATCAAGCTAATAAAATGACAGGACCCTACTTCCCTAAAAAAAACTTAAAGCACAAATGTAGAATATAAACTGGCACTCTACTTAGAAGGCTGAGGTGGGAAGATCACTTGAGGCCAAGAGTTCAAGACCAGCCTGGGCAACATAGTGAGGCCCCATCTCTACATACATACATACATACATACATACACACACACACATACATACATACATACAGCTGCCCCTATCAACTCCATGCCTAATACTCAATGCTGGCCTACAATTTTCAGTTTGGCTTTTGAAGGGAGCACCACCATGTGGTGAATGTTTTTAGTACACTTTTAATACAGATCCCAATAGGATGTTATATACATGTAAAAAGGAAGAAACCAATTATCCAGGCCCAATACAATGTAAAATAAACAGATATAGACACATTTTATAACATTACTTTTATACTGACCAAATTTTAGAGTTCAACTATTAAGAGTTGAGATATTATCTGTTCCTTCAGGAGGATTCAGATTATGAACCTCCTTTCATGTTAGTAAGTGAGACCCAGAGTCGGTAATTCACCCAAGGGACTAGGTTAAGGGGTAGGCTGGGAATGTGATAGTACCGGGTCTACAACCCTGGTCTCCTGCCTATTTATATTGTCCCACATCTCTTCTCTTTTATGTGAAATACAGATTATTTGGAAACTTAAATTTTTATTTATTTAACAAGCAGATATATAGCATTTACTATGTGCTGTAACTGTTCTAAGCACTTTTAAATATTTGAAAGCAATATTTAGAACAGTGCCTGCACACAGTAAGCACTATATGTGCCAAGTAATTAAAAGTTTGAAACCTCCAAAACCTCCAAATAATTTGCATTTCGTGCCGCTCCTTTCCTATGGAGACTCTGAAGAAGACTGTATTGTCAATCTTTTAAACATTTTTGGAGACAAGTGCTTATGCTGTGGCCCAGGCTGGAGTGCAGTGGTGCAGTCATAGCTCACTATCACCTCAAACTCCTGGGCTCAGGTGATCCTCCTGCCTCAGCCTCTTGAGTAGCTGGGACTACAGGTGTGCACCACCACACCCGGCTAATTTTTCAATTTTTTGTAGAGATGGGGTCTTGCTACATTGCCCAAGCTGGTCTTGAACTCCCGGCTTCAAGTGATCCTCCCGCCTTGGCCTCTCAAAGCATTGGGATTACTGGCATGAGCCACCATACCCAGTCTTATAAATCTTAATAATCTTCTAGGGTTTAAAAAAAAAAGAGAGAGAGAGAGACAGAGAGAGAGACAACTGGTAGAAATAAAGACAACAAAGCCAGAGTTCTGTGCTCTAGGACCCTGGAGCACTGTCCTTCAGCTGGTGAATGGATAAACAAACTGTGGTACATCTATGCAAGAGAATACTACTCAGAGACACAAAAGGAGGAAATGTGGATAACATGCAACAACGTGGTTGACTCCTCACCCATTATATTGAATGAAAGAAGCCAGATTCAAAGGCTTCAGACTGTACTATTCCATTGATATGACATTCTGGAAAAGGCAAAACTACAGGGACAAAAAAACAGATCAGGGTTGCCAGCAGCTGGGAGAAGAGAGAAAGGATGACTACAAAAGGGCCGCACAAGGGAATTCTAGGGGGTGATAGAACTGTTCTGTATCTCAAAAGGGGTGGCAATTTCACAAGTGTATGTATTTGTCAAAGTCCATAGAACTGTATAATAAAGAAGGGGAATATTATGATATGTAAATTATACCTCAATAAACCTGACTAAAAAATAATACAATACAATACAATAAAAGACTAGGGGCCGGGGACGGTGGCTCACACCTGTAATCCCAGCACCTTGGGAGGCCAAGGTGGGTAGATCACCTGAGGTCAGGAGTTTGAGACCAGCCTGGCCAACACGGTGAAACCCCATTTGTACTTAAAATATATATATACAAAATTAGCCAGTCATGGTGGTGCACACCTGTAATCCCAGCTACCTGGCAGGCTGAGGCAGGAGAATCGCTTGAACCCGGGAGGTGGAGGCTGTAGTAAGCCAAGATAGCACCATTGCACTCCAGCCTGGACAAGAGCGAAACTCCAACTCAAAAAAAAAAAAAAAAAAAAAAGACTAGGGCCATAGTTTGGCTCTCCAAATTAAAGCTAAAGAAGTTGCATTCCATAAAAGTTAAACAACAACTGATTAAACTGTTTTCCTCTATAACCGACCTACTCTAGTTAGACCTTTGGCCCTTACTAACTTTATAACTACCTTTTATAATAGTTACAAGTTATTGATCTAACTATACAACAAGCACTATTCTGTTTCTTTAGGTTTACTGCTTAATTTTCTGTGCCAATGACAGATGTATGTGAAATAAAGAGTGAAAAATTCCCCCTCACGTCCCCAGGCCATACCCACCCCGATCCATTCCACTCTCAAAAGATAACCACTATCGACAGACCTTTCTCAACATATTTACAGACCCGATTTTTCTCTGTAGTATAAATGGGATTATATTACCCTTGCTTTTCCATTGAACACATTGAACACATCAATCCACATAAAACTACCTCTAGCTCTTTAACAGCCACAGAGTGTTGTACAGAATGACAGCCACAATTATGTAGCTGTTCCCAATGAACAAATATTTAAGTTACTTCCAATTGTCTCTAGTTAGGTTTCTCATAGGGGTTTTAATTTAATTCTCACAAAGACCCTATAGAGTGGGCCTATTATAGACAGGTCCTCCAAGGCTTGGAAGGATGCACTAATTCGTTCCTTCAACAAAGACTATTCTGTGCCAGGAACACGACAGCAGACAGGGTCAGACAGAGCCTTGGCCATCAGGTAACTTACTACCGTTCTTCTTCACTGGCTCTAACAAGCAACATCCCCCAGACCAGTGCAAAGCCAGGCTGATGCAAGGGCTCTGGGGAGGCCTTTCAGCCTAGCTGGGGGCAGGGTGGTCATCAGTGGAAACTTCCTGTTTCTGCTCCTTGGTGCTGCCTCACTTCCACCGCCATCAGACTGAGGATACACAGCTAGTCGTCACTGGCTCTGTCCTGGGGGGACTTTGCTCTTGCCAGTGACAGTCTTCCATACGCTCTGAGTTGCTGCTAAATGCCCGTGCACACCAAGCCTCCCAAGTTACAGACCTAGCAGAGCATGAATTATTTTACAAATTCACAAATGTAGCAACCAAGTAAATCCTGCTGCCAGTCTTCCCATCAAGAAGGAAACAGAAAAAGCAGAGGCTGCAAGCTCTAATGCTTACAGGGTTCAGGAAGTTGTACACATAGGAGTGTATGGGGGTTGGGGGGAAGGGGGCTCTCCCATCTGGGTGATGCTGTTCAAGAGAGCAGCGGCTACTCAGCTCCAGCAGATAGCTACCATGTGAAAACGCAGGGTTTTGGAAGTAAAATATATTGTTTTAAAAAAATTACGATGGAAATCTTAAAATTTCCTAATTTTTAAATCCATAGGTTCCACTTCATTTTTTTCCTCGCAATTTCCATGTTAATTAAACCAAGTCATTTGTTGTGCAGAATTCCCACCAGTCTAAATCTTGATGATTGAATTTAACATGTCACTTTCTTCTGCATGAAACTTTATTTTCTCAAATGCAGGTGGCCATTTCTGTTTAAAAGAGATGTCCTATTTGTGAATGTGTGTGTACGTGTGTGTGAGTGTGCACACACATGCACACGTGCACTTTACTTCAGAGAGCTGGCCTGTGGCTGCTCTGAGGAATCAAATGTGTTCCCTTTTCATAAAACCTGCAGCTCCTCCAGAACTAAAACTCGGTATTCAAATATGAGGTCAGGCCGGGCACAGTGGCTCCTGCCTGTAATCCCAGCACTTTGGAGGGCCCAGGCGGGTGGATCACCTGAGGTCAGGAGTTCGAGACCAGCCTGGCTAACATGTTGAAACCCCATCTCTACTAAAAATACAAAAATTAGCCAGACGTGGTGGCAGGCACCTGTAATTCCAGCTACTCGGGAGGCTGAGGCACAAGAATCGCTTGAACCCGGGAGGCGGAGGTTATAGTGAGCAGAGATTGTCACTGCAGTCCAGCCTGGACAACAGAGTGAGACTCCGTCTCAGAAAACAAGAAGTCAGACTCTCCACTGTAACATGGCATTCTGAGGCCATGTGAATCTTTAGAAGAATGGGATCGCAAAGGGACTCCTGGAATTCCAAACAGATCTATCAATAATTGAATGAGGTAGTTTCAGATGGCATGAGCTGCAAAGAAATGAAAAGGGGAAGAGGACAAAGAGCTGATGCTGGTGTGGGTACTGTGGCCTGGGCCATCAGGGAAGGTCTTTCCGAAAAGATGTCATGTGAGCTGGGGCCTGCATGGGTCTGAAAGAGCCAGGCACCAGAAGCTGAGTGAAGGGCAGGGCCCAGGGAACCCTAAGAGGAAAAAGCACTGGCAGTAAACAAAGGGAGTGACAGGAGGGAAATTCGAGAGGGAAACCAGGCCCAGACCACGCAGGCTGTGGAGAGAAGCTGAACATTACTCTAACTGAGATGGGTACCCATCGAGGGACAGGAAACTGGGTAGTGAAAAGATCTGATGTAAGTTTCTAAGGGAGGGTCTCTCTGCTAGCAGGAGGAGGACAGACCCAGATGGCAACAGGAGGCTGGGAAGTCTTTGAGATCAGAGCCGGGGCAAGGCAGGGTGGGGCCGGGGTGGTAGCCCTGACAGCAGAGCAGTGGGTGGTGTGAGGTTTATTCTAGGCACTTGTGACTGTATCGGACAAGAAAGAGAGGGCAGAGGAGGAGGCAAGGATGAAAGCTAGAGGGTGGCAAGGCCCTGGGGGGAGATGATGCTGGGGTCACAGGCTGTGGCCTTGTCCCCAAGTCCTAAGGCATCAAAAACAGACAAGGCCAGGTTTGGTGGGAACTCACTAAGTCAAAAGAAAAGGCCCCTGCAAGTGCCTACACTTCCTCATCTTCCTAACCACGGGGCACACTCATTTGTATCCCAATGAGACACATCCAGTACCTGCACCCTCCAGCTCCCTGTCAGAAGCCACCAGTGGTGGGGCCGCCCTTCACTGCATGTTTACCACTCTTTCCTCAGGGCCCTACGCAGAAGTCTGTCTGCGGTCATGGATCTCTTCCTGGGCCTACAGTAAGGCATCTGTCCTGACAGTAAGGCATCTGTCCTGCCCAGCAAGACCCGCCTTCCAGGCTCCAGTCATCCGCATGCCCCTGAGCAGGCTGGCGGGGGCACTGGGGGCCGAGGCTTCTTGGTATGTGTCTGTGAGTGCCATGGCCGCATTCTTGAGAGCGCACCAACGCATGCCACGGCCCGGGGCCCTCACAGTCACAAGCTCCTGAGCAGCAGTTTCTCTGCAAGCCTGGGAAACAGGTCGTGGGCGATGACCTGCACCCACTTCATCTCCATCTGCCAAATACAGTCTGATGAATTCACCCAATTCTTCCCTTTATCTTTTCTTTCCTCAGGGAAGCACTCAAATATGAGACCAACACCCTGTCCTTGTGACTGCTTCTTTACCAAATTCTGCTGACAAACCGTTTTTCCACCAAGCCACCACAGACAAGTGATTAGTTTGGTCATTGCCAGGATTAAGAAAACCTGCCTATTATGCCCCATTAGATTCACAGTAACTTTCCAAAATTTCAATATGTGTTCAAGCATTAAATCTGTGGCATAAAGAAGAAAGCAGCAAAGGGAACTGGGGGGCCTAAAGAACAGAAGAGAAACACAAAGGCTGTCAGGTCTAATTGTGCCTCTACGTTACCAAATGACTTTCATTTCCTTCCTTATAAGAGAAATGAATACTGATCCGTCACTGTTAACACTCAGGTACACTGACGTACCCAGTAGACCTTCCAGAAGGGCAACTGGCAATATGTATCAAAAACCTTTAAAAGTTTCTATTCTTTTGATGTAGAAATTCCACTTCTAGGAATTTATCGTAAGGCCATAAGAATGTACAAAAATGGATCATGAAGATTCTGGGAGAAAAACTACAAACAATAGAAGCATTTGAGGCTTAGGGAAATGAATCATGGCCTATCCAACACCACAAGGATTTCCATGTAGACAGGATTTCCATCCTGCTAGCTACACGTTTTGAAGTGGGGGAGCAGCACCCAGGTGGCCCCCGGGTTGCTGGCTGTAGCACTGTCATAACCAAACCAAAGCCTCCCCTTGTACCTCTGAAAAAACCCCTTGAGAAGCTGATGAAGGATATGGACCTCCTCGCCCAAAAATAGCAAACCCAAAAACCAATAACCAAACATGAGACTGCACAAATGTTTGCATGTAATTTCAGGAAGCCTTAGAAGTCCAGAGGAAAGCAAATTATTCATATTTAACAACAAAAAAATCATCTTGACAAAATGATGAATTCTGAAAATGATCAACTCTGGCCAAAAAGAAAAGGGTGGAGGAACTTGTCTTTGGTTAATCAGCACACTACAAATTCTACTTGTATCCCTTGTATCCTCTTTTTTTTTTTTTTTGAGACAGTCTTGCTCTGTCACCCAGACTGGAGTACAGTGGCACAATCTTGGCTCACTGCAACCTCCACCTCCCAGGTTCAAGTGATTCTCCCACCTCAGCCTCCCAATTAGCTGGGATTACAGGCATGCGCCACCACGCCCAGCTAATTTTTGTATTTTTAGTAGAGACAGGGTTTCACCATGTTAGCCAGGCTGATCTCGAACTCCTGACCTCGTGATCCACCTGCCCTGGCCTCCCAAAGTGCTGGGATTACAGGCATGAGCCACTGTGCCTGGCCTTTTACTTGCCTCCTCTTAAGTGACATTATTCATCCAAGCCCAAGGTGTCAGGGACCCAAAACACAACATATCTGACCTTACGCATAACAAGCAAAAGAAAACACAGTGCCACCACGAAAAAGAAATCTGCACAGGTGTCCAGGTTTATCGAATGCATATATCAGAAGGAGAATCTGATGCTGCTAAATAAGCTAAACACATTGTTACAAGAAGAAGCACAAAGCACAGTCCCCCAATGGAAGCGGGAACTTTGAACATGGGAAAGGGTCAGCAATACAGTTCAGTCCCAACCAACAGGACCAGAGCTAGTTCCCTCCAGCAATAATGAAATAAAACTTGAAAAGCTCTGGACAGATGCCTCCTACACACAAACCTCACTTCACAGAAGAAACGCACTCCAGAAAACTCGGCTCCTATTTTCTCCCCTGGTTTCTGGGGTAAGCTCAGCTATATTCCTAGAGAAGAAAGATCTCCCTCAAGGACACAGTGATGTGTGTGTCCTGGCCTCTCTGACCCTGGCCCGCCTTGCTGTCTCCTCCAGGCCATGCGCTACTGCAGGCAGTGCCTTCCCACTCAGGACCTTCCTACAAACCTCCCCTCAGCCTGGAACACCCTCACCTCCCAAACGCCCACTCAGCGGCCCAGTCTCTGCCTAAGTGTCTCCTCTGGGAAGCCTCTTCTGCCCGTTCCCTGCCCCCATTATGTTAGGTTCATGTTCCCCTTGTGCTGGCAGGGGGTGGTAGCGGTACACGTGCCATTATGATGCTCATTTTACAGGCAGCGAGTGGCAAGCCTCCAAAATGCCCCCACTGATTCCCGGCACATTTGCTGAGTGAGTGCCCTCCCTCACTGAATAGGGTAGACTGGGGAACCAACAGGATACTGCAGAACAGCAGGGTAGCATCTGTGATTATAAAGACATGTCACTTCTGCCTTGTGATCTCTTGGATTACTTGCTCTGGGGAAAGCTGCTGACATGTTGTGAGGACACGCAAGAAGCATGTGGAGAGGTCCGTGTGGCAAGGAACTGTGGCCTCCTGTCAACTGCCAGCACTGCTCGCCAGCCCTGTGAGTGAGCCATCTTGGAGGCAGGCCTGCCAGCCCCAGTTAAGCCTTCAAATGACTCTGAAGTCCCAGCTGAAATCTTGTCTACAATCTCATGAGAGACCACAAGCTAGAACCACTCAGCTAACCCACTTCTGAATTCCTGATCTAACAGACCTCAAGGGCAAGAACCATGACTGTCCTTTTTAATATTATAGCCCAACCTAACACCAATATAATATACCTGGCATATTGTAGGCATTGTGTTAAGAGAATGAATAAATGGAATTAATTAAATGAAAAAAAACCACAAAAATGTTGAGTGGATGGTAGAGTGACATGCTCTATTCTTTACTTTGCTAAATTTAAATTTTTTTCCACAATTAACATGTATTATGGGGTCACTTCACTTGGATTCAATTTGAACTAGAACCTGAAATGAAAAAAAAAAAAAGCAATTATCCAAATGTCCCAGGGCAGGGGAACCAGAAAGAAGTGCAAAGGCCCTGAGGCTGAAACAAATGTCATACTGAAGAAACAGAAAGATGGGCCAATGATACATGAAGCGATGCTGGGACCTAGGCCAGATCTTGGTTATATGCTTGGCTTTTTTTGTGACATGGAAGGAGAAGCTATTAGGTTTTAAGCAGAGGAGCAACATGATCTCATTTGCATTCCTGAAAGACTATTCAGGTTTCCTTTTCTTTTTTTTTTTTTTTTTGAGACGGAGTCTCGCTCTGTCACCAGGCTGGAGTGCAGTGGCGCCATCTTGGCTCACTGAAAGCTGCACCTCCCGGGTTCATGCCACTCTCCTGCCTCAGCCTCCCGAGTAGCTGGGACTACAGGCACCCGCTACCACACCCGGCCAATTTTTTGTATTTTTAGTAGAGAAGGGGTTTCACCGTGTTAGCCAGGATGGTCTCGATCTCCTGACTTTGTGATCCACCTGCCTCAGCCTCCCAAAGTGCTGGGATTACAGGTGTGAGCCACCACGCCCAGCCAGATTATTCAGGTTTTCATATGAAAAATAACTAGCAGAGGAGGAAGACTGAAAGCAGGAGTATCAGTAAGGAGGCTATTGCACAAGCCCACAGGAAGTGATGGACTCGATCAGACACCCCTGTAAAGTGTTCAGCAAAACCCTGCACATTCAACACACCCAACAACTGTTAATTTCTTTGTAAATGCTCAGTTTGAAAGTCACTATAAACAAGTTTCCCAAAAGTGCACACACATGCACACCACACAAATTTAAAAATTACCATGTTTTATATTCAATGGCACAGAAGAATATTTACAATATATATATTTTTAAAGGCAAATGAACAAAAACAGCCTATCTACTATGAACCCTCCTTCAGACAAGAGTGGCTACGGCAGAGAAATAAATGTTACCACAAGGTGGTTATCTCTGGGGGTGGGGTTCTAGGTAACTGTTACCTTCTTCAGCATCTCTTTCTGTACTTGTGAATTTTTTTTTTTTTTTGAGCTGGGAGTTTCGCTCTTGTTGCCCAGGCAGAAGTGCAATGGCGTGATCTTGGGTCCCCACAAACTTCGCCTCCCAGGTTCAAGTGATTCTCCTGCCTCAGCCTCCCAAGTAGCTGGGATTACAGGCACGCGCCAGCAAGCCCAGCTAATTTTGTATTTTTAGTAGAGACGGGGGTTTCCCCACGTTCGTCAGGCTGGTCTCTAACTCCCGACCTCAGGTGATCCACCCGCCTCGGCCTCCCAAAGTGCTGGGATTACAGGTGTGAGCCACTGAGCCCAGATGTGAATTTTCTTATTAAATAATGAGCATTTATTTATTTTGTAATGTGATGAATATAAAATCACTTTCATTTGTCAAATAAAAGAGAAAAAAAACCTGTAACTTTCCTGTATACTAAAAAACAAAATTTGAAGAAATGGTTAGTCTTACTAAATGAAGATTCAAATTACTTCAGAGAAGTAATGTTCTTATTAATGTGGGTGTTCTGATCACACCATAGCACTGGAGTGGCACCACGCGTGATGCGGAAAAGAAATCCTGTGCTCATTGTTTGATGAAGGTCAACAGCTTTCGATGCCTAATAATGACTTTTGAAAAAATTAAAAGGGGAGTTGATTAAAACAGGGGTTTTTCAGCATGTCTTGATTTTGTCCTCCTTCCGGTCTGAATAATGCTTTAAAAGAGGGACCTTTCCTTCACAAGGGAGAGAGAAAAGACCATGGGAGGCTTCAGGGTAGGGAGGGACTGGAAGGTTTACAGACTAAGTCCTTATCATGAGGAGAAAAGAGAGATGCCATTCTCCCACCTAGAAGTCAATGATCAGATTTTAATGGTATGCCAAAGGCTGTGAATGGTCATAAAAAGGGGAGGAAATAGGCCGGGCGCAGTGGCTCACGCCTGTAATCCCAGCACTTTGGGAGGCCAAGGCGGGTGGATCACGAGGTCAGGAGATCGAGACCATCCTGGGTAACACAGTGAAACCCTGTCTCTACTAAAAATACAAAAACATACCGAAAACAAAATATTAGTAGCCAGCCGTGGTGGTGGGCGCCTGTAGTCCCAGCTACTCGGGAGGCTGAGGCAGGAGAATGGTGTGAACCTGGGAGGCGGAGCTTGCAGTGAGCCGAGATTGCACCACTGCACTCCAGCCTGGGCGAAAGAGCGAGACTCCGTCTCAAAAAAAAAAAAAAAAAAAAAAGCAGGGGCGGGGGAGGAAATAGCACTTTGCGGGGGCTGACCACGAGGTCAAGAGATTGAGACCATCCTGGCCAACATGGTGAAACCCCGTCTCTACCAAAAAATAATGCAAAAATTAGCTGGGTGTTGTGGCCCGTGCCTGTAGTCCCAGCTACTCGGGAGGCTGAGGCAGGAGAATCTCTTGAACCTGGGAGGTGGAGGTTGCAGTGAGCCGAGATCGCGCCACTGCACTCCAGCCTGGCGACAGAGCGAGACTCCATTTCAAAAAAAAAAAAAGTGGGGGAGGAAATAAATCTAGTCTCCCAAAAAGTTTACAAGAGAAATTTTCTTCCTTAACAACTAGAGAAGCAGTATACTGAGAATTTAGTTTCCTAACATTTAAGCAGAAAAGTCATCTCCCAATATTTTCCGTTATTTTATGAGGGTCAGTGATGTAGCCACTTGAAAAAGATCAGAATACATCCTACTTTCAAAAACCCTTGACATCTGTAAGACTTGGAAGGGTCTATGTTAAGATAACTGAAAGAAATCCAGGAACAACAGATTTCTTGTTTCAATCAGTAATGATCAGGGGGACAGTAGCTTCTATTACAAACCCAAAAGGAACAGGAATCCTAATGGCCAACAGTGTCCCAGCTCTTAATAGAGAAGTCCTACACTAAAGGACTGATGTTAAGGAGGGAGCTACTGTTTACCCTTGGTACAGCAAAATGACATCCCAACAGCACCATGATCTGCAGGCAAGGCAATGGCAAAGTTAACCCAAATTGGTCTGTGACCCAAGCATAAGGGGACTAGCCACATTTCAACCAGGTTAAATCTTTAAAACTAAACAACTGGCTGGGTGTGGTGGCTCATGCCTGTAATCCCAGCAGTTTAGGAGGCTGAAGTGGGAGGATTGCCTAAGCCCAGGAGTTAGAGGCCAGCCTGGACAACGTAGTGGGACCCCGTCTCCAAAAAAAAAAAAAAAAAAAAAAAAAATTAAATTACCTAAATGTGTGGCACAAGCACGTAGTCCCAGCTAGTTGAGAGGCTGAGATGGGACAATCACTTGAGCCTAAGAGGTTAGAGCTGCAGTGAGCTGTAACTGTGCCACTGCACTCCAGCCTGAGCAACAGAGTGAGACCCTGTTTCAGGAAAAAACAAAACAAGAAACCTAAACAATGACAGCGTGTCCTAGGGGAAGAAATGTGAAGCCTCCTATACCGGCTCCACCACTGAGACATGGTCTCCAGCCAGTTTCAGTAGAAAGATGCCTGGCTAGTATGAGGTTGGTGCAAAAGGAATCACAGTTTTTACACTGTTGGAATTTGTCATTTGATATTCGAGTACATTCTTAAATAAATGTGGTTATGTTATACATTATTTTAATGGGCATTTCTCACTTTACATTTTTTTGCTAATGACTTATTCCTTGCTGTTTATGTTTACTTTAGACTGTGAAAATGATGTTAGACAAAAAGCAAATTCGAGCAATTTTCTTATTCAAGGTCAAAATGGATTGTAAAGCACTGGAGACAACTCGCAACATCAACAACGCATTTGGCCAAGGAGCTGCTAATGAAACGTACAGTGCAGTGGTGGTTCAAGAAGTTTTACAAAGGAGACGAGAGCCTTGAAGATGAGGAGTGCAATGACCGGCCATCAGAAGTTGACAACGACCAGTTGGGAGATCAATCACAGAAGCTGATCCTCTTACAACCATAAAAGAAGTTGCTGAAAAACTCAATGTTGACCATTCTATGATCATTTGGCATTTGAAGCAAATTGGGAAGTTAAGCGGGTCCCACATCAGCAAAAATTTTTAAAAAATCATGTTTAAGTGTCGTCTTCTCTTCCTCTACGCAACAACAAACCATTTCTTGATCAGATTGTGATGTGCGACAAAAAGTGGATTTTATACGACAAACAGCAATGACCAGCTCAGTGTTCGGACCGAAAGAGGTTCCAAAGCACTTCCCAAAGCCAAACTAGCACCAAAAAAAGGTCATGGTCACAGCTTGGTGGTCTGCTGCCTGTGTGATCCACTACAGCCTTCTGAATCCCGGCGAAACCATCACATCTGAGAAGTATGCTCAGCAAATCGATGAGATGCACCGAAAACTGCAATGCCTGCAGCCGGCACTGGTCAACAGGAAGGGCCCAATTCTTCTCCATGACAACACCCAACTGCACATCTCACAACCAACGCTTCCAAAGTTGAATAAATTGGGGCCGGATGCGGTGGCTCACACCTGTAATCCCAGCACTTTGGGAGGCCGAGGTGGATGGATCACTTGAGGTCATGAGTTCAAGACCAGCCTGGCCAACATGGCAAAACCCCGTCTCTACTAAAAATATGAAAATTATCTGGGCTTGGTGGCGCACGCCTGTAATCTCAGCTACTTGGGAGGCTGAGGCAGGAGAATTGCTTGAACCCAGGAGGCGGAGGTTACAGTGAGTCGAGACTGCGCCACTGCATTCCAGCCTGAGCAACAGAGTGAGACTCCGTCTCTGGTGGCTCATGCCTGTAATCCCAGCACTTTGGGAGGCCAAGGCGGGTGGATCACCGGAGTCAGGAGTTCCGAGAGCAGCCTGGCCAACACGGTGAAACCCCATCTCTACTGAAATACAAAAATTAGCCAGACGTGGTAGTACACGCCTGTAATCCCAGCTACTCGGGAGGCTGAGGCAGGAAAATGGCTTGAACCCAGGAGGTGGAGGTTGCAGTGAGCCAAGATCGCACCACTGCACTCCAACTTGGGTGACAGAGCGAGACTCTGTCTCAAAAAAGAAAAAAAAAAAAAATCTTAGCCACTCTGCAAAACACAATAGAGATAATATATGTCAAGCACCCAGTCCGATACCTGGGTCAGAGTAAGTGCTTGATATAAGTTAGCAAATCATCTAAGTACTATTAACAACATCTCTTCAAGGAAGGGATTATTATAAGCCCCATTTTATAGCTAAGAGAACTGAGGAGAAAAGAAGGGACAGCACCTGGGTGTGCCCTGGAGGGGCCATTGCTTCCTCACTTTCTCAAAATCTTCATCAACTTTCTCGTCTTTCAGGTAAAATTTTGGTTTTCTTTCTTTTTATTTGAGACACACATAAAAAAAATGCCTGGCCGGGCGCAGTGGCTCATGCCTGTAATCCCAGCACTTTGGGAGGCCGAGGCGGGTAAATCACAAGGTCAGGAGATCGAGACTAGCCTGGCTAACACAGTGAAACCCCATCTCTATAACAAAATACAAAAAAAATTAGCCGGGCGTGGTGGTGGGTGCCTGTAGTCCCAGCTACTCGGGAGGCTGAGGCAGAAGAATCACTTGAACCCAGGAGGCGGAGGTTGCAGTGAGCTGAGATCGCACCACTACACTCCAGCCTGGGTGACAGAGCAAGACTCTGTCTCAAAAAAAAAAAAAAAAAAAAGGCCTGGAGTACAGTGGTTCAACCTTAGTTCACTGCAACCTCTGCTTCCCAGGCCCAAGCGGTCCTCCCACCTCAGCCTCCCTAGTAGCTGGGACTACAAGCATGCGCTACCATGCCCCAGCTAATTTTTGTATTTTTTACAGGGACCAGGTTTCATCGTGTTGCTCAGGCTGGTCTTGAACTCCTAGGCTCAAACAATCCTCCCACCTTGGCCTCCCAAAGGGCTGGGATTACAGACATGAGCCACTGTGGCTGGCCAATTTCAGTTTTCAATAGGAAAACAGGACTTAATGCTTCCCCCATCTGGCTTTCTCCTCCAGGAGTCAGAGGAGCTCTTCCCGAGTGGGCTGATGCTGCTGATCTTAGAGCCTATCTTAAAGTACCTCATTCTCACCAAGTTCTGAGAATATGAACACAGCCGGCCTCAGGTTCTTCACTTATAAAGCAAACTTCTAAAAGGGTCCCAAACTGCCTTCTCACAGACGGCTGGAAGGGAATTCTGCAGAATGGAATGTTCTGGGTCCCCCTTTCCATCGGCTCCCTGCTCTGGAGCACAGCTGTGTAGTGAAGATGACAGGCAGTGCCCTAAGGGGACTCCAGCTCTGCCCAGGAGGAGGGCTTGAAGGATTCCAAATGCCCAAATTCCAAACCATGAGCTCAAGGCAAAAAGGAGCTTTGTTTCCATTTTCTTTTAAAACACCCTCAGACATACATTCTCCAAAACCTTCTTATAGCCAAGTTAAAGAGGATACAGATCAGGCATCCCTATTAGAACACAGTCAACCAAGGCTGATGCTGCAAAGGCCAGTGTCAGGCTGACGCTGTGTTACAAGTTTCTTTTAGATATCTGAAGATACTCAGCAAGGAGCAACAACAGAAACATCCCCTTCCCCTCAACTCACACTAGCCCTAACTTCTCTTTTTTGGCAAAATGCTATCGAGCTGCCTTAAACACAGTGAGCAGAATCCCAAAAGTGAAGAGAAAATGTCAGAGTAAAACAGAGCTCAGTGGCTTGGAATATAGCAACGCCGAAAAATAGCTGAAAAAGGCACCAATTTTGCTGTATTTAGACTCAAAATGTTGTAAAAGTTAAGAATTAAGTGACCCACTGAATTAGCCAATTTGAAATCTAAAGATTGCTGCAACAGTGTGTGGGAAATCTGAACAAATGAAATGGCAACCTTTCATTTGACAAAAAAAAAAAAAATTAAAACTTCCATACAAATGCAGGAAGCCCAAGAGGCAGAGCTCTCTCCAGGAAAACCGAATGAGAAAGCTCTCTGCTAACCACGTCTGTCAAATGTCAAGGAGAAAAGGGAAATGAGAAAACAAAGCCTCCCAAAGTCAACTGCCTTTCTAAATCAGTATAAATACCACAGCATTTGGATTTGTTGATCTTTTCATTTAAAAACCTGTTCTTCTCTATGAGAAAAGTGGTTGCCCCTTTTCTCACAGACATGCTTCCTTTGAAATAATACTAAGTGGCTTACATAAGGGGCCATCTACTATGCTATCAAGTCATTTTTTTTTAATAAATGAGAAGTGTAATCAACTTTTCTCTGTGTTTTGACAAAAATTCATCTATGATATTACAGAGTGCTGCTGCTGCACACGGAAGCCCTTGAAGGACAGGCCCTGAGCTGTGTCCTCGTCCTCCTCGGCCACCAACCTCGCAGCTAGAACTGCCATCTGCAGATGGAAAGTCACAGCCCTGATCTCTGGAGGCCAGGAAGAGCGGCAGACTGCCAGGATTCCACCAACCCCTACAAACCCAGGAAAAGGAGCTTCAGGGCTGGTGGCAACGTCATTTGCTCAAGAAAACAGAGTTCTGGTTTTTCCAAGATGGAAAACAGAGGGGAATTGGTCAAAAGGGTCTCCTAACTCATACATTATTACAGCCTTATGAATGAACAGGAACACCATGTGAGGGGGCACGTCTTGCTGAACTCAAAGGAAATACGTCCTACCAGGCAATTATTCTGATCATTATAGTTGATTCTTTCCAGAGACCACGAACATGCAGATAGTGATGAGTGAGCAACACATATGCAGAAAGCACTGAGGGGACAGAGTACACAGAGACTGTTCTGTCAATGCTACTACTGAAGCAGGTCGACAAGCAAAGCCTCACCTTCTGCACAAGGAGGAACTACAGGGAACCACCCTACTCTGTGAATGTCACCCCCATTTCTAGTCGCCAGACTCACAGTCATGGAATCATTTTTACCTCTCTCCCCTCTGACCAATCCCACATCCAAGATGCCTACTGGTGTCCTCTGCCTTTCTTCAGGCTCTTCTCATGTCCTACTTAAGGGTACTCCTTTCCACTCCCAACCTAAATTCAGATTACAGAATAATTTTCTTAAATCATAGCTCTGATATTTTAACAAATTCCTTCAACAACTATTTATTGAAGATCTACCATGTGCCAAGTACTGTTCTAGGCGCTCAGGACACTTTTGTGGAGCTTTCATGGTGCTAATATCTTACTGGGTATGTATAATGCCCAATGTCCACCAAATATCTCCAAAATCTTTGGCTTGGTACTCAAGGTCATCTTTGAGGAAGCCCAAACATGCTTTCCTGCCTTACTCCACGTACTCCTCTGACTATCCTAGCCAAGCCATTCCTAACACCCTTTGCCCTTTCCCACCTGAATATATCTTCTCTCCCTGAGCAGACAATAATCTCCCTGAGAGCAGAGGCCCTATCTATTCCCTAGTCCGCTTGTTAAAAGCACTCAGAAAAGGAAGAGTGCTGAGAAGCCCCGCACGGTATTCAAACCCCATCTATATCTTCCTATCTTGCCTCTCCTTTAATACCTCCAATGACCAATAATCACTGGCTTCCAAGCCCCCCCCATTACTTGATTGCTCTCATTATCTGAAAGCTCTTTTCATACTGAGTCCAAATGTGCCTTATTTTGTGACTTCCATCCGCAGCTCCTAATTGTGCCTTCCAAAGCAGTGTAGGGTGAGACCAACTCCCCTTTACATGATAGTAAATTTTTTTTTTTTTTTTTTTTTTTGAGACGGAGTCTCGCTCTGTCGCCCAGGCTGGAGTGCAGTGGCACGATCTCGGCTCACTGCAAGCTCCGCCTCCCAGGTTCACGCCATTCTCCTGCCTCAGCCTCCCGAGTAGCTGGGACTACAGGTGCCCGCCACCACGCCTGGCTAATTTTTTGTATTTTTAGTAGAGACGGGGTTTCACCATGTTAGCCAGGATGGTCTCGATCTCCTGACCTCGTAATCCACCCGCCTCGGCCTCCCAAAGTGCTGGGATTACAGGCGTGAGCCACCACGCCTGGTCTCTCTTTTTTTTTTTTTTCTGAGACAGAGTCCCACTCTTGTTGCCCAGACTGGAGTGCAGTGGTGCAATCTTGGCTCACTGCAACCTCCGCCTCCTGGGTTCAAGCGATTCTCCTGCCTCAGCCTCCCAAGTAGCTGAGATTATAGGCAACGCCACTACCCCCAGCTAATTTTTTTTATATTTTAGTAGAGACGGGGTTTCACCATGTTGGCCAGACTGGTCTCGAACTCCTGACCCAGGTGATACACCCGCCTCAGCCTCCCAAAGTGCTGGGATTACAGGCGTGAGCCACCGCGCCCAGCGACAATAAATATTTTCAAAACAGCAAACACATCTTCCCTTAGGCTTCTCTCCTCCAAGCTAAAAACATTACCCAGTTTCTTTACTCATTATTCATTCATGCATTTAACATTTATTGAAAATCTACTATGTAATAGGCATGATACTAGGTGCCGGGGTTATGACACAATCTTTGCTCTAAAGACATTTAAGAGGAGATGAGGCCTGGCATGGTGGCTCACGCCTGTAATCCCAGCACTCTGGGAGGCTGAAGTGGGTGGATAACTTGAGGTCAGGAATTCGAGACCAGCCTGGCCAACATGGTAAAAACCCGTCTCTACTAAAAATACAAAAATTGGCCGGTTGTGGTGGCACATGCCTGTAATCCCAGCTACTCGGGAGGCTGAGGCAGGAGAATTGCTTGAACCTAGGAGACAGAGGTTGCAGTGAGCCAAGATTGCACCACTGCACTCCAGCCTGAGCAACAGAGTGAGACTCCATCTCAAAAAAAAAAAAAAAAAAAAAGAAAAGAAAAAAAAAGAAGAGATGAGAGAGAGGCAAGTATAAGACAGTAAACACCACTGTGATAAACAGCACAGCAATAGCACAGCATGCAGTGGGAACAGAGGAAGTGATAGCCAAGTTCACCTCTGCAGCACAAGTAGGAGCTACCAAGGGTGTTCTTTTTTTTTGAGATGGAGTCCGCTCTGTCGCCCAGGCTGGAGTGCAGTGGCGCGATCTTGGCTCACTGCAAGCTCTGCCTCCCGGGTTCACGCCATTCTCCTGCCTCAGCCTCCCGAGTAGCTGGGACTACAGGTGCCAGCCACCATGCCCAGCTAATTTTTTTGTATTTTTGGTAGAGACGGGGTTTCACCGTGTTAGCCAGGATGGTCTCGATCTCCTGACCTCGTGATCCACCCGCCTCAGCCTCCCAAAGTGCTGGGACTACAGGCGTGAGCCACTGCGCCCAGCCCTTTTTTTTTTTTTTTGAGACGAAGTCTCGCTTTGTAACCCAGGCTGGAGTGCAATGGCGCGATCTTGGCTCACTGCAACCTCCGCCTCGCGGGTTCAAGTGATTCTCCAGTCTCAGCCTCCCTAGTAGCTGGGATTACAGGTGTTCGCCACCACGTTCAGCTATTTTTTGTATTTTTAGTAGGGACGGGGTTTCATATGTTGGCCATGGCTGGTCTCAAACTCCTGGCCTCCAGTGATCTGTCCGCCTCAGCCTCCCAAAGTGCTGGGATTACAGGAATGAGCCACTGCACCCAGCCACCAAGGGGTATTCTTAACAGAGATGGCAGCAGCACACCCTAATTTTCATGTTGGCCATGTTCTTCTGAGGAATGAATGAATACATACATACATGCAGTGACTAGCTTTGGGAAGAGAAGACTACTTATTGGTTGCTTTTTGGGGCCAGGCACTATACCAGGCATTCACCATAGAGGCATTCTATACTTCACCCTCATAGCAACCCTGCAGTAGGGCAAGAAAGCATGTTTGGGCTACTTCAGAGAAGACCTTGAGTGCCAAGCCAAAGATATTATAGATATTTGGTAGGCAGCAGGAGTTACAGTTCCCAGTAGGATGCTGGTACCATGAAACCTCCATAAAAGTATCCTCAGAACCCTATCTTAAAGATGAGAAAGTTAAGGGTTACAGAAGTGAAATAACATGCCCAAGATCTCACAACAGCTATGAAGCAGAGACAGGATTCACATCTAGGCCTGCCTGCCTTCAGAATCTGGGCACTTCATCACTTAACTTATCTGGTTAATGGTGCTTAGCCTCTGTCGGGTCATCGTCCCCTTTGAGAATCTAATGAAAGAAAAATGTTCTGGTGCACATTCCCAAGTGTGCATAAAATTACAGGGTCCAAAGCATCCCTACATTATACCCATACATCTTCATATCAGGTTAAGAATTTGGAGCGAATATGGTGGATGGATAATCCATAGCCATTCCATCCTCCTTCCAGGGTCCCTTCTTTTCTAATAGTGCGGAGGCTGAAAATCTAACAGACACATCACCACCTCCCCTGCACCTACAGTTTAAATGTGATTTAGGGTCTGCAAGTTGGATACAATTACATGAGATTTGGAAAGCAGATGGGAGGCCCAGCACACATCTGTTGCTTCTGCCGTTGCTGTGGGCAAGCCCGGCTGGAAAGCATTTGGTTTTCTGAGGCAGGACGAGCAGTCCTGTGTCCAGGCACTGGCTTCATGGGTGTTGAGGAGCAGAGTGCAGGATATCAATTTTGCTGGCTGACCATACCTGGCTCTGGAGCCAGGAGCAGTAAGGCTTTGATTGTGGCAGATTCTACAGCTGACACCTTCCCAATTCCTGAAGAGGCTGCAGCTTCCTCAGTGGCCCAGGTCTATGAGGCCGTTCCATCTGGGAATCACTCATGAAGCCCAACCAAGAACCTGCTTTTTCAGCCCTCCCCATAACTGTTAGCTATATAATATCTATAATAAACCCCTTCCCATTAAAAATAGTAGGTTTGGCCAGGCGCGGTGGTTCATGCCTGTAATCCCAGCACTTTGGGAGGCCAAGGCAGGTGGATCACCTGAGGTCAGGAGTTCAAGACTAGCCTGGCCAGCATGGTGAGATGCTGTCTCTACTAAAAATACAAAAATTTAGCTGGGTGTCGTGGCACGTGCCTGTAGTCCCAGCTACTCGGGAGGTTGAGGCAGAAGAATCACTTGAACCGGGGAGGCAGAGGTTGCAGTGAGCCGAGATCGCGCCACTGTACTCCAGCCTGGGCAACAGAGTGAGACTCCATCTCAAAAAAAAAAAAAAAAAAAAAAAAAAAAAAGCTGAATAAAAAAAACAAGTTTCAAAAGGACATGTACAAAATGATAACATTTATGTATTCTTAAACATTATGACACTGTCTTGCATGTTTTTAGCAAAGGTTAAAATTTCTTCACTATCCTATCAACACTCCTCTACAACTACCTCAATCCTACCAAAAAAGCTGAATAGAAAAAGAGCCATGTAGGCCGGGCGTGGTGGCTCACACCTGGAATCCCAGCACTTTGGGAGGCTGAGGGGCAGATCACCTGAGGTCAGGAGTTCGAGACCAGCCTGACTAACATGGTGAAACCCTGTGTCTAATAAAAATATAAAAATTAGCCAGGCATGGTGGCGAGCACCTGTAATCCCAGCTACTCGGGAGGCTGAGGCAGAAGAATCACTTGAACCCAGGAGGCAGAGGTTGCAGTGAGCCGAGATTGTGCCATTGCACTCCAGCCTGGGCAACAGAGTGAGACTCTGTCTCAAAAAAAAAAAAAAAAAAAAGAAAGAAAAAGAAAAAAGAAAAAGAACCATGTTAGGTCAGGTGCTCATGTCTGTAATCCCAGCTATTCAGGAGGCCAAGGCCTGAGAATCATTTGAACCCAGGATGGGGAGGTTGCAGTAAGCCAAGATCACGCCACTGCACTCTAGCCTGGGCAACACAGTGAGACTCTGTCAAAAAAGAAAGGGAGTGAGGAAAGGAGGGAGGGAGGGAGGGAGGGAGGGAGGGAGGGAGGGAGGGAGGGAGGAAGGGAAGGAGGGAAGGAGGGAAGGAAGGATGATGGGGATTTTTTTTCCTCCTCTTTAATTTATCCCTACTGTTCAACTGACAAAACTTAGAAGAAATAAACTGAAAAATCCATAATGAAAAAGCCTTTACCAGCCCACCTCTAAGTATATACTTATACTTGGATATATATATATATATATATATATATATATATATATATATATATGTATTTTTTTTTTCTTGAGTCAGGGTCTCTGTTGTCCAGGCTGGAGTGCCGTGGCACAATCATGGCTCAATGCAGCCTCAACCTCCTGGGCTGAAGTGATCTTTCCTCTTTAACCTCCCAAGTAGCTGGGAACACAGGCGTGCACCACCACACCTGGATAATTTATTTTTTTTTCAATTTTTGTAGAGATGGAGTCTTGCCATGTTGCCCAGGCTGGTCTCAAACTCCTGGGCTCAAGTGATCCTCCCGCCTCAGCCTCCCAAAGTGCTGGGATTATAGGTGTGAGCCACTGTGCCCGGCCTTGGCAATATTTTTTAAGAAAGTGACAAAATCTTCCATAAGCATTAGCAATGGAATGGAGATCTTGTATCTCAAATTATGAAGACGAATCAACAATTTCATAAAATAATAACCCCATACATTCCTAAAGCACTTTATAGTATCCAAAGTTCTTTCACAGACATCAGCTCATCCTGATCTCCTACCCACCTGGGAGAGAGCAAAGAAAGAGTCTATCACCAGCCTCATTCAACAGATGGAGAAACAGACTCAGTTTTACCTCATCAGCTAAGTGACTTCTACAAGATCACGTGGCTTTAAGTGTCAGGATATGAGCTAGAAGCAAATATTTGTAAACAGTAAATGTTTGATCAAGTCAACATACTCTAAAGCCCGTACGACTGACAACAACTTAGTGGACCAGGCTTTAGCCCTATCATCTTTGGAGGGGATAGGCTCTGGGAGGTTAGCAAGGAAATGCCATGTAATTCTGTTTTCTGAGCCATTAACGTTTTTAGGTTAAATAACGGGCTTTACAATTTCCAGAGATTGAAATACTGTTTATTTATACTAAACCCCCAGTGTCAAGATATGTCATTTATAGTATCCGTTCATTATTCTACTCTGCATTGCCTTTCTGAACAGAGGTTTTTAATTCTCAAATACTGGTCACCAGCATTAATTTCCCCTCATAACTACAAGAACTCAATCAACAGAAGCTACTGTGTTGAACTTGACAAAGAACCAAAAAAGAACTGAGCACAATGTATTACTATAAACCACTGCTTCAAGAGAAAATAAATAGCTGGTGCTCAAGATCTAGTATAAAATATCATTAAATGTCCCTAAAAGTGATCAACAGCAATACTAAACCAGTATGAACTACAGCCTAATAGCAGCAAAAAGATATGCCTATTTCATACTTCGGGTCATGGCTGAGGGCTGGGAGGGATAACAAATTTTTCATTTAAAAAGATTATTTGGTAGTAAATAAGCATAATTTAGAGTCTTTATTATTCATTAAAAGCTTATATAGAGGCCAAGCGCAGTGGCTCACGCCTGCAATCCCAAGACTTTGGGAAGCCAAGGCAGGTGGATCACATGAGGTCAGGAGTTCGAGACCAGCCTGGCCAACATGGCGAAACCCCGTCTCCACTAAAAATACAAAAATTAGCCGGGCAGCAGTGGCGCATGCCTGTAATCCCAGCTACTTGGGAGGCTGAGGTAGAAGAACTGCTTGAACCCGGGAGGCGAAGGTTGCAGTGAGCCAAGATCACGCCACTGCACTCCAGTGTGGGCGACAGAGCAAGACTCCGTCTCAAAAAAAAAAAAAAGTAGCTAGGCATGGTGGCTCACGCCTGTAGTCCCAGCTATTGAGGAGGATGAGGTGGGAGGATCACTTGAGCCCAGGAGGTGGAGACTGCAGTAAGCCAAGATGGAACCACTGCACTCCAGCTTGGGTGACAGAGGGAGACTCTGTCTCAGAAAAAGGAAAAAAAAAAGTGATACAACATTCAACTCTTATATTAGAGTCAGGTGTGTCATCAACTAAACAAATTTTATAAAGAAATTTAACAGACAAGATGAATCAAAGAGATGTGTAATGGATTATTGTACCATACTGTATAACGACAAAGGCGTGATCTGCTTAAGACAGCAATGTTCTTCTTTCCTTTAGTTATGATTCAGTTCACACTTTTCTTCCTCATACTTATGCAGGTTATAGGAGGAAAATTAAAAGATATGAGGTTTTCACACAAAAAGATGCTCAATCCACCTCATTAGCTGTCAGGGAAAAGCAAAACCATGATGAGATACTCACTAGAATGGCTAAAATTAAAAATACCGACAATAGCCAGTTCAGCCGAGGATACCAGGAATTCTGGCGTTCAAGGGTGCTGGTAGGAACGTGAAATGACTGCCACTCTGTAAAACAGTTTGGCAATTTCTCATGAAATTAAACACATACTAACCATATGACCTAGTGACCCATTCCTAGGTCTTTAGCCAAGTGTAGTAGGCTAAAAAATGGGCCTCCAAAAGATATGCCAGTCCTAATTACTGGAACCTATGAATGTACCCTATATGGGAGAAAAGGGTCTTTGGAGATGTGATTAACAATCTTGAGATGGGGGCATTATCCTCCGTCATCCTAGTGGGCATAAATGTAATCACAAGTGTCCCTATAAGAGGAAGACTGGGGCTGGGTACAGTGGCTCATGCCTGTAATCCCAGCACTTTGGGAGGCTGAGGTGGGCGGATTACCTGAGGTCAGGAGTTCGAGACCAGCCTGGCTAACATGGTGAAACCATGTCTCTACAAAAATACAAAAATTAGCAGGGTGTTGTGGCGCATGCTTGTAATCTCAGCTACTTGGGAGACTGAGGCAGGAGAATCACTTGAACCCAGGAGGCAGAGGTTGCAGTGAGCTGAGGTTGTGCCACTGCACTCCAGCCTGGGCGACAGAGCAACACTCTGTCCCCACGCAAACAAAAAAAGAGGAAGACTGAGGGAGACTTGATTTTGTTTTGGTTTTTTGAGACAGGGTCTTACTCTTGCTCAGGATGGAGCACAGTGGTGCAATCTTGGCTCACTGCAACCGCCACCTCCCAGGCTTAAGTGATCCTCCCACCTCAACCTCCCATGTAGCTGGGACTACAGGTGCATGCCACCATGCCCAACTAATTTTAAAAATATTTTTTGTAGAGACAAGGTTTCACCATGTTGCCCAGGCTGGTCTCAAACTCCTGAGCTCAAGCAATCTGCCCTCCTCGGCTTCCCAAAGTGCTGGGATTACAGGCATGAGCCATGCTCCCTCAGGGGTGCCCAGCCTGAGGGAGACTTGATTACAAAACAGGAAATAAAACAATGGAACAAGGGGTCAGAGTGATACAAGGGGTCACAAACCAAGCAATGCAGGTGGCCTCCAGAAGCCAGAGAGGCCAGGAAGTATTTCTCTCCTGGAGTCTCTGGAGGAAGCAAGGCCCTGCTGTCCCCCTGATTTTGGCCCAGTGATACTAATTTCAGATTTCTGGCCTCCAGAACAGTGGAAGAATAATTTTCTGTTGTTTTAAGCCACCCAGTTTTGTGGTACCTTATTACAGCAGACAGAGGAAGAGTATATGCTAAGTGAATTAAAAAATTATGTTCATATAAAAACAGTACAGAAATGCTTAAAACTCTATTCGTAATCACCAATGCCCCACCAAGCAACAACCCAAACACATCCTCAACAGATGAATGAATAAGCAAACTGTGCCATATTCATACAATGGAATACTACTCAGCAATGAAAAGGAACAAACTGTTGTCACATGCAACATTTAGATGGATCTCAAAGGCATTACGCTCAGTGAAAGAAGCCAATCTCAAAAGGTTACATACTAGATGCTTCCATTTCTGTGACAGTCTCAAAAGGACAAAACAATAGTGATGAGAACAGATCAGTGGTTGCCAGGAGGCAGGAGAGCAGAATAGCACGAAGAAAGTTATTGGGATTATGGAAATATTTTATGTCCTGTGGTGGCGATGGTAGTTATACAAATCTATAAATGTCTTAAAATTCATAAAACCATACATTGAAAAAGTCAATTTTACTGTTCACTAATTTAAAAATAAAATTTAAAAAAATAAAGTTAAATTAGGAAAACCTACCCCCCAAAAGGCATTAAATTCATTAAAAAAAAAAAAACGCATTAAATTCTTGAAACTTTAAATTTAGGAACAAGAAAGAAGAATCTGCCCTGACCAGAAGACCTTGGAAAGGCTTGGAAATAAGCAGCAGTGGGACGTTTTGCTGGTGTCTGCGGTCATACTGTTAGTAAGTGAGCAGCTGAGATTTGAATTCAGATAAACCCATGATTTTAATGTCACCCTTGTCTCTCTATTTGGCCAGGAGATGGACAGTGAAGCATGAAACTGGCAAGGGATAACAGCTCCTACATGTTCCAGAGTCTGTACTTCCATTCACGTTCTGAGTCCGTTAAGTACAAAGCCCACAGCTGGGAAGGGCTGGTTTGACACACAATGGCAAGCCTTACTTTTCCAGGTCCACTTTATTTATTTGATCTTCAATTTGGTAGGGGTACATTCTACTCTTCTGAAAGTAGAATTTTAGTCACAGTCAAGTAAGCAGGACTTTAATAATCAGACAATTGTGGAGTTCATGAGATTAAAAAAATGTCAGATTTCAACACTGATAAACATTTTCCCACATGCATTTCAAAGAACTAGAGCTGAGGTCTGTTATTAAAAGAACTCAGGCTAAAATATTTAAGAAATAACTTTAGAGTGAGAAACCTAAATGTGAAGGTCATTTTCCCCTCACTCCAGGAGGTTCCATTTCCTGTTATAGACCAGAATATGCAAGCAGAGGAGAGGGAGAGAGAGACCAGGAGGTATCATGAGTTTTGCTATTGTTGGTTTGATTTTTTTTTTTCCTTCTACAGAAAACTGAAAATCAAACAGCAGGCGCTCTATTATGCAGGCCAGCATGAACACCTACACAGTTGACAATTAAAAGGTTCCCAGGGCTGGGCACAGTGACTCACGCCTGTAATCCCAGCACTTTGGGAGGCTAAGGCAGGCAGATCACCTGAGGTCGGGAGTTCAAGACTAGCTTGACCAACATGGAGAAATCCTGTCTCTACTAAAAATACAAAATTAGCCAGGTGTGGCGGCGCATGCCTGTAATCCCAGCTACTAGGGAGGCTGAAGCAGGAGAATCGCTTGAACCCAGGAGGTGGAGGTTGCAGTAAGCCGAGATCACACCATTGCCCTCCAGCCTGGGCAACAAGAGCAAAACTCTGCCCCCCTCAAAAAAAAAAAAAAAAAGGTTCCCAGGAAGGGATAACACCCTTCTCACCACTCTACCTTTATTCCTTGCCCACTTTGTCTCAGATAAAAGCAAACAGTTGAAAAACATTCTACCCCAAAACCTCGAATGAAACTTTGGCACTTACATCATTAGGCCACCAATCCTATTGTAATTTCTCTCCTGAAAAGGAACAGCAAAGAAACCAGAGAGAAAAGATAGTTTTGTTTTTTTTTTTTTTTTTGAGACGGAGTCTCACTCTGTCGCCCAGGCTGGAGTGCAGTGGTGCGATCTTGGCTCACTGCAAGCTCCGCCTCCTGGGTTCACGCCATTCTCCTGCCTCAGCCTCCCCAGTAGCTGGAACTACAGGCGCCCACCACTACGCTCGGCTAATTTTTTTTTTTGTATTTTTAGTAGAGATGGCATTTCATCACATTAGCCAGGATGGTCTCGATCTCCTGACCTCGTGATCCGCCTGCCTCGGCCCCCCAAAATGCTGGGATTACAGGCGTGAGCCACTGCGCCTGGCCAGAAAAGACAGTTTTATCCTTCTATGTGTAGAACAAATTCTGGCTTATAAAAGCAAACTATTACTCAAAGTCTTGGTCTCCCCCAGGGTAAAAAGCATTCATCATGTGACAAGCTACAAAAACAAGAAGGGGCCAGGCGTGGTGGCTCACCCCTGTAATCCCAGCACTTTGGGAGGCCGAGGCGGGTGGATCACGAGGTCAAGAGATCGAGACCATCCTGGCCAACACGGTGAAACCCCATCTCTACTAAAAATACAAAAATTAGCTGGGCATGGTGGCATGCGCCTGTAGTCCCAGTTACTCGGGAGGCTGAGGCAGGAGAATCTCTTGAACCCGGGAGGCAGAGGTTGCAGTGAGCCGAGATTGTGGCCACTGCACCCCAGCCTAGCGAAAGAGAGCGAGTCCGTCTCAGGGAAAAAAAGAAAAAAACAAGAAGGGTTGTGATAGGAGCTTTGATGTAAAAGCTGGGTAGCAAATTAGGGAACAGGAAAAAAAAAAAAGTTAATAAATGTTACCAGTACTAAAATTTGTTTTAAAGATAAAATGTTTGAATATTTGTATGCAGCAAGCATGTTGTTTCCAAAAATATCCTTAAGGGAGCATAGAAACACACCCGCTTCCAATCCCTCAATGTGGCCACTCCAGACATCTGCCTAACACCATGCCTCTTGATGGCCACCTCCCCTACCTCTTTACAGGACAGCTACATAGGGCCTATGTGGCTCACCCCTCTTGTTCCCCGACCCCACAAGTACTAGATGAATATGCTACAGTGACCATGTCTCAATCACAGCGTGACCCCCACAAAGCTTGTGCCTGCTCCCTTTAAACCCATCAATTAGAACTATTGGCTTCGGTAACATAATAGCCCTAGGAAACCCACTTGGGAAACTCCCTGGACTCCCAATAAAGGTTTTGGCCCAGGATTCTCTCTCTCTCCTCTCTGGGATCAGTAAGTAATAAAAATACTTCTGCTATTTCATGTGTCTTGCTGTGCTGCTCTGTGTCTCACCTGACCAATGCATTCAAACCTATTTTCCTGGGCAGGGCTAGAATCTATAGCCACTCTCAAGAGAGAGACCTTAGGACCAAATTAGAATTGACATTTGCAAAAGAGCCAGGAATACCAGGAGGTGGGGAATCACTGGGGGTCATCTTAGAGGCTACCTCCCCCAAGCACTATTAAAAGAATAAACTAGGCTGGGCGTGGTGGCTCACACCTGTAATCCCAGCACTTTGGGAGGCCAAGACGGGTGGATCACCTGAGGTCACGAGTTCAAGTCCAGCCTGGCTAACACGGCAAAACCCCATCTCTACTAACAATACAAAAATTAGCCGGGCATGGTGGCGCAAGCCTGTAATCCTGGCTACTTGGGAGGCTGAGGCAGGAGAATCACTTGAACCCAGGAGATGGAAGTTGCAGTGAGCCGATATCACGCCACTGCACTCTAGCCTGGGCAACAAGAGCGAAACTCTGTCTCCAAAAAACAAGAATCAACTTTAGTGTAAGATGTTAAAATAGCTGTATGACAAATGTTAAATCAAGATTTTAAAAAAACGGTGAAGCAAATTCAGTCCCATTGCTCATTAATAATAATTTTTTAGAAACAAAAAAATTTTGTACCAGTAACGCATTTTTTAAAGTTTTAAATATTTACAATGCAATTTATTTCATCTTCATTTTCATTTTATGAATGCTTTATAATATACGGTATTATACAGTATATATTATATAATATAAAGTATCTTAATAGCACATACTAATGTGCGTACATCTGATATACATATAAACATACATACGATACACACATATTTGTTTGCTCACAAAATTCTAATAAGGGTACATGACCTTTTTTAAAATGAAGACTGTTACTCTATATAATGGGAACCACCAGAGAGTTTTGAGCTACTGAACCCCAAACTTAGATTTGCACTTTAGAATAAAGGCTCTTTATTACCAAATTTACCAAATTACCAAGTTTACCAAATTACCAAAGTTACCAAAGCATTATTTGGTAGTGCCTAGCACAGAGAAAGCCCTCAATGGCAGCAACAGGTAGGGAATATGTGACGAAACCTGGAGTCTAGCTAAGATGGGTTATTTAAGCACGGCCCATCATCTGTAAATCTAGTAATGGCCTCCAGTTTTCCCAATGCACTTCAGGAGAGGTGGAAGTGCTTTTGTTGAAATGGGTCTCAACTTCTAGCCAATGGAGAAAAAGCTTTAAATGTAGTCATCATCAGTACATCTCAGAAGTATGTGGGTAAGGGCATTGACCTGGATTAATCACCGAAAAGCTACGTGTGCATCTCACGTGACTCACTGCTGAGCATAATCCCCAAAATGGCATCCACCACAGTTAGGGCACACAAGTGGCAAAAAGTACCAGTACTCCTCACAGACAGCCATCCTTTGAGTTCAGCCAAAACCAGGGGCAACCAGAGAACATACATGACTCGGTGGGCTGACGACTGAGCCTCGCACCACAACAAAGGACTAGGTCTGTGGAGCAAAAGGTCACAAGGCTAGGTTCCCTTCTCTTCCCAACTGCTCTGTAAAGGGCACCCAGGCCCTGTCTGAGAAGGTCTGGGCCAGGGACACCACAGCCACCATGGCACTGATCTGTTAAGGGGCAGGAAGCTGTGGCACTCACCAATCCCAACCAGCTCACTTTACCCCTTTTTCCAGGCCCTCATCCAATTTCCTTTTCAGTACGTTGTTCTTATCTTGCTCCTGTTTTTCTCTACACTAGGTTGGAAATGCTTGAGGACAGGTATGGTCTCACCCCTTCTGTACAACCCAAAGGTCTTGGTCAAAATCAGTCACTCTGGCATGGTAACTGGTATACCAGTGCGGTAACTGTTACTCCGGCATGGTAACTGGTATACCAGTGTGGTAACTGTTACTCCAGCATGGTAACTGGTATTATCAGTGCAGTAACTGTTACTCCGGCATGGTAACTGGTATACCAGTGCTGTAACTGTTACTCTGGCATGGTAACTGGTGCATCAGTGCGGTAACTGTTACTCTGGGATGGTAACTAGTATATCAGTGTGGTAACTGTTACTCTGGCATGGTAGCTGGTATACCAGTGCTATAATTGTTACTCTGGCATGGTAACTGGTGCATCAGTGCGGTAACTGTTACTCCGGCATGGTAACTGGTATATCAGTGTGGTAACTGTTACTCCGGCATGGTAGCTGGTATACCAGTGCTGTAACTGTTACTCTGGCATGGTAACTGGTGCATCAGTGCCGTAACTGTTACTCCGGCATGGTAACTGGTATTCCTGCTCCTCTCCCTCGACCATGGGTCTGCTGTGGCATTTGTGGGTGCCAGGCAGCACCATGACTAGCACTCACACATAACAATGCAGCCAGTCCCTTAGTCTAGGAACTCTGTACCTCAACACGGAGAAGTGGCAAACCTCCAGGACCCTTCTAGCCCTTTGACTAAAGGATATCCCAGGAGCAGGGATGTGGCTCCTTAGTCTATGTACCTGTGGCCATTCATTGCTATATAATAATCATTTGTGATCCTACTGTCTGAACATGGAGTCACTCGTGTTAGATGGCATTAAGCCCACCATGCAGCTGTTTACTCCTCACAGTGATAAGTGAAGGCCAGCTGCAGTGACTCACACCTGTAATTCCAATACTTTGTGAGGCCGAGGTAGGAGGATCCCTTGAGGCCACCAGGAGTTCAACAGAGTGAGACCCTTCTCTACAAAAAAAAAAAAAAAAAAAAAAATCTGGGTGTGGTGGTGCACACCTGTAGTCCTATCTACTCAAGAGACCGAGGTGGGAGGATCCCTTCAGCCTAGGAATTACAGGCTGAAGTGAGCGATGATCGTGCCACTGCAATTCAACCTGGGTGACAGAGCAAGACCTTGACTCAAAAGAAAAGCAAACAAAGAATGATAAGCACATGTGTACTAGCCTGGCAACTGAGATCATAGTAAAATTGTTTTTCTTCGAAGTGATAAACATACGTCTAATAGAATAAGGTGGTGAGATAATAACACCTGCTGTGGCATAGTACCACCACCGATGGAAAAATGGAGCCAAGAGCTGGCTGAGACCATGATACTGGGCAGACCTTTGGAGAATCATACACACAGCAAGGAGCTGATGATGTCTGGGGCGCCTTTGGAATCTTTGCCCATGAGAACTCTGAGGCCTCCTCCTAGCATGACAATTGCCGCCCAGCGGCTCTCCAGGAGAGGAACAGCCACTCCTCACTTACTAGCATCCAAGGGACTTCCAACCCACTTGAGGGTCCATCAGTGCTCTGACCTTCTGAGCCATCCCTGTGGTTCATTGTCCCCCTAATTACAGCCTTTAATAACCACATTGTGAATGTTTGATTGATTGTGTGTGTGTGAATCTCTCAATAAATGGCGAATCTGAGCATTGCTAATTGGCCACTGAATCACTGTGAAACATTCCCACTTCAGTGGAAGTTGGCATGCAGGGCAGTGACCTGATTAAAATAACATTTAATATTAACATAATATTAATTACATAATTCATTATTAATTTACTGGAAACTCCTCAGCAAGCCAATTTAAACAAAAAACTTTGATTCAATTAAAGGATCATAACTTAGCAACTCTTCTGATTCACTTTAACATTGTGACTACACATTTTTTATTGTTATTTTTTATTTTCTGTAGAGATGCGGTCTCCCTATGTTGGGGTCTCCCTATGTTGGAGGCTGGTCTCAAACTCCTGAGCTCAAGTAATCTTCTCACCTCAGCCTCCCAAAGTGCTGAAATTGCAGCGTGAGCCACTGCATCCAGTCATGATTATACATTATTACAAAGCAATGATGTGGACTTACCAGTACCCACAGAAGTCATACCATGGTTGGATCAACTTATAAAATCCATACAGTAATTATGAGTTCCTGATGTGGAAGCAATAGAACCCAAATGCACCCTGAAAAATGGTCTTAGGGCACCTACTTTTAATTAGGATAACTTTCATTTGAATAGGGGTTAAAGTATCATTGATCATGCTGATTGAATTTCAAATAGCTTTCTGAATCAATTTTCCTTGATTGAATAATTTACAAAAATGTATGTTGTTTTTATAATAAATAATAAAGCTTAAAAATTTTTTTTACATTTATATTTCCTGAAGGTTTTTCTCCATTGTAACCATATCTCAATTAAACTTTTTTAAAAAGCCTTCAAAAAAAAAAAATCAGGAAGGACTATGCATTTAGATTGACAATGATTGTGAATAAGACAGTGCTGAGGATGCTACGAACTAAACATCACATCATGTCTCACTCAAGGTAACACAGAGCTACAAAGGCAGCTTACCACTAACAAACAACATAAGCACTGCTTGCCTAAAAAGACACATATCGGGCCAGGCACAGTGTTTCACGCCTGTAATCCCAGCACTTTGGGAAGCTGAGGCAGGTGGATCACTTGAGGTCAGGAGTGCAAGACCAGCCTGGCCAACATAGTGAAACCACGTCTCTACTAAAAAAAATACAAAAATTAGCCGGGCATGGTGGCACGCGCCTGTAGCGGGTGGCTCCCCGCTACTCTGGAGGCTGAGACAGGAGAATTGTTTGAACGAGGGAGGTGGGGGTTGCCGTGAATCGAGATCGCACCACTGCACTCCAGCCTGGGCGACAGAGCAAGACCCTGTCTCAAAAGAAAAAGACACATAACACACAGAAGGATACATCTGAGGGAAAAAATGTTTTCTCCTTATATCCTCTAAACAATAAATTTGTTTTGAATGGGGAGGGAATAACTACAGTAAGTTCTCACTTAATGTCATTGATAGGTTCTTGGAAACTGGGGCTTTGAGCAAAATGACATATAACAAAACCAATTTTCCATGATTTGTCCATCAATCAGCAAGGTAATTGATATAAACAAGAGTTAAGTTCCACGAGGACACTGGAGAATGTGTAAATTCCAAATAGACAGTAGCTCCAGCAGGGAATTGATTTTTTTTTCTCATCAACATGATAATGAAACAATAGTGAATGAAAGGCCATTATCTGGGGACCTGCTGTATTACCATCACTCATGTCATGTTTTAATATTTTTGTGTGTTCTTCTTCATGCACACAAACTATCTCATTCCAGCAACTACCTGTAATGAGCTTTTCAAGAAATATAAACTCCGGATTGCTAGTAAGTTCTTAGTTTTCATTTCTTCCTTATTGTTCTGAATATTAAATATTAAAAGTTATTCGACTACTGCCTGGAACTTAGTAAGCATGCAACCCAAGTTACCTGTTACTACTATTGGTCTAAATAAGGAAAGACAATTAAAATACAAACACTAGCATGACATTTCTTTCCCCCTTGTGCAATGTTCTGATTGTATCTTTGCATTGAGACTACAATTTCCTTGGTCTCGGGTCTTATCTTTTGGTTTTTCTCCTAATAGACCACCATTCCTCAAGAAAGGACACTGCAGTGGCTCATGCCTGTAATCCCAGCACTTTGGGAGGTGGAGGTGGGCGGATCACGAGGTCAGGAGTTTGAGACCAGCCTAACCAATATGGTGAAACCCTATCTCTATTAAAAACGCAAAAAATTAGCTGGGTGTGGCGGTGCACATCTGTAATCCCAGCTAGTTGGTAGGCTGAGGCAGGAGAATATCTTGAACCTGGGAGGTGGAGGTTGCAGTGAGCCGAGATTGTGCCACTGCACTCCGGCCTAGACAACAGAGTGAGACTCTGTCTCAAAAAAAAAAAAAAAAAGACACTGTTCTGAGACAGAGGCTGTTTTAACACACAGGCAAAGGGGGCAAACAGTAGGCACAAGCAGATGCCAAGGAAGACACTGGAACTGAGCAGATGCCTCAACATGACTTTTTCACTAGTCTCAGCCCTGTTAGCACCAAGAACCAGCTCGGTGCTCAGCAGGCTTTAAACTCTGCTTGTGGCTTCCCTGAAACGTAGTCTGGACCAAACATAAAAGCTCCTTAAACCTGAGGTACTGGGTTCTTTAAACATGTCCAGGTGGCTGGGTGTGGTGGCTCACACCTGTAATCCTAGCACTTTGGGAGGCCAAGGCGGGTGGATCATCTGAGGTCAGGAGTTCGAGACCAGCCTGGCCAACATGGTGAAACCCCCATCTCTACAAAAGATACAAAAATTAGCTGGGTGTGGTAGTGCACACGTGTAGTCCCAGCTATTTGGGAGGCTGAGGCAGGAGAATCACTTAAACTCGGGAGGTGGAGGTTACAGTGAGCTGAGATGACGCCACTGCACTCCAGCCTGGGAGACAGAGTGAGACTTCATCTCAAAATAAATACATAAATAAAATAAATTTTTTTTTAAATTTTAAAACTGAAAACATTTTTTGAAAAAGAAGATGCCTGCACACCTCCTTATGGTCAGAGTGTCCTCCCTATTTCAACAGTCGTTTTCCCCTCCTTGCAAAAATCCTTTTCAATAAAGTCTCTCCTTACTAAAAAACTAAAACAAAACAAAAAAACTGATACTTAGGCCTCTCCCCAGACCAATTAAATTAACCCCTGGGGGTAGACCTGGAAACAGTCTTTTCAAGCTCCTGAAAAGCACCTACTCAGCAGGTCCTCTGGAGCTTGGAATAGGGCAGTTCCTTGTGACATGCTTGGGCAGTGAAGGGGCATAGACAGGGTACTGGATTCTATATAGGCAATCAACTAGGCCCTACATAGTTTCCTATTTAAATATCTGCCACACAAAGAACCTGATGAGATGGTTCACAGAAAGATAAGTATGTATCTCCCCTAAACATGTTAAAAACGTTCAACCGGCCGGGCACAGTGGCTCACGCCTGTAATCCCAGCACTTTGGGAGGCCGAGGTGGGCAGATCACCTGAGATCGGAAGTTTGAGACCAGCCTGACCAACATGGAGAAACCCCGTCTCTACTAAAAATACAAAATTAGCCGGGTGTGGTGGCACATGCCTGTAATCCCAGCTACTTGGGAGGCTGAGGCAGAAGAATTGCTTGAACCTAGGAGGCGGAGGTTGCGGTGGGGCCGAGATCACACTACTGCACTCCAGCCTGGACAACAAGAGCGAAACTTCGTCTCAAAAAACAAAACAAAACAAAACAATGTTCAACCTCACTCACAGAAGACCTACCATTTAAAACCATACTAAAATACTATTTCTTAGATATCAGATTGGAAAAAGTCCCAAAGCTTGACAATACACTCTCTTAGCTAGGCTTTGGGGATGAAGGCAACCTCTGTATTACCAGCGATGGGACTGTAAACTAGAATGATGTCTACGGAAGAAAATGTGGAAATATCTACCAATATAGATCTCTATTACTCTATATTAATACAGGCCAGGTGTGGTGGCTCATGCCTA
This sequence comes from Homo sapiens, assembly GCF_000001405.40. NCBI lineage: Eukaryota > Metazoa > Chordata > Mammalia > Primates > Hominidae > Homo > Homo sapiens. Next base: position 130,736,224 of record NC_000009.12, on the reverse strand, counting down.
TAATCCCAACACTCTGGAAGGCCAAGGAGGCACTTGAGCCCAGGAGTTTAAGACCAGCCTGGGCAACATGGCAAAACCCCATCTCTACAAAAAATACAAAAAACAGCCAGGCATAGTGGTATACATTTATAGTTCCAGCTACTAGAGAGGCTGAGGCAGGAGTATCACTTGAGCCCCGAGGACTGAAGCTGCAGTGAGCCGAGGTCATGCCACTGCACTCCAGCCTGCATAACAGAGCCAGACCCTGTCTTAAAAAAAAAAAATATATATATATATATATATATATATATGCACACACATGCATACACACACATATACACACACATATATATACACACAGACATACGCAAAATGGTAGCTATCTACCAAGTAGAATCCATCTACTAACAGAAATGACAAACGCATGTACCCTTAAACCCAGTGCCCCGACTTTTAGGAATCTCTCCCACAGCTATAACGTTACCCCTGAAGCACTGTTTATCATATCTAAAGACTGGAAACACTCCAAAAGTCCAGAAAGGGAACTGGTTGGAAAACCAATGATACTTCCAAGATAGTGGAATTCAATGCAGCCATAAAAAGAAGGAAGATATACATATTCCAATATGGGGAGATCCTGAGGATCTATTAAGGGAAAAACAAAAAAGAAGGTACAGAACGGTATATACTGTATGCTATCTTTTGTGTAATAAATATATATTTGCTTGTATTTGCAAAAAAGAACACTGGAAGGATAAAAAAAAAAAACCACACACAAAAAATTTTCCAGAGGAGTAGGAGAAGGAAAAGGACAGAGTGGCAGAGGTGCAAGCAAGCTTCTGAAAATACATGTTTGTTCTGTAGCTTTGTAGTTTAAATTAGAAAATGTATTATCTATTCAAAAGTGTTCAATTTAGGCCTAGCACAGTGGCTCATACCTGTATTCCCAGCACTTTGGGAGGCTGAGGCAGGCTGATCACCTGAGGTCAGGAGTTCAAGACCAGCCTGGCCAACATGGTGAAACCCCATCGCTACTAAAAATACAAAAATTAGCCAGATGTGGTGGCAGGTGCCTGTAATCCCAGTTACTCAAAAGGCTGAGGCAGGAGAATCGCTTGAACCCAGGCGGCGGAGGTTGCGGTAAGCCAAGATCATGCCATTGCACTCCAGCCTGGGCAACAGAGCAAGGTTGTATCTCAAAAAAACACAACAAAAAAAGTTCAATTTAATTTTAAAATAAATCGTAAAACTGCCACAAAGCTTGTAGGACAATGTATAAATTTTTTAAATTATAAATAATTTTATAATTATAAAATTTCATAACAGCATAAAATTATAAATCATAAAAGCATACATAAGGTATGTTTGTTACACACCGCCATTCCAAAACACTCAACTACCAAAGGGTAAGAATATTCAATAGAGGCTGGGCGCAGTGGCTCACACTTGTAATTGCACCGCTTTGGGAGGCTGAGGCGGGTAGATCACTTGAGGCCAGGAATTCAAGACCAACCTAGCCAATATGGCTAAACTCTGTCTCTACTAAAAATACAAAAATTAGCCAGGCTTGGTGGCACACGCCTGTGATCCCAGCTACTCGGGAGGCTGAGGCAGGAGAATTGCCTGAACCTGGGAGGCAGAGATTGCAGTGAGCCAAGATCATGCCAGTGCACTCCAGCCTGGGTGACGGAGTGAGACCCTGTCTCAAAAAAAAAAAAAAAAGAAGATTCAGGCCAGGCGCAGTGGCTCACACCTGTAATCCCAGCACTTTGGGAAGCCAAGGCGGGCGGATCACGAGGTCAGGAGATCAAGACCATCCTGGCTAACACGGTGAAACCCTGTCTCTACTAAACATGCAAAAAAAATTAGCCAGGCATGGTGGCGGGTGCCTGTAGTCCCAGCTACTGGGGAGGCTGAGGCAGGAGAATGGCATGAACCCAGGAGACAGAGCTGGCAGTGAGCCGAGATCGCGCCACTGCACTCCAGCCTGGGTGACAGAGCGAGACTCCATCTCAAAAAAAAAAAAAGAATATTCAATAGAGTATTAAAAATCATACCACGAAATTGTGAAAAAATTAAAAATTTGATTAAATTCTAAAGCTAGACCCCACTCATTTCAATGATGCAAATGTTTTCAAAATGCATTAGTCTATCCTCAAAAAGTAATGTTTCCAATTGAAAAACACTCAAGCTGTCAAGAGACACTTGATTTCAACCACAGCTCTAAAACTAATCAGCAATGTAACCCTAAAAACACGACTACCCAAAGCACAAGTTTTCCTACTGAAAGAAAGGAATAATGCGTATCCTGCCTATACCATAGACCTCACAAAAAAGTATATGAAAGTGCTTTACAGGCCAGGCGTAGTGGCTCACACCTGTAACCCCAGCACTTTGGGAGGCCGAGGCGGGCGGATCACAAAGTCAGGAGATCGAGACCATCCTGGCTAACATGGTGAAACCCCATCTCTACTAAAAATACAAAAAGTTAGCCGGGCGTGGTGGCAGGCGCGGTGGCGGGCGCCTGTAGTCCCAGCTACTCGGGAGGCTGAGGCAGGAGAATGGTGTGAACCCAGGTGGCGGAGCTTACAGTGAGCCGAGATTACGCCACTGCACTCCAGCCTGGGCAACGAGTGAGACTCTGTCTCAAAAAAAAAAAAAAAAAAAAAAGTGCTTTACAGCCAGGCGCAGTGGTGCACGCCTGTACTCACAGCTACCTGAGAGGCGGAGGCAGGAGAATCACCTGAGCCCAGGAATTCAAGACCATCCTGAGTAACACTGAGACCCTGCTACAAGAAAAAAAAATTTTTTTTTAACTTTACACATCCACAAGAGATATTCTTTGCAACCTAGGATGCTGCAAAATCACCAATGAAACAATAAATTACTATATGATACTGAAGAAATAGAAAGTACAAACATGCTGAATCTATTCACTACCAAGGCAAATCTGGGAGTTGTTTGTTTTGACTAAACTCTTGATACTGGGTTGGCTGCCTTTGTTTCTTTCTCTTAAAAGTGAACACGCCAAAACTCAATTCTGTTCAAGTGAAGGTTCCAATCAGTTTAGATATTACTGTAAATTCAGTCCCTACTAACTCACAGTTTGTACAGGAAGTAAACCAACCCAAGATCCAACTAAGCCAAAGAGCAAACAAGACAGGCATCCTCAGATTATGGCTCCATCCTCTTATTCTCATACAAATATCTCTATTAAAAACACTCCCCTTCTCTGTTTAGCAATTCTATTTCCTGTTTTCTACCTCTCAAGAATGAAATCTGAAGGAATTCTCTACTTTTTAAGATTTCGCAATTTCATCCCTCCTTGCTAATAACAATTCACCTAGCGACACTTGAGGAACAAGCCACGCTCCTGGCAGAAATTCAGTACTCTTAAAGGAGGACTTAAAGGTCATGCTAGCCTTTGCTCCTCTGAAGAACAGACGGACACAGTGAAAAAAAAAAAAACACTGTGCCTATAATGTTAGCTTCCCATATACATCCTAAAATGCGTGGGATCCACCAGACCCCCGGGATTTTACCACAAGCTGGGGAAAAGGTTTGTAACCTGAAGATGGTAACAGGGACAATATTCCCACTACAGCAGTATCCCAAGTGGATAGAACAAATTATGGCAGCACCAGAAACCTGGAGAAAGGAATAAGGACTTAAGCAGCTGTTAGTCATTTCCAGGAGAAAAACTAAATACACAGAGAAAATGAGTCCACCAGATTTGGTGAGAGGCCACAGGCAGCCACTGATATAAAAAAGATGAAAAGCAAGCTATTATAGATAAAGGATACTGCTGGCTCCACCAGGGGTCTCTCCACTGCTTAACAAAGAAGATCAGGTTGAGTAAATGTCCCCTTTCCTCAGCCGGTTCCCTGGACCCATTCCACACTGTTTATTCAAGCCATAACCATTCTCCCAAGCAGATGGCCAGTGGTGGTCCTCAGGAATATAAATTAGACACAAAGAGCCTTTTGTTGGCTATGTTGTTCCTGGCTCTCTTACCCCAGACTGACACAGTACCTGATACAGAACAGGCACTTAGTACTTGTTCAATGCCTGAACCTGCCAAACAAGTAGATTCAACTGCGTATTCACTAAGTAGCTAGTCTGTTAAAAAAAAATACTGTTCGATCCATGAAAATGTATAAACATGGTCTCCACTATCAAGGGACAAGTACTGAGTGTCAAAGAAAAATACAATTGGAAAAAAAAAAAGAATAGAGAAAGGTGAATTGGAAAGAAGCAGCAGGTATTTTGAAAGTTGAAAATTTGAAACAATTGACAGGAATCATTTAGCCTTTATCATTAACAGAAAAAAAAAAGTTTCCTGAAATAGCTTTCTTTCATCAATAAGAATTCTTTATATTCTATTATTCATTTCTAGGATCAAAGAAACCTATAGATTTAGTGCAATCAGAGAAGAAAATCCTTAAGGGTATTTCTGTTTGGGTATGGAAGCTGATAAAACCCACTCTAAAATGTATATGGAAATACAAAGGAGCAAGCCAAGACAATATTGAAGAACAAAACAGGAGGCCTTATTCTACCAGGCATTAAGATTTATTTTAAAGCTACAGTAATACATTGTAATACTGGTGCAAGGAAAGACAAACAAATTAACAGGAAGGAGTTCCCCAGCAGATCCACACGTACATGTATACCTGATTTACACAGCAGCAGATGTTCTTTTCAATTAAACAGCTAGGTCAATATGAGGGAAAAAATGAACCTTCGCCCCTACACAGAAAAAACAATTCCAGGCCAACTATAAACATGAGATGTAAGAGAGTGAAACTTCTTTGTGACCTTAGGGTAGACACAAAGATTTCTTACACAGACCACAAAAAAAGTACTAACCATAAAAGATTAAATTAGACTAAGTCAAAATTAAGGTTTATCAAAGACACCATTAAGAGAGTGAAAAAGCAGCCGGACGCAGTGGCTCACGTCTGTAACCCCAGCACTTTGGGAGGCCAAGGTGGGTGGATCACCTGAGGTTAGGAGTTCAAAACCAGCCTGGCCAACATGGTGAAACCCCTTCTCTATTAAAAACACAAAAACTAGCTGGGCATGGTGGTGGGCGCCTGTAATCCCAGCTACTCGGGGGACTGAGGCAGGAGAATCTCTTGAACCTGGGA